>NC_000002.12:10623511-10930267 GCF_000001405.40 Homo sapiens | reverse complement strand
TATAGATAATCTATATCTATAGATAAAGATAGATAAAGCCAACAAAATCTTCAAACATAGAGCAAAAAGGCAAAAAAACAAAACAAAACAAAAACACAAAATAAAACATACACACGCACACTAAGTCAATAAGAGTGCTTGGGTAAGAAAACAGAAGAAATGCAGGAGAGAAAGAAAGCAACAGTAGAAGTAAATTTCTCTGGGCTAAAGAAAGATTTGAGTCTTCAAAGTAAAAGTCCCTGCCAAGTGTTCAGTGGAAAAAGTTTACTTTCTAGGTGAAATTTCAGGTTGTGAAAGAGTTTCAGAATTCCAAAGATACAGAGAATTCTAAAAGCCTCCAGGATGGAAAACCGAATGACCTGAAAAGGAACAGAAAGCAGATTGACTTCAGATAAATTAGCCAGAAAGCATCATGCAGCCAAACTGTCAGTCCTGTGTGAAAGCAAAATAAAGGCATATTCAAACATACAGACTCAGAAAGTCTATCATCCATAGATCTATCCTGAAAGATGCACCCAAGGGTATATTCCCAGCAAATCCAAAAAGGAATCCAAGAAGGAAAATGATGCAGTAGCTAAGAAACTAAGAAACTATCCACCAAACCCAGGAAGCTACGTGAAAAAGAAATCATGGATGGCAACTGTGCCACCAACCCCAAGAGCAAATGGTACAAATCCAATCGGGAAATTAGAAGGTCCTGAAAAGAATGTCTCCAAGAGGAAAAGGACATTTGTCTTTAACAAACACTAGAATGAAAAAGCTGCATAATCCTAGTGATAAGAAGAAGGCATATCAAAATACGAAATTTGTAAAAATTACACGCTGTCTTCTTCATCCTGTGGCATCAGATGTAGAGAATGAAATGGATGGAATTGACATTTACATCTGCGGATGTAGAGAACGGGATTCCATCCGTTCTATCCTCTGCATCTGCAGTGAAGAATAGTTGCATAATCATTATATTAAAAACACTGATTATTGGTTTAAATTTGTTTAGAATCAGCTGGTTGTCAAAGCACAGAAATAACTATAGTCGCAGAACAGAGTGTTTGTGTTTTAAAGCTTGTCAATGTAGCAATGAGAGGTGGGGGCCAGGAAGTGGGCAGTGAGCGGGGAGAAAAGGCAGGGGGATCTAGTGGGGCCTAGGGGATTTTCACATAGGGGAATCCAGGAGATACCGACTAGAGCTGATATTCTGAGAAACCGAAGTTTAAGCATGTGACGTAAAGCAGTAATGGTAACTAGAGAAGAAGTAAACATTTTATTAATAAAATGTGCCTGGTAGAGATTAGGGCTGCTGGGAAGTGTTATTGATATAAGCAAGCTAAAATGGGTCCTTCATAGCGAGGGGCAAATGCCTTCATTCATTCATCACGTATTTATTGAGCACCTACTATGTGCCAGACAGTGTGTAGCATGCTTGGGTGGGAGGTGGAGGTTCAATAGCATGCAGAATCTCAATCCCTGTCCTCAAAGAGCTGCCAGTCTAGTGTAAGAGACAGATATGAATTCTATAAATTAAAAAAAAAGGTAAAATTGCAAGTGTGATGAGCATCAGAAGAGAGGCACAGGGTGCAGTTAGAGTGTAGCTTAGACACATTTGAGATCAGGGAAAGAGACAAGGATTCCACCCAAATCTGAAGGACGTAAACAAGTTAAACAGCGGAGAGAATGTTTCCATCAAGGGAGCAGCATGTGCAAAAGCCCTGTGGCAGGGGGAGCCAGAGAATGAAAGAAAACCAAGATATGAGAGGGTAGAGTAAGAAGAAGAGAGAGCAATAGACAGGGAGGCTGGGAGGTAGGTGGTGGACACATGCCTTGTGGGCCCTGTGGGCTGGGTTAAGAATTTGAGCCTCAAAGGATTGGGAGTAATTACCATGTTCTGTTCCAAAGTATGGACTAAGAGATAAAGTTGTCTGTCTCATTTCATGAGGCTAGTGTAACCCGGATACCAACACCTGAAGAAGATAGCCCAAAACTAGAAAACTATAAGCCAATCTCACTCAACAATATTTAGGCAACGATCTTAAATAAAACATTAGCAAGCAGAATCTGGCCACGAATTAAAATAAAAATGCATTATGACCATATAGCTTTTACTCCAAGAATGGAAGGGTATGTAAACATTAGGAAATCATTTCATCATTAATCTTCACAGAAATACATTAAAGACATATAAAATACATGAAAATATATCATTCCAATAGATAATGGAGAGCTGGGTGGCTCATGCTTGTAATCCCAGAACTTTGGGAGGCCAAGGTGGACAGATCACTTGAGGTCAGGAGTTTGAGACCATCCTGGCCAACATGGTGAAACCCTGTCTCTACTAAAAATACAAAAATTAGCTGGGTGTGGTGGTGTGCACCTGTAATGCCAGCTACTCAGGAGGCTGAGGCAGGAGAATTGCTTGAACCTGGGAGGCGGAGGTTGTAGTGAGCAGAGCTTGGGCCACTGTATTCCAACCTGGGTGACAGAGTGAGACTCTGTCTCAAAAAAAAAAAAAAAAGATAATGAAGAAACACTTAAAAAGATGTAAATGTTCAACGCTGAATTTTAAACAACTTTTTGAAACCTAGAAATGAACGAAGCTTCCTTAACTTGAGATCTACCAGAAGCAGACATCACCAGAGAAAAGATGCTGAAAACCACAGGCTACAGAGATCCCAGCCTATGCAGAAAAGCAAGACACAATGGCACTTAATTGTAGGAGTGAAGAAACAAAACTGTCCTTTGCAGATAATATGATTTTTTTTGTTTTTAGATAAGGTCTTTCTCTGTTGCCCAGTCTGGAGTGCAGTGGTATGATCATGGCTCACTGCAGCCTCGAACTCCTGAGCTCAAGCAAGCCTTTCACCTCAGCCTCCCAAGCTGGGACGACAGGTGTGAGCCACCGTGCCTGACAATAATATGATTTTTGAAACCTATAAATCAAAGGAAAGCAGCTGAACAGTCATTAGAACTAATATGAGAACTCAGCAAGGCACTGGTTCTCAAAGTGCTATCCAGGGACCAGCAGCATCAGGCTACCTGTCTGTGTGTGTGTTAAAAAGGCAGACCCTCGGGCTGACCCCAGGCCCACTGAATCAGAAGCCCTGGGACAGGCTTAGCTTTGTGTCTTTCAGCAAATCAAGCCATGCGTGCGATGCTAACACACACTGAAAGTTTGGGAACCATTAGTTGAAGGCACTAGACTACCAGAAATGTAATCATCTCACTTCAAAACCATATACAAATAAATAGGTGGAAGGGTTTTGGAAAAAAAAATTCTTTTTACAATAAAATGGATAGCATGATAAATTTGCAATCTCTAGTCAAGGTTTGTGTGTATGTGTATGTGTGTGTGAATGTGTGTTGTAATGGCTTTGAGATATAATTTACATACTATGCAATTCACCCATTTAAAGTTTACAAATCACTGGTTTTTAGTATATTCACAGATACTTGCTACTATCACCACAGTCAATTTTAGAACATTTTCATCACCCCAGGAAGAAACCCTGTACCCCATAGCTATCACCTCCCTATCTCTCCTTTCTCCCTTTGCTTCTCTTCCCCTCTCAGCCACTTTCTGTCTCTACAGACTTGCCGTTTCTGGACATTTCATATAAATGGAATCACGGTGGTGACTGGTTTCTTTCACTCAGCGTGATGTTTTCAAGCTTCATTCATCCGTATGTCAGCACCGCATTCCTTTCTATGATAATGTCCCATCCCATGTCTAGACCGCATTTTGTGGCTGGAAGGGAGTTTGAGCCTGGGCTCCAGGGCAGCCTTCTCTGTATTGCCTGGGACAAGTCACGCATCTCTTCAAGTCTCAGTGACCCCATCTCTAGAAGGAGATGACCAGCCCTACCCAGGGAGCCTGGGAGAGCCATCCAGGCGGCCAGGGCGCAGGGGACAGCCCAGAGGTGTCCGAAGGAAGGTAACATCGAAACTGATCACTGACGAACCTGGGGGAGGCTCTAAGCAGGCAGAGGGCAAAGAGAGCAACGGGCTCCAGGCAGAGCCCCCTGGAGTTTAGAAAAAAGAGAGCGAGCCCCGCTGGCTTTTAAAGAAGTGGTTCTCAGCTTGGGTGATTTTGCCCCTGGGGGACATTCACGATGTCTGGAGACTTTTTGGTTGTCGCCATAGGACGGTGGGGAGAATACCATTGACATCTAATGGGTAGAGGCCAGGGGGACTGCTAAACATTCTACAACTCACAACGCAGCCCCCAACCAAGCCCCCAAACAAAAAACTATCATATCCAAAGTGTCACTAGTGCCGAGTTTGAGAAACCCTGACTTCCAGCTTCACATGGTTGTGATCATGTGGAGTGCTGGAGAGGAGGGTGGTGCAGACAGTGAAGTGTGGGAGACACTCTGAACAGCTCAAATGTTCCCCCAGGGTAATGGGGAGCCATGGAAGGCTTTAGGCAGAGGGGTGATCCCTCGGATGTGTGTTTCAGGGGGAGCTTTTTGAAGAATGTCTGGAAAGACTTCTAATGGTTCCAAATAAGCAAGAAATGGGATCTCCTTTGTTGACTCCAGGTCCTGGGATACCAGAGATCTCCAAACCAGAAAGGGTGTTTGTTCTTCGCTAGTGGACTCCTATCAAGCTGTCGGTGGACCCCCTCTGACAGAGTGTTCCTGGGACAGAGGCAGGGCTGGGGACACACCCTGGGAGCTCCCCAAATCCCTCCCTGGGAGCTCCCCAAATCCCACCTGGGAGCTCCCCAAATCCCTCCCTGGGAGCTCCCCAAATCCCACCTGGGAGCTCCCCAAATCCCACCTGGGAGCTCCCCAAATCCCTCCCTGGGAGCTCCCCAAATCCCACCTGGGAGCTCCTCAAATCCCACCTGGGAGCTCCCCAAATCCCTCCCTGGGAGCTCCCCAAATCCCACCCTGGGAGCTCCCCAAATCCCACCCTGGCTCCAGTCACACCCAGGACTCATCCCAGTGAGGCATGGAGAGAAGCCCTGTGCATGGGCACACACAGAGCTACTGCAAAGCTCATGTCCCCTCTCCTCTGCCTCAGAGATGGTAGCAGGTGCCAACACACAGGTGAGTGCCTTTAGGGGACCCCTCCTTGCTGGGCAGGAGCTTCTGGCCCTCCCTGCTCCAACAGCAGCCAGGCCCTCCCATGAAGCCCTGCTCAGCCCCTTACCAACCTCTTCACTCACTGCACACACACTGAGGCCCTGGGCCAGGCTGGGCTTAGGGCTTCTTGGAAACACATCTCCCCGAAATGTGCAGTGTGCTTCTAGTCAATTCTGTGAGGCAGGGAGACCTGACACAGCCCGTGGCCTGAGGCACTAACATGGGTAGGGGGGTCGGGGGAGGGAAGACAGGCAGCAGTGACAAGACAAGGAGCTAGGCGCTCTGATCAGAAGAGGCCAGGGAACTCAGAGAAGGACAGCACGCCCAGACTGTGTGGTCAGAGAAGGCTTCCTGGGGGAGGTGACCAAGAAGATGTGCCTCAAAGCATAACCATGAACCATGGGGCTGTTGCGCCTTGTCCTCCCTGGCAGGAGCAGCACAGTAATTGCCAAGAGGTGTAAGGAAAGTCTGGGTGCGGCGATGCTGCTGCCTGCCCCGCAGTCCTCGGCAGCACCACAGCCATCTCTCCTCAGCATCCTCTCCTCCTTGCTGTAATTCCCACATGGTGACCAGAACCCAGCCCTACTCCAGTCAGGGCATGGCTGGCCCCAGCCACAGGAATGTCCCAGTTCTGGCCAGTGAGCAGCCATGGGGTGTTTGCTAGGGTCAAATTCTACACAAAAATTCATGCTAGCAGAAGGGAGCCAAGAGTTGCCAATGGGAGATAAGGGGGCACACTCCTAGCCTAACAAGATGAAGAGAGAGGCCATTAAGCTGAGGTCCAGCGGGGATGGGCAGGTGCAGAGTCTTGCTGCTGGGACAGAGGTGTTCCCACGGGAAAAAGGCTGGACAAGATCTTGTATCTCCTGGAAATCACAGAATCAGCAGGAAGCCTACTAAGCATTGAAGGGAGAGGTGTCAAAGAAATCCTCAACACAGCCGACCAAAGCCTGGTCTACGCAACACAGAAGGTGGGCCCCAGACCTGCTCCTGGCTGCTAGACCCATGCGGGCCTGGCAGGGACCCTCATCGCCATGTTGGAGGACAGTCATGAAGGAAGTCTCCCAGGGGACAGACCAAGGACAGGGTAGGAGAGTGGACCAGGGATATTTTCCCAAAGTGCAGAAGCAAAGAGTGCCCGGCTGTTTTGGAAGCAGTGCTTTTTTCCCCAGTGTATGATAAGTGCTATGGGCCAGGGCCAACTAGGCTGCCTGTTTTCCAAATGTAAACTTTGAACATCATTTTCCTGCCCTTTCTCCAACACTGGGTACTTCGAGTGTGTGGGTAGAGATGATTTTCTGTGACCAGAAATCGTCAAACCCTGAGGCTCGACATCCAGACCTGAAGGGGACAGAGGCATTTTGCAAAGGCCTGGTGGGCCGCCTGGAGACAATGACTGCCCGTGCCTCCGAGTCTGCCTTGGGGAAGATGTTTGAATTTCATGTATATATGAAAGGTGTGTCAGCCCATGTGGACATTGAAGACTACATATTGTACACACTCCATCAGGCATGGCTTTGTGCTTTGTCATTCACTGTGCTACCCCCAGGTGCTAGAATGACACCCAGCAGATAGTAGATGCTTAATAAAAATGAACTGCATGTGTGTGTGAGTATTGCGTAGACAAAGGAGAGGGCCGTGGAGTCTCCCCACCATCCCACCATTCAGCCCACCCTCACCCCATGCAGTCTGGGGATTGACACCTGGCACAGGATCTGAATAGTCCAAGCCAGTCACAGTAATCTTGACCCTGTGTGAGCGCTGCAGAAACCCAGGCCTCAGCAAATGGCTGTCCCCTGCACACAAGAATGGACTAAAATACGAGCATATCATCCAATGTCTGCCAGTGAAAAGTAAGGGCTATCTGCAGGGGGCTTTGGGGAATGCTTTCTTCGCTCTGGAGCAGGCTGCAGGAGGCAGTGCCTCTCCCGGCTCTGGGTGCCGCTGGAGAGGTGAGGCACATGCCTGCTGCAGCTGTCTTTCTACCAGCCCACGTGTGGAGGAGGCAGAGCTGGGACAACTGCAGAGAAGGGAGCCGAGCCCCTGGATGGAGCCCAGCCTGAAGTCCACCTTCTCTTAGCTTTAAGTCAGTGTGGCTCAGATTTCCTGGTCACTTGCCACCAAAGCACCCCGTGTGAGCACAGGGAGAGAAGCTTCCAAGGGATGCCAAGGAGTTTGGGCCTCACCCCGAGGGCACTGGGGGTTTAAGCAAGGCGATGCCTTGCTCAAGCTGGGGGTTCTTTTGACAAATCCCTTTGTTATGTAGAAAATGGCCGAGACTGGAGGCAAGCGATACGTGAGTGGGCTTTTGCGGCAAACCAGGCTACAGCGGGTGAGGCTGGGACCCTCTGGCCCTGTGGGTTCACACATTCTTGGCCTCTGAGGTGCCCTCTTTCCTCAGAAAGTGCAGTGGGGGTGGGAGGGGAGGGGACTGTGTATCCCAGGGTTGGTGTCACCTCAGACCATCCCCCAGGAGGAAGGCGGGACATGGCCAGGACCCACTGGAAGCAGAGAGCAGGTGAGGGGCTACGGAGGAGGGGCTACGGAGAAAGGGCTGCGAATGTTAAAGGAAACGGAAGCATCCCCTCCCATCTCCCAGCACCATTGCACAGCACATGCTGCCTGCTCTCAGTGCGTCCCCTACTCTGAAGTGAGCCCCCACCGTGCCGCCTGTGGCTGGGCTGCGGAGCCCTCACCTGCCGGCCTTGCCCTGGCTCTGCTCAGGGAAAATCTCTGGAAACCTCTCAGTGCTTCCTGCCCGCACTGGGAGGGCAGAGAGCAGGCAAAGCCTTGTGATCCATCATGCCGAGGAGAGACTGGGGGCTAACAGGGAGGGACTCAGTTAAGGTGGCAGCAGGGACACCCGCTCCAGCTCCACTCTGGTGCCCTGAGGTGTTTGGGAGCTGGCCAGGCCTTCTCTTCCTCCCTCCACAAAACAGGGTGGTGGAAAGCTTTAGGGGGGAGCTTAGAAAATGCTTGGTGATTTTGTCAGGTGTGGAAATCACATTGTGGTTATTTTATTTTTGGAGCTGCATGATGAAGTCTTCAGGGAAACGCGTCTGCGTGTCTGACACGTTTAAAAGGTTTAACAAAATGCGAAATACTAAGAACGTGTATGTAGTGGTTATTTTGATGATAGAATTTATTTTTCTGTGTGTTAGAAAAAATTTATAGTAATGACACTTTTAAAAAGAACATTTTTAAAAAAAGGAAGAAAATACCAGGGCCAACAGTTCTCAAAGGGTATCCTTCAACACACTGGTTCTGGGAGATGTGGAGGGATGTTCTGTGACCAAAGGAAAGAGCACCCTTCTCCCTTTCTAGGGAGGCAAACAGGCCAGAGAACGAGAGGAGCAGCCTGCAGAGGGCACGCATCGCAGGCTAGATCCTGGGGCTCCAGCTTCTGGGCCACAGTGGGGCTGCCCCAGGAGGGAAGGCAGAGAGGGTGAGCCACATGGGTGTAGCTCCGTGGAAACAGGCCCCCAGACACAACCCCAGGTCTGTGGCTGGCCTGAGGGTCTTCCCTCACTGGGCCGGGCAGGGGCCCAGGATCAAAGGCAGAGCTCTGCAGAGGTGCATCCCAGCTGGGCAGATGCTCATTACTGGAACTTTCTGACCAAGGAGTCTGAGCTTCCTCACGAAGGATGCCATTAGGGGCTCAAGTATTCAATGTGAGCATTTAGAGAGGGCACTTCTCTGTGCTGGCAGCCACTGGCAGCTAGGTACAGGGCATGGAGGTGAGACACGGACCCCATCATCAACAGACAAGACAGCCACATGCAGAATTTGAGGACGAGAAGTTCTGGGTGTGGCCACCCCAGGGCACAGCACCGTGCACAGAGTGGGTCCATCCCATAAACATTCGTTATGTACCAACTATGTGCCAGGCACTGCCCCGGCTGCCAGAAGGTACACCTGTGACCCGAACACAAACCTGTCACCCTGGGACTCACACCACAGCTCAGGTCACTGTCCCACAAGGGGCAGCCCAAAGGTGTCATGAGGCACAACAGGGAGGCACATGTTCCCCAGGTTGGGGTGCATGCCCTGGCCCAGCCACTGTGCCGCGGGTCAGTGGAGAGCCTGGACAAGCCACTTAGGCGCTCGAGCTTCAGGTTTCTGGGAAATGTGCACAAGCTGGACACAGAGTCGGTCATTGAGAGAGGCCAACTCTCGGTCCGTCCCTCTGCCATCTCTGCCTGTGCTCTGAGCAGCCAGCTCTTGAGGATGTTTGGGGCCTCCTCCCCCACATGTTCTATGCCCATCTGGTCCCAGGGCCAGAACGCGGCTGGTGTTTCCAGGCACGGGAAGTGGAGCAGTCTATGGCCCCTGCCTTGCTGGCTGTGAAGCAGATTTTTGCGGAAGGTGATCAGCTACAAAGGGAGGCAGCATGCAGTAGTCCTCGTCCTTTCACTCAGAGGGCAAGAAAGAATCTGTTCACACACACACGCACACACACACACACAGGCACACGCACGCATGCACTAAGGTCTTGTGCGTGTATGGTGTGCTCCCAGCTTCATGAGAAGCAGAGGATCCCTCAGTCTGGCTGTGAACTTCAGGTCTTTAAAAGGCCAAGAGGCTTCCACAAAGGTTTGACATGAACAGGAGACTATGGGCAAAGCACTTGGGGCTGGCGAGCCCCGGCCTTGTTCTGATGCCTGCCACACCACACATGGGTGACGGGAAGCTGTTCCTGGGGCTGTCTTTCAGTCTCATCTCTCAATCCTCACCTCTGACTTGGTTGGGCCTACACCTGTGGGCAGTCGTGGGTGAGGGTTGATGGAGTTGGAACAGAGCTGGAAAGTGAGTGTAGAGACAGGATCAGGAGCCTCGTTCCCACATGTGACTCCCGATGGTCACATGACCTCCTGAGATGCTTTCCTTGTGTGGAGTGAGGTGGGTTGACCATAGGATCTCCACAGCCCAGATTCTGCCCCACAGAGCCAGGCCCCTCCCTAGGCTGTGTGGGGGCAGTGTCACCTCCGAGGAGGAGAGTGTGGGGGCAGCGTTCTGACAGGTGGAGGACTGGGGGAAGGGCGACAGGGACAACAGGAAACACCTGTGCACAGCAGGGAGCGTTCGGTGCTAGGGAGGGCTGAGGGTAGCAGCATGGGAGATGACGCTGGAGAGGTCTTTGGAGCCGTGGAGGGCCTTTCCGGCAGGCTCAGCAGCCTGCACTTGGCCATGTGGCCAGGGAGACTGAAGCGAAGGAGGGGGAGGAATCTGGCTCGCACTTGCTACCCACTCTGGAGCAAGGTGTGGGTGCAAGCTGCGGATGCTTCCCTACGGCTCCAGTCTACCTGCAACCTGGCTGCCCGACAGCCTCCGTGGGGCCTCTCCTGGGGCTGGTGCTCCAAGGTCAGACCCATTCTGCTGAATCCAGCAATGGGACTACAACAGACAAAGCCCTTGGCTTCTAGTGACAACTTCGCTAACAGACGCACCAGCAGAAGCCCGGCCTAGATATATTAATATTTGCACCTCTCCCGGGTCTGGGCTGCCGCTATTGCAAGCACAGTCCCCATCTTCCCAACCAAGCCCTTGACAACAGGCATAATACTTTGTGTTTGGGGAGAAGAGGTGTGGCTGCCAGCAGGCGCCCCAGCAGGGCTGGTCTTTCCTTCACCTGCAATCTACCTTTGTGCCAGGGAAGTGACCTAGAGGCTAAGCTGGAGTGAAGGGTTGGCAGTGGTGGGCTCCATCCTCGCTCCTTGGGGACGGACACTGGCCCTCAGGGCCGCAGGCACAGGGCCCTCTTGGCAAGTGGAGAGGGAGGCGGAGGGCTGTGCAGTCCCTTGGGCCCAAGCTGGAGTCCCTCTCTGACTGCACTGACGTCTCTTTAGCCGCGTGACCACAGGCAATTTGGACTCACGGGACCTCACAGGTGTCACCTGAAGTCGGAGCAATCAACGTTTCTGGCCAGTTGTTGGGAGTGTAGAATAAAATCATGATTACGGCGGCCCTGGCGCCGAGCCCGGCTGGCCGATAGCGATAGCCTCAGAAACGAAAATGACTAAGCATAGAGCCTCCCAATCCTTGTTTTGTTTTTTTCCTTTTGGAAACTGACATCCTCTCTATAGCTACATTTTGGGCTGCTCCAAGTGAGAAAAGCATTTAGGGGGAACTTCCACCTCTGATTGAGGGATGGGTGAAATCCCCTTTCAAGTCAACTGGGAATGTGCTCTCCGGAGGAGCACAGAGCTGTCTCCGCACAGGCAGACAGGTGGGAGGCCCCTGGAAATGCCCCCAGCCCTCTTCTTCCTGGGAGATGACAGGAGGCTTGGAGACATTTAATTATCCTCCCTTGGGGGGAAGAGGGCTGGGCCTGGGGGCTGTGGGAGGAGCAGGCAGCCCTTCACAGGATGAGGGGAGACCGGGCACTGCCTCTCAAGTGTTCCTCACACTGGCTCATCCTCCTGCTGGTATCTCTCCATGAGGTCAATGAACCACCTTCCTGTAACCCTGGGGCAATTGCTAGTGTCTTACGTGCCGCCCACCAGGTTTCATCAGGGAATGTGTGAGAAGTAGTTCTAGGTCTTGCCATTTTCACAGATATTTTTCCAGTTTCCCTCGTTTTATGGGGTCCCTCCAGACCCCAGATGGGGGGCTCTAGGCTCCAGACCCTCCTACAATTGCCAAGATGGATCCTGAACTCCGCATGGCCCAAGCATCTCTTCCAAGGAAATGGGTTTGCCTTCTTTTTCTTTCCTTAAAAAAATACTGTGCCAAAACTAAAGCGTAGTTCATGAAGTGAAGCCTTCCAGAGAGATCAGATGATGGCATCCTAGAGAGATCAGATGATGGCATCCTAGAGAGATCAGATGATGGCACCCTAGAGAAATCAGATGATGGCACCTTAGAGAGAGCAGATGATGGAACCCTAGAGAGAGCAGATGATGGAACCCTAGAGAGATCAGATGATGGAACCCTAGAGAGATCAGATGATGGAACCCTAGAGAGATCAGATGATGGCATCCTAGAGAGATCAGATGATGGCACCCTAGAGAGAGCAGATGATGGCACCCTAGAGAGAGCAGATGATGGCACCCTAGAGAGATCAGATGACGTCACCCTAGAGAGATCAGATGATGGCACCCTAGAGAGATCACATGGTGGCCTTATTAGGAAGCTCAGGTCAGACCTTAATTGGGGTCTGTTGGGCGCCAAGTTCTGATGGCAGCAGGGAGAGGTGCACAATCCGCCTCCAGATAAATGTCAGCTGGAGGCTCTGGGCTCGGCTACTAGCTCTGCCACCAACGAGCAGCAAGGCCATCAGCCTGTTGCTTCTGCCCTCTGGGCCTCAGTCTCCCCATCTGTAAAACTGCAGATTAATAGCTCACTGCACGGAGTTATTTTGGGGCTAAAAGGGGATTGTTTGTGAAAGTGTCTACCACATGCCGTTTCATTAAAAGTCAGAAATTGATTTGTTTTTACACACACACACACACACACAGTCTTGTACTCACACGTCTCTATTTTTGAAATGGCATGCACAGAGTGCTCCCAATTTTATGAGAATCAGAATGGGGTGGGCCCCTCACCAGGCTGTGGCATGCAGGCCTCGCTCAGCCGTACACACTCAGAGCCACCATGTCCCCATCTGTACAACAGGGGCTTGCACCCGATGATGCCCTGCTTTTCTCTTAACTTGCGCATTCTGCAACTCCAAGAAACACATCTGCCTCTCACTCAATAGTCATTATTAGCAGGTTACAAGAAGCTTGTGAGAGTCACCCAAACCAGGGAAGAGTATGTGAGGCAACTGCCCCAGGACAGGGAGATTTTACAAGACTGTGGATGGGAGGTCAAGAAAGGAGGAAGAGAAGCCAGTGGCCTTTAAGCACAAGCCAGGACAGCAGAGAGCTGGCTGCAGGGGACCTGGAATCGGGGGTCTCCGTGGGAAACAAAGCAGGGAGCTGTGAGCCCTGGGATGCAATGAGAAAGGAAGATATTTTTACTATGATTCCTGCACCTGCCCTGTGGTTATAGAGTGGGCCTCACTCCCTCTGAAGCGGGTTCCACACTCCTGTGTCTTGGCACCCACACTGTTCATGGTGAGTGGGACGTTCTTTCTACTCCCTCTTCCGGGAGAGCTCCTACTCATTCTTCAAGGCCTAACTTAGACATCATTTTCTATAGGGGATGGAAAATAAATAGTCCACACTTGTTTTGTGGACACTGAAATTTCAATTTTATGTACTTTTCACGTGTCACAAAATGTTATTCTTCCTTTGAATTTTTTCAGCCATGTAAATACATAGAAACAATTCTTAATTCATGGACTGTACCAAAACAGGTAGCAGATCAGATTGGCCACAGCCAGAGTTTGCCAGCACCCCCTCTGCCCTCTTGCTGTTCAAAGTGGGGTCCATGCCCAGTAGCCTCAGCCTCATCTGAGAGCTTGTTGGAAATGCAGATTCCAGGGACCCACCCAGACCTACAGACTCAAAGACTACATTTTAACAAGGTCTCTGGATGGCTCAAGTGCATTTTAAACTTTAAAATCTACGCTCACACCACTGCACTCTAGCCTGGGTGACAGAGTAAGACCCTGTCTCAAAAAAAAAAAAAAAATCCTGCCTGGGTGTCACCCCCAGAAATTCTAATTTAATAGGTATGGGGTGCAGCCTAAACAGCTAAACAGTGGGACTTTTTAAAGCTCCCCATGTGGTTCTAATGCACAGCAGAGTTCCAGAACTCGTGCCCCAGAGAGATTACCCAGGGAAAGAAGACTGCTCCTCCTCCTAGATCCCAGAGTCCCCAGGTCACTCCTGCATAACACAACATGTCACTGTAGAGAAACTATTTGTTACACTCTGAGCTCCTCTGAGATCAGAATCCTGTCCAATCCTAATTTATGAAGGTCTCAGACAAAACACCTACCGCCTCTGGGACTGGATCTCCTCCTCTTCCAATGCATGGCTTTGTAGCCGTAAATCTGCTCTTCACTGACCGCCTCCCTCCCCTGGTGCCCCAGGTGAGTGCAGAGAAGGCGGCCTCCAGAGCCAGGGTCACCCTGGCCTCTCCCGCCCTCCCTGAGCTTCCCCCGCTCAGGCCAGCACAGGCTCTGGGGAAAAGGGGAACAAAAAGAGGCAACCCACACATCCAGCAAACCCACTGAGCCCAGGGGGTGCACAGACTGTACCTTCCACAACCCTCCTCCCCTCTTTCCCAGCTGGAGGGCGTGCAGCCCCTCTCCCCCTTGCAGTGGGTCCCCGCTGCCCCAGCCCCTGCCTCCTGACTCCTCTGCCTTTTGGCCCTGACCCAGCATTTTCCTGGAGAAACGTGTGAGGGAGGGGTGCACGGCACTGACTGAAAGCCACACAAGAGTCTTGCCTGGGAGGGCCTCTGTTCGGGAGAGGGCTGGGGGACACAGGACAGCCCCTTTCAGGCCAGGGCTGACACTCCTGCCCCACCTGGCCTTGCACCCCCTGGCCAGGCCCCTCTCTACCTGGGGCCCTCTCATCACTTTTAGCTCTACAGCTAAGCCCTGCACTCCACAGACCCTAACTCTCTCCCAAGACCTCCCACTCCAAGCCCCCTACAACATGGCAGCCTCCCACCCTCCAGAGTCCCCACCACAGAGCATCCACAGCCTAAGGCTTCCGAATCCTCGAAGGTCGGATCTAGATGGGGCCTCGAGAAGTCTTATTATACGTATAGGGAAACCTACGCCCAGAGGAGGGGAAAAATTGGCCCGAGATGGTGGCAGACTGGGGACCACCACCTCCCTCTCCCCCATCTAGTCCCACACACTTGCCCCACTGCAGGGCTCCTCCCACTGCACCAGCTGCCTTAGCAAGAGAAGCAAGGACACAGCTCTGGGTTTCAGGAAAGATGGAAACCCAGAAGAAGGGGCCTGCTGGGGCCAACTCTTAGCCTTTGACTAAGGACAGTGTGACAATGCCCTGCCCCCAACCTCCCCCCACCTACAAGCCCAGCCCAGATCAGTGGAGGTCAGAGTGGGCAACCGTGCAACCCACCTCCCTCCCAGCACAGAGTAATAGAAACAGCTACTATTTATTGAGCACTTACTAAGTGCCAGGTGCCATGCTAAAAGCCACGATTCTCTGCCGTACTTATTAAATATTATATTCCCATTTACCAGATGATCAGAATGAGGGTCAGAGAGATGAATCAGCAGGCCTACGGTCACAAAGTTGGTAAGGGAGTGGTGGAGGAGAGGCCTTAGAGAAAAATGTTTAAGCTCAAAGGCATCTCAGGGTTCCTCTTCACTGCCTGGGCTTCGAACCCAGATCTGTTTGATCTGTTCCCTCGGGGCTCTCAGAGGAGATTCAGTGAGACACCAGGACACGGGTAGGGGCATCCACACTCGGGTTTATCCATTCAGCAGCTATCTCAAAGGTATCAGGGCTAGAAAGATGGGCTGGAGGACAGGCACCCCCACACCAAGGAAGATCAGCCCCTCTCCTGGTCCAAAGACTGTCTCATCATGAGCCCAAGCAGATGCCTCTGTCCCAAGACCACCTGGTGTCAGAGAGAACACATGGGCTTTGGGATCATCAGACCTGGGATTGTTCCCTTCTCTGTGTGACCTTGGGCCTCAGTTTCCTCATCTGTAAAATGGAGATACCTAGCTAGTAGGGTCAATGGAAGGAATAGAAAGAGGTTGTGAAAAGGGCCCGGTGCACGTGATAACTAAATGCTGCAGGCTGCTGGGCGTGCACTGTGAACTCTCCCCCATCCTGGGCCTGCAGGGGGAGCAAGCTTTACCCCAGAAGGAAGCAGCAGGGAAGCACGGCCTGCAGAGCCTCCAGGAATGTGGTAAGGCTCCTTGGCGCCGAACCTGACTATGAGCCCTTCTTTAATTAGTTCCCACTAAAAATAACTCCCCCACCACCCGGCTGCACACCTACCTCCTGGCCTGGCACTGAAGTGTGCCTGAGCTACTCTTGGGGGTGACAGCCAGCCTGTGACAGAACCTACAACACGGAGGGTGCACAGAGCAGGAGGCTTTATTGAGGGAGATACAGAAGCGGGCGTGGGCTCTCGTGCCAGCCAGGCCGCGGCCTCCACTCGTCCCACACGGCCCTGCGGCTCCTGCACACCCCTCCCTCCCGGGCTCCTGGACAGCAGGCAACATAGAGGAGTCTTACCCAGCCTTGGCAGAGGTGCCGGGAGGGCCTTCAGAGTCTGTCCAGGGGAGGGTTGGGGGGACACAGGACAGCCCTTCTGTGCTGTCGATGACATGCCTGCCACATCTACCCATCTGTCCACCGCCTGGTCCATCTCTGCCTGAGGGGCCCTCCTGTCACTTGCAACTCTGGAGCCGGGTCCTGTGGTGCTTCTCCTCGGTCAGGAGGGGGATGAAGGTGTCGCTGTGGGAGAGCTTCAGCCGGCTGCTGCAGCTCGGCGCCTCCTTCCCCGCAGGCTCTGGAGGGAGGTTGTCCAGGTCACTGCGGGAGCCCCCGGTCTTGCCCTCGCCCCCGCTGCTGGAGTTGAGTTCCATCAGCTCCAGCTCGTGCTTGGCCGCGGTCTCCAGGACGCGCTGCTTGTTGTAGTACCTGACAAAGTTGTTGATGATGGGGTGGATGGGCAGGGCGATGGCGATGACACCACACAAGAAGCTGATGGCCGCGTTGAGCTTGCCCAGCGTGGTCTTGGGGTAGATGTCGCCGTAGCCGACGGTGGTCATGGTGATGATGGCCCACCAGAAGGACTGGGGGATGCTCTTAAACAGGGTCTCTGGA
Source organism: Homo sapiens (assembly GCF_000001405.40). Taxonomy (NCBI): domain Eukaryota; kingdom Metazoa; phylum Chordata; class Mammalia; order Primates; family Hominidae; genus Homo; species Homo sapiens. Next base: position 10,913,472 of record NC_000002.12, on the reverse strand, counting down.
TGGCTCTGCTCCATGGTGTAGCCCAGGGCAGAGAAGACGAAGATACCCACTGCCAGGTACATGAGCAGCAGCCCCAGTTCCTTGAAGCTGCGCTTGAGGGCATAGGTGAGGGTCTGCAGGCCCGAGGAGTGGCGGGCCAGCTTGAAGATGCGCGCGATGCGCATGATCCGCAGCGCCTGCACGGCCTGCTGCACGTTGGTCAGCTCCATCATGCGGGCACCCAGGTGCGTGAGCGTGAGGCTCACGTAGAAGGGGAGGATGGCCAGCACGTCCACAATGTTCATGAAGGACAGCGCGAAGTGCAGCTTGTTGGGTGACGAGAAGAGGCGCAGCAGGTACTCCAGGGTGAACCAGCCAATGCACGCCGTCTCCACGTTCTCCAGCGTCGGGTGCTCCACGCGGTTGCCCTCGGCGTCCAGCACCTGCAGCTCGGGGATGGTGCCCATGCACATGACCACGGACGAGACGAGGATGAGCAGGAAGGAGAGCACGGCCACCACCCGCGCCGGGCACGACGACTCGGGCTTCTCCAGGAACTTCCAGACGCACTTCTGGCAGCGGCGCCAGCGGCCCTCGGCTGCGTCCACGCCCAGGTCGTCCAGGATGAGCTGCACGCGGCGCGCGATCTCCTCCAGCTCCTCGCGCTTCTCGCTCAGGTGGCTCTTGCAACAGTCGTCCAGGAACTTGAGGTCCACCTTCCAGAAGTCCATCTCGTTCTTGAAGCAGATGGGGCAGATGCCCTTCTTCATGTGGACCTCCCCGAAATAGTACACCTCGATGACACACTTGAAGGCGTCCGGGTCCCTGTCAAAGTAGAACTCGCGCTTGCCGGGGTCGTAGTCGTCGCACAGGGAGAAGATGGTGTCGTAGCCCCCAGCCAAGCAGTTGATGAGCTCCGCCAGCCGGGTCTCAGGGTACTGACTGAGGAGGTCCCCGTACAGCACCTGCCGCACGCCCCCCACGTTGACGACTATCTCTATGTCGTCGCTGGCAGCGGAGCTCTGGCTGCCCGGCTCCGGGAGGCTGCGCTCCCCGGACCCGTCCATCCTCCCCGCGCGCGCCCTCGCAGCCTCCGCCCCGCGCCCCCTGCAGCCGCCGCCGCCGCTGCCGCTGGGGGTCCGGCGGGTGCCACCCGTGCGCTGATCTCGGGGAGAGCCTGGCCGGCGCCCGCCTGCGGGGAAGGGCGGTCACAGCGGGCAGCAGCCTGCGGGGGCGCGCCGCGGGGGAGGCATGCACCCGGCGGCGGGGCTCGGGGCTGGCATCCGGGCGCCCGGGCGAGCCCGCGGGGGCTTTGGCGGCCGCCGGCCTCGCCCGGGGCACTCACCCCGGCTGGCTGGCGGCGCGCTCCGCCGCTTCAGCTCGGCCTCCTGCGGGAGCGGGGTCTCCTCGTGGGCGGCTGGCACCGTCCTCCGCCCCGGGGCGCGCAGGCAGCGGCGGCAGGTCCCGGAGCTGGCGGACCCACGCCGTCCGCGAGGTGCTCGAGGTGTGCAGAGAGCGAACTTGGGCTGGCTTTGCCCGAGCCTTTTCTAAACACAATAGGAATTCCAGCCTGACGTCAGGAGCTTTTCAAACTGTACCCTCTTCTGGTGAAATTCTGCAAGGCACGCGCGGCAGCTGCAGGGGACGGATTAACCCTTGGGCAGACGGGCACAGCTGCCGCGCCCGCCGCCACCACCGCGCACCGCCGGCCCCTCCTCGGGCGCAGCGGGTCACCGAGGGGTTGCGACCTGGCTTGAAGCGGCAGGCATTCTCTCTCACTGCTGTTTGGAGAGGATTAGTGGGGAGAGAATGCTGCCGCCTGTTGCTGGGCAGGAAAATGTGCTCCAGGAAGCCCCTTAGAAGGTGACTCCTATGTCTGGGTCCCTCCTCCGGCCTTAGACCCGCGCCGGCTTTTCCTGGTGGGAGGAAAATCCTGCCTGATCCTTGAAGCGTTTCCTGCCCCATCCCCCCGACCCAGCAATGCCCTGCTGTGTTGGTGGCACTGTCTCACCTTCCCCGCAACGCTGTACAAGGAGGACATCTAGTCCAGCCTCCTGTAGAAGGGAAGGGACTTGCCCAAGGTCACGCGGCGGAATGAGAGCAGAGCTCAGCTTGACCGCCTCCTGATCCCGAGCTTTCCGGCTGTCCCAGCTGACCGACGCCTGCTGTTCAGCAGATTTCAATTCTGCCTTGAAGTCCCTGCCGTCTGGCACCTCCTATCTCTCTGCAGTCCCACACCAAGGCCACTAGCTTCCAGACCCCTAGGGTCCAGTGGCTCCTGCTTCCCCGTTCCTCACTCCTTGACCAAGGCCTGTCTCTTCCTGACCAGTGTCCCACACCCTCCTCTCTTCCAGCCTTTGCAGCCACAGCTGTCCTTCTGTCCTCACTCACCTGAACCACTACAGCAGCTTCCTAACAGTGTCTCTCTCCTCCGGTTCACCACTATCATCAATACTGCAAATTACTGATATCATCTATGGCCTCGAGATCGTGTTAAAAATATTCTGGAGGGAAGAATGAATAGGCAGAGCAGAGGATTTTTAGGGCAGTGAAACGTACCATAATGGCGGATATGTGTCGTTATGCAATGGTCAAAATCCATAGAATGTTCACCACCAGGAGCGAATGTTAATGCAAACTCGGTGCTGGGCGATGATGACGTGTCCATGTGGGGTGGTCCACCATGACAAGTGTCCCACCCTGTGTGAGATGTTGATGCGCAGGGGAGAGCTGTGGAGACAGGGGGCATGTGGGAATTCTCTGTACTTTCTGTTGAATTGTGCTCTAAAATATAAAGTCTATTTAAAAATGTATTCTGTAGGCTGGGTTTTTTAAAACTTAAGGACATGTCCGTTAATGGATTATGAAATCAATTTACTGGGTCACTGACAGTATTCTTTTTTCTTTAATGAGTTAGCATAAAACAGAATATATTAGAATACATCACATGAAGTATTATTTAGTGAAACTTCGTTTTACAAATTTTACTTCATTTCCATTTAGCATCAGACAATGACATGCTACTACAGAGTAGGAAATCGAGGCTCAGAAAGGTTGAGTAATAATAAGAGTTGCCACTTATTCTCCATGGGCATCGGAGTGCAGTCTCTGAGTGCTTTGCATTTTTGTCATTTAATTTCCCAGCAACCCCTAAGGAAACAAGATGTCAGGTAACCTGCCGAGATCACTCTGTGGAGCTGGGATTTAACCATTGTCCTGCTGGGTTCTGAGGCCTATTCTTCTCCCCAGTACAGTGCTACACACCACCTCCTACACACACCCCAGCTTCCTCTTCCAATCCTTATGCATGCTACTCCCCTTATCAGCTGTCCGAGTACCTGCAGGGTTAAGTTCAAATTGCATCCTAGTCTGAGCTTAATGGGCTTCTAAATACCCATTCATTCACTCAGTTATTCAAATATTTATCGAGCTCTTATGGCACATGTGTGCAAATGCACACACACACACATACACACACCACCCTAGGTGTGGGGACAGGGTTCATATTCTAGTAGATAATATGTTTTTTGTAAATAATAATTAACAGTTTGGGGTAATGACCTTAACAAGAGGGGTATATGTATTATACAAGAGTGGTGCTTCCTGAATTTCTCCACAGGGGGCGCTGAGGGGCGGCCATCTGGTTGGAAGAGGGAGGGGCTGCATTTGCCTAGAAGCCCAGCCTTCACTCACTCAGGTTTGCATCGGGGTGTCTGATGAATCTCCCTCAGCAGATAGAGCCCCAATAGCTACTCCTTTGTATCGTCATGAAATACAAGGTGCTGTGGAACCCGGGAGTTTGCAGATACCTGGGCAGGCCCAGGAGAGGCTGGTGCATTAAAATTATACCGCTGGGATTTAGAGAGATCAATGTCATTGAAAGAACGCATTACTAACATGTCCTGAGAGAAGAGGACACGCCAGAGGAAATTCCAGGTGTGGCCAGGCAGAAGCAGGAGCGAGGGGAAAACGAGGCCAGGCCCTCTATTGGGGTTTCCTGGGGGAAAAGTTAGGGCAGAACAGAGGAAAGAGTCCAGGATTGGCTCCTTGGGATAATTCTGGTGGGCTTTGAACTACAGAGGTGGTCTCTAGTTGCCTGGTCCCTGGTCTGGGATGATTTAGGGCAGGGAAATATTGCCTTGGTGTGTGAGAGTTTGATGAGGGGAAGTTGGGGGTCTGGGCCTGGAATTGGTGGGTTTGCCTGTGAAAGATACGCTCCAGCCTTTCGCAATCTCTAAGGATGTCACCCACTGGGAGGGGCAGTCTCTCCAGTCTGTGAGGCCACATTGCCAGTCATCAGGAATGCAGAAAATAAGAAATCATAGTTAATACACTATTGACCCCAGGCTGAGAGGATGGCAGGCGGACAAATCTAGAATCTAGAAAGATGTGATGACAAGCTGGAGACTCAGGCCCCCGGAAGAGCCAGTGCGTGAGCTGAGCCTGGAGGTCTGAGTGCCACCTGCCTGCTCAGCTGAAAGGGCCACACGGTTTGGAGGTGAGGCTGGCAGGCCTGAGGCTGGTGGAGTCAGCTGGAAACAGACCCCGGAGGGTCTCAGCGGCCCTGGAGGCATCTGGACCACAAGTCAGCACTTCATACTTTAGGTCGTGGCTCAGTAGCTGGCTGTGAAATTAACGTATTGAGTATTAGAAAATAACAGAGAATATCAGACGTGGAAAAATAAATACGGCTTGAATCAGGTCATAGCAGCCAGAGGCTGACTCTGACTCCAAGTCCATTCAGCAAATCCCAGGCCCAGTGGGGAGAAAGCTGGTCTGGTGCAGAAGTGGGAGGGGAGGGGCAGCAGATGCAAAGCCCAGCAGAGAGAATGTCCGCACACAGCCCACAGGAGAGCAAGTGCCCAATGACAACAGGGGCAAGAGAAAGAAACAGCTGTAAATAGCAGGTCAAGGCTGGAGGTGCGAGACCAGCCTGCAGCCAGAAGCCAGGGGAGGGAAGAGAAGAGGCAGAGACACAAATCCTGCTCTGTGAGGATCAGCCCTGTATCCTTAGATGGGGGAGCAGAAGGCTGGCATTCATGTGCCCCTCAGTTTCCCGGGCTGTTAAATGGGTGACATGGACTTACATATTCACACGTTGTCATTTGTTGAATAGCATAGTGAACAGAGAGGCTACAGGTGGAGGCCTTGCCAAGCTCTGACACTTACTGGTGGTATGAGGCTGTGGGTTCAACTGTGTCCTCTCAAAAGATATGCTCAAGCCTTAAACCCGGCCCCTGTGAATGTGACCTGATTTGGAAGTTGGGTCTTTGCAGATGTAAGTGAAGATGAGATCACCCTGGAGTAGGGTGGGCCCTAAATCCAATCACTGGTGTCCTTGTAAGAAGAGACACAGATACACAGGGGGAACACCACGTGGCAACACAGGCAGAGGTTGGAGTGATGCTGCCACAAGCCATGGTACAGCAGGGACTGCCGGCAGCCACCAGAAGATGGGAGAGACGCATGGAGCCCTCTGAGTCCCCAAGAGGGAACCAACCCTGACGACACCTGGATTTTGGACTCTGGTCCCCAGAACTGTGAGAGCATAAATTTCTGTTGTTTTAAAACCACCCCAGTTTGTGGTATTCTGTTACGACAGTCTTAAGATACTAACACATGTGGCCTTAGGCAAGCTGTAACTTTTTTTTTTTTTTTTGAGTTGGAGTCTCTTTCTGTCGTCCAGGCTGGAGCGCAGTGGTGTGACCTCGGCTCACTGCAATCCCCGCCTCCTGGGTTCAAGCAATTCACCTGCCTCCGCCTCCTGAGTAGCTGGGATTACAGGCATGCGCCACCATGCCTGGCTAATTTTTGTATTTTTAGTAGAGATGAGGTTGCACCATATTGGCCAGGATAGTCTCATCTCCTGACCTCGTGATCCACCCACCTCGGCCTCCAAAAGTGCTGGGATTACAGGCGTGAGCCACCACCTCGACCTCCAGAAATGCTGGGATTACAGGTGTGAACCACCACGCCGGGCCGGCAAGCTGTAACTTCTTTAAGCCTCCAATTTTTCATCTGTGGAATAAGGAGACTGCCACAGTACACGGTGATGGGGCTACAGAATACAGTGGGGACTCAGTGCTAGAACAGGTGGGGACTTGGTGCTGGAACAGGTGGGGAGCAAGTGCTGGGACAGATAGGAACCAGATGCTGGGACAGGTGGGGGCCAAGTGCTAGGAGAGGTGGGGGCCCAGTGCTGAGACAAGCGGGGACCAGGTGCTGGGACAGGTGGTGACCAGGTGCTGGGATAGGTGGAGAGCAGGTGGGGACCAGCTGCTAGGAGATGTATGAGCCAAGTGCAAGGGCTACCCTGGAAAAGGGAGGCTCTGAATCAGCGTGGGGCCTAGGGGAAAGCTCACAGAGAAGGTGCATGCACCCGTCTTTTGAACCGGCAGGGGTGGTTCTTACTGCATTCCAGGCTCTGTTCTGGGCGCTGAGAACAGAGCAGAGATGAGATGGACGAAGGTGCTACATCTGCAGAGCTAGAGGATTTGTGTGGAGACCTCAAAGCAGTGCCAATTGTGAAAGATGACTGCTAGGCCAGTGACTGAAGGGACATCTGGGAGCCTCCAAGGGGACATCTGGGAGGCCTGGCTGTCCAGGGAGGTCCAGCCTGTCCAGTGGAGCTCTCAGAATGACTGAAGGGCTCCTTACCCACACTATCCAGTACAGTAGCCGCAGCTGCACATGGCTGCTGAGTGTTTGGCATGGGCCTAGTGCACCCGAGTAGCTGAATTTTTATTTCAATTATATTTGATTTTTAACAGCTTTGTTGAGATGCACTTCACATTCCATACGATTGATACACCAGTGGCTTTTAGTGTATTCAGAGCCGTGCAGCTATCAGCACTGGTTCATCTTAGAACATTTCATTACCCCCAAAATGAATGCCACACCTTTTAGCCATGACCCCCAACCTCCCCCTGCCCTAGACACCCACTAGAATACTTTTTGTCTATGAATGTGCCTATTCTAGGAATATCATGTAAATGAAATTCTATAATATATGACTTTTTGTGACTGGTATCTTTCACTTACAACTTACCATGGATTTTTTGTTTGTTTGTTTGTTTGTTGTTGTTTTTGAGACAGAGTCTCACTCTGTTGCCCAGGCTGGAGTGCAGTGGCACAATCTTGGCTCACTGCAACCTCCGCCTCCTGGTTCAAGCGATTCTCCTGCCTCCCTAGTAGCTGGGATTACAGGTACACGCCACCACATCCAGCTACTTTTTGTATTTTTAGTAGAGATGCGGTTTCACGATGTTGACCAGGTTGGTCTCAAACTCCTGACCTCAGGTGATCCACCCATCTCAGCCTCCCAAAGCGCTGGGCTTACAGGCGTGAGCCACCGCGCCTGGCCACTTAACGTTTTTAACGTTCATCGGTGCATGGCATGTGTCAGTACTTCATCCCTTTTTATGGCTGATCATATCCGTTGCATGGATAAGCCAAATTGTGGTGATAATCCCCTGTGGTCAGTGGCTGCCATGTTGGGCAGATGGAGTCTGGGGAAGCTGAGCCAGGTCAGGTGGGCGTGGGCAGTGAGGAGTAGGGCCAGGCCTCCCAGGCAGACAAGGCAGTAGCATAGACAGAGGCAGGAAAGTCCCCACCAGGGTTCCAGGCCCCGCACTGCACTGGTCTCTGCATGCTCCACGCTAACTGTGCCCTCTACTGCAGTGCTGCCCTCACCCGTCCCTGGGGTCATTCTTTCCACCCTTTCAAAGCTCAGTCCTCAGTGTCACCACTTCCAGGAGGTCTCCAGGGACTGCACCCCTCTCCAGCCCTCCTTTCCCCAAGGGATCAGGGCCCATTCCCTATGTGCTCACAGAGCCCTCAGCTGTCCTATGGCACAGGGTCAGTTCATGCACCACTGGTTTGTCTGCCCCCAACTCCAGCCCCAGTACAATCTGGATTATTCTTCTCTGTGACGGTGCCCAGCATCGGGCCTGGACATGCAGGTGCTAGGCAGGCATGTGGAGGGAAGGAATGAGAAAATGCTTCATTATGCCCAAACAGAACCCACATAACTTTGAAACCACAGGACCTTCATGGTCTCTGATGAGCCTTAATTTGCTCAGCTGTCCCACAGAGCCAGGCTTCAGCAGTGTCTGGGGCGTGGCGGTGAGAAAGACATGGTCCCCTGGGCATGCCCCAGACTTGTGGGCAGACTGATGGGAGGTGAAAAGCACCTGGGAACTGAGCAGGGCTGGGCCGTGGCTAGAGAGATTTTTGGGGGTCAGAGGATGGTCTTCCTTCCACGGTCAGGACACAGGCATTTTCCCTTTACCCCTGCATGCTGCACACCCCACCTCCTCATCAAACCCTGGCAAGTCCACATTCTGGTCTACTGACATGCCCAGGCCCAGAGTGCCCCACACCTGGAATCCCACAAACTCCACTTGTCCTCCCAGGCCAGAGCAAACGGAGCCTGCAGATCAGGTTGGCTGACTCCTTGCCCAGTGCTCTCCCCAAGCCTGTACTACTGCCTCTGTTATGGACTGAATGTTTTTGTACCACCCCCTCCAAATTCGTACGTGGACGCCCTAACCCCCAATGTGATGCTATTTGGAGATGGGGCCTTTAATGAGATAATGAAGGTTAAATGAAGCCATAAAGTTGGGGCCCCAGCCCAACAAGATTAGTGGCCTTAGAAGAAGAAGGTAGAGAGACCTTGCTCTCTGTCTTCACCACGTGAGGGTACATTGAGAAGGTGGCCATCTGCAAGCCAAAGAGAGAAGCCTCAAAGAAATGAAACCTGCCAGCACCTTGATCTTGGACGATAAATGCCTATTGTTGAAGCCTGAGGTCTGTGGTGCTTTGTTACACGGCCCAAGCTGACTAGTACGTTCTCCTTCCCTCACACTTGCTAAGTGCCGCCTCTGCCTTCCTCTTCTCAAAGCTCTGGAAACAGGCCCTTTGTCCTCTGACCATATAGATCCTGTTTGGAAAGGCGAGGCTGGGATCCCATGGATTAGGAAAAAAAGAGAAAAATCAACATGCTGCTTTCTCACTGAAGGTCATTGTTGCATAGAAACTTGAGCCAGCAGCCTGGATCCATTTAGAATTTCCTGAAGGGTTAAACCAGAAAAAAAAAAAAAAAGTCTGAACTTTTTGGCTAAAAATGGAAAGCTTCTTGCTGTGATGTATTCAGTCCAGCATAGACCTTCTATGAGAATTATACATTTCATGATGCCATGGGGGAAGGGACGTAGAGCACAAAATCTATTAGACATAGAAGAAGCAGCAATTTTACCTTGCGGGTTTCTTATTTAAATAAAGGGTGGGGGAACAGTTTATTTAGGCATAATGGGAAGTAGTTGTTTGAGCTGCATTTTCTCATTAAAAATTTTTTTTATTTGTTGAACAATACCATTTTGGGCTACAGAATGCTAGATTTCTATGGCAGTAATTAAAACCAGTGCCTGTGTATCTAAGTGATTTGTCTAGACGGCAAATGATGCAAGCTGTAATCTATTCCTTTTTATGGGCTAATCAGTTCTGCTCAGTTAAAATTTCCTTGTGTTTTGCTGAATTGAATAATACCTTTCATTAAGATTCAGTTCCCTCTCCCTCTCCCTCTCCCTCCCCCTCCCCCTCTCCCTCTCCCTCTCCCTCTCCCCACGGTCTCCCTCTCCCTCTCTTTCCACGGTCTCCCTCTCATGCTGAGCCAAAGCTGTACTGTACTGCTGCCATCTCGGCTCACTGCAACCTCCCTGCCTGATTCTCCTGACTCAGCCTGCCCAGTGCCTGCGATTGCAGGCTCACGCCGCCACGCCTGACTGGTTTTGGTGGAGACGGGGATTCGCTGTGTTGGCCGGGCCGGTCTCCAGCCCCTAACCGCAAGTGATCCGCCAGCCTCGGCCTCCCGAGGTGCCGGGATTGCAGACGGAGTCTCCTTCACTCAGTGCTCAATGGTGCCCAGGCTGGAGTGCAGTGGCGTGATCTCGGCTCGCTACAACCTGCACCTCCCAGCCGCCTGCCTTGGCCTCCCAAAGTGCCGAGATTGCAGCCTCTGCCCGGCCGCCACCCCGTCTGGGAAGTGAGGAGCGTCTCTGCCTGGCCGCCCATCGTCTGGGTTGTGAGGAGCCCCTCTGCCCGGCCGCCCAGTCTGGGAAGTGAGGAGCCCCTCTGCCCGGCCGCCATCACGTCTGGGAAGTAAGGAGCATCTCAGCCCGGCTGCCCATCGTCTGGGATGTGAGGAGCGCCTCTGCCAGGCCGCCCAGTCTGGAAAGTGAGGAGCGTCTCCGCCTGGCCGCCATCCCACCTAGGAAGTGAGGAGCACCTCTTCCCGGCCGCCATCCCATCTAGGAAGTGAGGAGCGTCTCTGCCCGGTCGCCCATCGTCTGAGATGTGGGGAGCGCCTCTGCCCCGCCGCCCCGTCTGGGATGTGAGGAGCACCTCTGCCCGGCCGCCCCGTCTGAGAAGTGAGGAGCCCCTCCGCCCGGCAGCCGCCCCATCTGGGAAGTGAGGAGCGTCTGCGCCCGGCAGCCAGCCGTCCGGGAGGGAGGTGGGGGGGTCAGCCCCCCGCCCGGCCAGCCGCCCCGTCCGGGAGGGAGGTGGGGGGGTCAGCCCCCAGCCCGGCCAGCCGCCCCGTCCGGGAGGGAGGTGGGGGGGTCAGCCCCCCGCCCGGCCAGACGCCCCGTCCGGGAGGGAGGTGGGGGGGTCAGCCCCCCGCCCGGCCAGCCGCCCCGTCCGGGAGGGAGGTGGGGGGGTCAGCCCCCCGCCCGGCCAGCCGCCCCGTCCGGGAGGGAGGTGGGGGGGTCAGCCCCCCGCCCGGCCAGCCGCCCCGTCCGGGAGGGAGGTGGGGGGGTCAGCCCCCAGCCCGGCCAGCCGCCCCGACCGGGAGGGAGGTGGGGGGGTTAGCCCCCCGCCCGGCCAGCCCCCCCATCCGGGAGGGAGGTTGGGGGGTCAGCCCCCCGCCCGGCCAGCCGCCCCGTCCGGGAGGTGAGGGGCGCCTCTGCCCGGCCGCCCCTACTGGGAAGTGAGGAGCCCCTCTGCCCGGCCACCACCCCGTCTGGGAGGTGTACCCAACAGCTCATTGAGAACGGGCCAGGATGACAATGGCGGCTTTGTGGAATAGAAAGGGGGGAAAGGTGGGGAAAAGATTGAGAAATCGGATGGTTGCCGTGTCTGTGTAGAAAGAAGTAGACATGGGAGACTTTTCATTTTGTTCTGTACTAAGAAAACTTCTTCTGCCTTGGGATCCTGTTGATCTGTGACCTTACCCCCAACCCTGTGCTCTCTGAAACATGTGCTGTGTCCACTCAGGGTTAAATGGATTAAGGGCGGTGCAAGATGTGCTTTGTTAAACAGATGCTTGAAAGCAGCATGCTCGTTAAGAGTCATCACCACTCCCTAATCTCAAGTACCCAGGGACACAAACACTGCGGAAGGCCGCAGGGTCCTCTGCCTAGGAAAACCAGAGACCTTTGTTCACTTGTTTATCTGCTGACCTTCCCTCCACTATTGTCCTATGACCCTGCCAAATCCCCCTCTGTGAGAAACACCCAAGAATTATCAATAAAAAATAAATAAATAAAAAAAAAAGATTCAGTTCTGTACTCCATTGAAAATTTACATTTCATTTTTTGCTGTGTACCCATCGGTATCAGGGAGCTGCCCCGTCCCCACCCCCGCTCCTTCTCCTCATCATCCCCCTCCCCTCATCATCCCCCTTCCCCACCTCCACCAAGAAGAGCTGATTGACAGAAAGACCCAGCTGGTCTACTCCTGTCTGAATACCATGGCCCCTGGAAGTCAAGTGCATGAGGCAGCTGGGTGGGAGGCGGTGCTGGATGGAGGTGGGTAGAGAAGGATGTCAAACTGAATCATCAGGAAACTTCATTTTTTTCACCCCAGCTTCTAAGCATTTTTTTTCTTTTCTATGCCTCAATTTTTTCATCAGTAAAATGGAGCTAATGACTCTTTCCTTCCTGGCTATAAGATCTTATAGGAACAAATACATTATTGGGCATGAACAGCTTTGTAATCGACAAGCTGCTGAACCTGCCAAGGCCAAGAAGAGCAGGGGGAGGAGAGCGGGAGGGGTGACTTCCTTGTTCCCATTCCCGAGGTGGGCACGTTTCCTGAAGTCTGCTCGCCTCTGCCTCTGCTTCCCATGGCTTCTGTTCAGCCATGACTCATCCTGCCTGCAGGCAGGTGGGAGGACCGGGACAGGGTTGCCACACACCCCAGATGTGTAGAAAGATGTCAGAGGCTTTGGGCGCATTCAGCTGCCCCAGAGGCTGCGGGTAGGACCCCTCTGGGCCTGAGATCTGGGAAGAGAGAAAAGCAGTTAGGAAACAAGACCAAGAAGGATAAATGTTCCTGCCTGTGGCCTGCCAGGTTGGAGTAGTGGGGCGTGGGGCTGCTGTTGGCTTTTGTGCTTGCTTTTAAAGCACACTAGGAAAGTAAACAAAATGATTGAAGAAAACTCTTCAGAAACAAATCCTTTCCCATTTTCCTTTACTTTAATTGCAAAATTGTTATCTATTTATTGTAAAAAAAAAAAAATGTAATGTGAAAGGAAGGCTTTTATTTACATCCCTGACTTCCGTCTTGCCCAAAGGTCAGAATGATACACAGTCTATCAATTTTCTGTTACTGGGTACAAATTACATCAAACATAGAAGCTTAAAGTAACACACTTTTGCTAGCGCACAGGTGCCATGGGGCAGGAGTCTGGGCACAGCTTAACTGGGTCCTTTGCTCAGGGCCTCGCGAGGCACAATCAAGGTGCTGCCCAGAGCTGCAGCCTCATCTGAGGCTCAGGGTCCTCTTCCGTGCTCATGCAGCAGAATCCATGTCCTTGCAGCTGTGGAACTTACCCAGGCTTCCTTCTTCATTAAGGCCAGCAGTAGACTCTCATCAGAACGGTCTAAGTTATCTGTTCAGAGGCTTACCTGATTAGGCCAGGCCCCCCCCCAACCCAAGGAGATTCTCCCATTTAATTAACTCAAAGTCAGACTGATTAGGGATCTTAATTACATCATCAAAATCCCTTTACGTGTGCCACATAACCTAACCACAGGACTGAGCTCTGTCATAATCACAGTCCTGCCCAAAATCAAGAGGCGGAAATTGTACAGAAGGTGGACACCAGGGGGCGGGAATCATGAAGCCATTGGAGAACTGTGTCTACTACACACTTCTGATGTGCATATTTCCAGGCCTCTTTCACAGATAGACGGATAGATAAAAAGGAAGAAAGAAAGATTCTTCTGTTTGCATTTTGCTTTCTTCCTGTTGAGTAACACCTCACAGACATTACACCATTTTAGTAATCATAGAACTTATGTATCTACTCTCCTATGGTTGGATATTGTTTGTTTATAATTTTCTACTATTAAAATAATCCCATAATAAATATCATATACAGCCTGTATCCTTGAACACTTATACCTCTATAGGATTGATTTCTACTGGTGGAATGGCTAAGCTAAAGGGTGCAGACCTTTTAAGTTTTGATAAATACTACAAAAATAACTTTCAAGGAGGCACCCTCAAGTACCTATTTCCCCAAACTCTTACCATTTCTGAATGTAATCAATCTTTTAAAATTTTTGACAGCCAGAAGAGTGGAAATGGTACCTTGTTCTAATTGCATTTCTTTGATTATCAATGAAGTGCATTTCAATGATTTTAGAAGCTCCATTTTTATTCTATTTTTTTGTTATCACCTTTATGTCTCATTAAAGCATGACCCTTCGGAACTCTACTAGACAATATATTCAGTCATTAACTTTAGTTGCTTTGGTAGAGATTTTGCTCATTAAAGCAGACTCTTAAATACTCCTTCTCATTCCACAGACATTAACTGAGTGCCTGTTTTATGCTGGACTCTGGGCCAGATGTGGGAAATACAGAAATGAAAATGCTATTGTTCTTGCCTACAAAAATTATTCACTCCAATGAGCATTACAGCAACATCTAGTTCAAGATATTATATTTATGTGCAAAGACTGGCAATTCTCAGTTTCCTTGAAAGACACAAACTACCAAAGCTCATTCAAGAAAAATATAGGTCACATGAAAAGCCCTATATCTATTAAAAATCGAAATTATAGTTAGAAAACTTCCCACAAAAAAAAAACTCCAGGTACAGATGGATTCACTGAGGAATTGGACCAAACATTTAAGAAATAAATAATACAAAGTCTACACAAACTTTTCCAAAAAATAAAAGAGGCAAAAACATTCTCCAAATCAATTTATGGGGCAGCAATACCCTGATTCCAAAGCCAGATGAAGACACTGCAAGATAACTATATTTCTTATAAAGACTAAGACAGATATCTCTCTTACACATAGATTCAAACACCTAAACAGAATTTTGGCAAATCATCAAAACTTACTACAATATTGCAGTAATAAGGACTATAATCAAATATATATGTCATAAAGACAGACATATAGATCAATAGAATAAAACCCTCACCTTTATTGTCAAATTGATTTTCAAAGAGGGTGACAAAACAATTCAATGGAGAAAGAACAGTCTTTTTAACCAAAGGGGCTGGGAAATCATTTATGCAAAAGAATAAAGTTGGACCTTTACCTCACACCATATACAAAATTAACTCAAAACAGATCAAAGACCTGAATGTAAGAGGTAAAACTATAACTCTTAAAAGGAAACATAGGCAATATCTTAGTGGCCTTAGATTAAGCAGTGAGATGCTTCTGAGATGACACTAAAAGCACAAATGACCAAAGAAAAAATAGATACATTTAGAACATTTGTGTGTCAAAGGACACTATCAAAAAAGTGACAAAAAGACCCATAGAATGGGAGTACATATATGCAAACCATGTATTTGATAAGTGGCTAGTATCCAAAATATATGTTAGCCCCTTAGAACTCACCAATTAGAAGACAAATAGCCCAATTTAAAAATGCTCAAAGGATGTGAATAAAAATTTCTCCAAAGAGACTATGCAAATAGCCAACAAGCACATAACAAATGCTGTCTCTTGGTGCTCCCAGCTCCATATCTGTTCCTGACCAGAGATTAGGAAGGGAGGTGCTGGAGGAGGAGGACCTTATGGGGTCAAATGAGGAGAGAAAGGAAATGGTATAAGAAGTGGCGTGGGCTGAAAGTAAACTGGGAGCACAGCAGGAGATGGATGGAGAGAGAGCAGGAAGGTGGAATGGGAGTAGAGAGAGAAAATTCTGGAACATCCTCCAATGTTTGGGAGAAAATGTCATGCCAGGCAGAACTTAATAATTACTGTCATTTGTGGGATATTTCAGTACAAGAGAACCAAATAATTATGATGTCATGGGCCTCAGAGCCTTCCTCCAAATCAGCATCCAGTCATCAGATGCACTTGGCTTAGGCGTCCTCGACAGCCTCCTATGCCTTAGTCATAGCACCGGCTGTGAGACAGAGCTCTTTGGGGGAATAGAAGTTTCTTCCTCCTGTGGTTATGACAATCAAATAGGATTTCACAAGTGCACAGATGGATCCTTGAAGATCCTCAGTTTCCAGGGAGTCTGAATCGTTGAGGTCAACCTTCCACCCAAAGTAGAAATCTCTGCCACTGTATCCCTCTAAGCAGGCCTCAGCCTCAGCCCGGATTCCTCCAGTGATGGGGAGCTCCTAACATCCAGGGAACAGGGTACAACATGCAAACTCTTGGGAGGAAAAAGAATCCCTTTCAACTTCCTGATGGTGAAGTAATTTTACACCTTAAAACGGTGCAGGCAATGTCTATCTAGGTAGGCTGGATCTCTAGTTGGGAAACTCAGCTTTGAGTCCCACCTCTACAGTATACGAGCTGTATAACCTTGAACAAGTCATTTTGTCCCTCAGTCTCAGTTGCCTCTCTGTAAAAGGGAGATGATACTCAGTAGACCTATATCAGATGGTTACTTTTAGTAATAAAGAAATCACATTGGGAAGTATGATATGAAGAATTGCTATCACTGCACATATTTTTCATAATATTGGGTTTCAAAGGGACCTAGGAAATCAGATACACATTTCTTCACTTCCCAGCACCAATAGATGTATAAGCTTTAATGTCCCAGTCTGTAACAATGTGCTAACAGTCAGATGGAAAAGGAAGTAGAAAGAAGTTAGGTGTTGGGAAGATGCTTCTGTCCCTATTGTTTTCTTTTGGCTTTGCATATGCACTAACGTAGCTTTGCTCACTGTGTCTGCCTCTCCTACGTTCATTCCACCTGCCCCACCAAGCATGTAGTAGCTATGGGGTCTGGATAGGATTGGCCCCATCTCCATCTTCAGAGGGAGTCCTATCAGTCTAAGCCACTCTCATCATTCTCTTGACATATACATCTCTGTATTAGTCCATTTTCACACTGGTAATAAAGACATACCCGAGACTGGGCAATTTACAAAATAAAGTGGTTTATTGGACTTACAGTTCCACATAGCTGGGGAGGCCTCACAATCATGGTGGAAGGCAAGAAGGCAAGTCACATGTTACATGGATCGCAGCAGACAAAGGGAGAGAGCTTGTGCAGGGGAACTCCTCTTTTTAAAACCATCAGATCTCGTGAGACTTATTCACTATCATGAGAACAGCACAGGAAAGAGGTGCCCCATGATTTAATTACCCCCCACTGGGTTCCTCCCAAAACACGTGGGAATTCAAGATGAGATTTGGGTGGGGACACAGCCAAACCATGTCAATCTCCCTTGTCTTCATTATTGTTTTGGGGAAAGACAAGTGGCCCAGTCTCAAACCACTCAGGGTATTTCCCTGGCCATGGTGATGAGGAGTGGACAGAAGCCAAGTTGTTCCAGTTGAAATGTAACAAAAGATTTTTGTTTGATTGTTGAGGCAAGAAAAACTCCCTCTTCTTCTGGATAAGGACAAGAAAGCATGATTCTCTGGAGGCTGTGGCACTCATCTCGCAACCATAAGGAGAGCCAGGCTTCAGATGAAATGTATGTGGTCAAAGGCAGGATGGAGAGACACACTTAGATGTTGTCCTCTTGAAATACTAGATCAAACTGATCCTGAAGCCTGAACTATGTCTGGATTTTCTAGTCACGTGAGCCCATACATTCCTTTATTGCTTAAACCACTTTGCGTTGGAACTGTCAGCATCCCCATTACCAAATTTTGTACAAGGAAATGTGATCATTACAACAAAACTTAAAATCTGTAATTGGTTGAATAGAAGCTGGCAAGTAGCAGTGTCCCAGGTTGGAATGTTGGCGTTCTTGTTTTGCAGGTGTTTAATAGTTATTTGTGGTTTGGGGAGATACAAGCATGCTTGGTCAAGGCTATACCATCAGGGAACACAGAAGAGAAGGATTAGAATGTCAGGGTGATGCCAGGCGCGGTGGCTCACGCCTGTAATCCCAGCACTTTGGGAGGCTGAGGCGGGCGGATCACGGGGTCAGGAGTTCAAGACCAGCCTGGCCAACATGGTGAAACCCCGTTTCTGCTAAAAATACAAAAATTAGCCGGGTGAGGTGGCGGGCGCCTGTAATCCCAGCTACTCGGGGGGCTGAGGCAGATAATTGCTTGAACCCGGGAGGTGGAGGTTGCAGTGAGCCGAGATCGTGCCACTGCACTCCAGCCTGGGCGACAGAGCGAGACTCTGTCTCAAAAAAACAGAAAACAAACAGAATATCAGGGTGACTTGGCTGCTTCTTGCAGTCTTCCCTGAGGTCCTACAAGGAGACAAAGACAGGATTCAAAGGATCCCATCCAAAAGCAGAAAATATAACTTTGATTAAAAAAATAAGCTAAATATCCAATAATATTTATTTATTTAATAATATTTAGCTTATGATTAAAACTTTGTATCTCTGCTCTCTTAGCAAAATTAGACTGCCATCCTAAAATGCCTAAGGCCCGAGAATTTGGAGTTTTTGGAGTTAGAGAAGCCAAATTATTTTCCCAAGATGTTATTGAGGGCAGGAAGTGCAACAGAGGAGAAAATCCAGTTGGAACCTCTGTTCCTTTTCCTTGGACCCATTGGGCATAGCTAGAGACACAGCAAATGCTATGGCCATGGCCACTGGGCATTTTGGAAGCAGGCCGATCTGTCTACTGCAGGTGCTGTTGCCTCTTCTCATAGCTGATCTTGGAACAGGCTTTTTAGGGTGGAGTGGGAGGGAAGGCAGGGAGAACAGGACAGGTTGAACCTGAGGCCTGGGAGGGCAAAAATAAGAAGAGAAAGTCCACTAGAAGGATCTAGGAAGGATGAGAAAAGTTCCAGTGACCAGGAAATAATTCATCCCTGACTAATTGTTCCCTATCGCCCATTCCCACTGGAGGACAGTCTGGGTGGAAGCACTAGTCATGGGAGACCGAGCCCCCAGTCCGGTACCTTCAGGAGGTAAGACATCCTGGGGCTCAGGTTATCCTCTGAAGGCTCCCAAGGCCATGTAGCAGGAAGGAGAACACAAATATGGTATACAGAGCCAGGGACCAGTTGAGCACTGACTGAGGAAGACGGAGTAGAAACAGCAACCATGCTGCTGGAAGCTGGAAGGTCACAGGAAGGATAGCACGGGGGCAGAAATCAAGGCAGGCAAAGGATCAGGACAAAGTCTGTGCACACCAAACAAGAGGATGCAGGTGTCCCTTCTGAGGTAGACCCAGGGAAGGTGGCTAAAGAAACTAACACCCCTGGGAGGGCTCTTGTCCCCAGCAACACTTCCCTGGGGAACGACAGTGCCCAGAGCACAGGATGTGGACCACAAATGGGGATGCAGTCAGGAAAGAATGGTGAGTGCAGAGTCCCTTTGTTACAGACCACAGGCTCTTTGGCGCCCCATTTAATGGAAATTAACACAGGGCCAAGCAGATGTCCCAGACAAGCCTTTTATTTCAGGGCTTGTGCTGTATCATAAGGGAGACAGCAGAGGCGAGGTGCAAGGATCCTCCAGCTGGCTCCCCAAAAAGCTGGTAGGGATTTTTTCTATTAGGAAAAGTGCGGGAATTGGCATCAGAGGTAAGATATACAGGCTGGGTTGGGCAAAACACTTGAGGGGTAAGGTATGTGGGTCAGCATTATTTGGTTGCCATGGTTATCTTGAGTAATGGGGCACCTTGTGGTTGGGCCACCTGGTGGTCTGGCCAGTGGTAACAGGGCTGCAAATCACTTGTTCAGCATTCATTCCCAAGGTGGGATACTCTGCAATCTTAATTCAATGTTTAGATTTCCTAAGGCCAGTTTCTGGAATTCTTTAAGTAGAAGGCATGGTGAAGCATTATGAGAGCACAGAAAAATGGCTATTTTTTTGTGTGTGACTAAAGCCTTGGGGTTAGCAAGTATAGTGTCAGAGAGGTGGTGGTGTGGGTTTCGTGAAGAGAAGAAAAAAAGCAGAAAGAAAAAGAGTGTGAAGAAGAAGCCATGTCCCACTCCTATTCTATCTCACCTTTCCCTCTGAGGGCAAATGGAGCTGAGCCCACCAGAGAGTAAGAGCAATGCCCCATTAACTGCAGCATCTTTATCTCTGCCCTGTCAAGCTCCCTGGCCCACAGCCCATCAGGACCTTAACAAAAAAAACACTTTAAAGCAGAAAGTATACAGATCTCAACTCCTGCTATGGTCTAAATATTTACGTGAGAGGTGTAGAGAAAGTTTCAATCTTCTGGAGAATGTCTAAGTGGTTGTGAATAGAATGTTGGTAGAAATATGGATGGAGAAGGCCATTCTGATGAGGTCTCAGACAGAAACAAGGGACATGTTATCAGAAATTGTAGGAAAGGCAGTCCTTCTTATAAAGTGGCAAAGAAGTTGGCTAAGTTGTGTTTGTGTCCTAGTGTTTTGTAGAAGGTGGAACTTGTGAGGAACAAGATTGGATATTTAGCTGACGCTATTTCTAAGCAAAGTGTTGAAGATGTGGCCTGATTCTTCTTGACTATTTACAGTAAAATTCTGGAAAAGATAAATTATTTAAAGACAACAATGTCAATAAAAAGAGAATGAGAACTTAAAATTTGGAAAATTCTCAGCCTATCCATATTGGAAAAAATAAGAAAGTCTTTTCAGAGACAGAAGGGTGTGGCCAAATTTGATAAGGAGATTAGTATGAATGGACCATCTCAACAAAAGCTATGAGGTATTCGTCAACACAATGGGGAGATCAGTCAGCCACCTACACAGAAGCCAGGACCTATTGTCCAAGGCAATAACTCTACCACAGAATGCAAGGATCACTAGGGCAGAACAATTTCAAAAGAGAGTCTGCAGTGCAGCATGCATTGTGCCCTGAGAAGCCATGGGGCCATATCTGCCTCCACCTAGATTTCAAAGGATACCCCACAGAGCTGGGGGTCCTAGGCAGAGAACTACCTTGTGGTTTGGCCCCTACAGAGAGCCCCTACTAGGGCAATGCCCCCAGAACCATCGAAGTGGAGCCACGCCATGACCCCAGACTGGTAGAGCCACTGGCATGCGATTTTGTAAGAGTCACTAGCATGTGACTCCAACTCTTGCCACCTGCAGCATGGGCTGCACCTGGCAAATCCATGGGGGCAGGTGAAGGTGTGGAGGTGAGACCCTCACCCCAGTAGACCTGGAGGGCAGAGCATCAAGTCAAAGCTAGATGCAGTTCCTGGCTACCCTGGTCTACCTGCACATCCTTTCTGACCCCTTCATAAATGCCTGTCTGAATCCTCTCAACCCACAACTCCGCACACCATCTCCAGAGGCCTTCGCCTGATCCAGGGATATACAGTGCACTTCTCAGTTCCCCACCCCTTTGCTCACTTCCGCCATGGCTCCTCACACGCTGGGTGGCAATTATTGATTTACAGGCAAATCTGCCTCCCCCTCTAGACAGTGAGCTCTTTGAAAGCATGGACTCTCTATTTTGTCTATGTCCTCAGCACCCAATGTAGGACCTAATGAATGTTTGAGGTAAAAAGATATGGATGGATGGATGGAAGAAGGGATGAATGGGTGGAAGGAAGGAAGGAAGGAAGGAAGGAAGAATGGATAAATGGATGGTTAGGTGGATGGATGGGAAGATGAATGGAAGGAAGGATGAATGGATGGAAGAATGGATGGATGGGAGGATGGATGGATGGATGGATGGATAAATTGATGGATGGATGGTGGATGGATAGATAGATGAGTGGAAGGAAGGAAGGAAGGATGGATGAGTGGAGGGTAAAGGCTCTGATTTTGAGAGCTCTTACTGATGGAATAATGGGAAGCACATAGAGGGAAGAGGTTTTTCTACATGGTGTGCAGGACATGCCCCATGGGTTGGCAAACACTGGGCTTCTCTCACATTCTTTCTTGCTCAAGAATCAGCAGAGGGGTATCATGGGAGATGAACATGACAGTGCCCTGAGCAGGCAGACCAGGTTCTGGATATGGCTGTTTGATTAAGCTGCTGCGTAATCTTAAGCAAGTCATGAAACCTCTCCAGACTTCAGATTTTTTATCTGTACTCTTAGACTAGATGAACTAGCACGGCCTTCTTTGCTCTAAAATGCTGACTGTCTGTTAAATGCTCCACAATGGAATGGTTTCCTTTTGGGTTGCTGAGTCAGGTGGAGCAGTTTTAGCCCCAGTTTTCCTCTCATTTGCTGTGTGACTTTAGGTAAATCGCCCGTCCTCTCTGAGCTTCTTTTCTCTAATCTTTAAAATGTGAATGTTAACAGTACTTACTTCACAGCGCACTTTCAAGGATCAGAGACAACTCTGGAAGGACCACGTACATGTATTGTCACACAGTTTGCAGGTGACAGAGGAAGTGCCCATTAGCACTGTGTGGTGCATGTTTGGGGCCATCTGAGATGCCCTGTTTCCATCTGCACTGACTCTCCAAGGCCGAGGATCGTACTGATTCCAAGGGAAATCTGGGAGCAAGGCTGTGTGCACAATTTTATATTCTGTGCCCAGAACAAAGGCTCCTGGCAGAGGAGCTGAGTGGGAGCTGAAACCCAGCCCGCGTGCCCCTTGCCAAGCCATGCTCCCTGGAGCAGAGCTGCATCTGTCTACGGGAGGGGGCACCATTTTGCTTACCCAAAAGGGCCATCTGCACACCACACCAAGTGCCTGTGGGATGACATCCAGGTGGGAACTGGGCAGACAGGAGGTGCCTTCTCCTAATTTGTATAAAGTTTCTCTATGGGCTAGTGGCAGCCGAGCTCCTGAACACTGAAACAACTCCTGAAGTTCACATTCATGGCCTCAGCTGGCCACTTTAATCCTGGGTCTGGGAATCAAGTCCTTACCTGGATAGCCTTCCTGGTGCCTGCCCACCTGAGCGTGTGCCTGGGTCAGCTCACCTCCCCAGCCTCTTAGAGCACGACCCATTATGATGCTCTTTCCTCTCTGGCTGGACCTCCCTGCTGAGAACGTATGGACCAGCATTCCCTCTGGACACTATTCAGTCTGGCAGACAGCACCTCCTTTCCCCAGAGTCGCCGACCTGTCTCGTCTGCCCTGCTTAGGTCACTAACTCACTCTTTCAAAAAGGACTGATG
Source organism: Homo sapiens (assembly GCF_000001405.40). Taxonomy (NCBI): domain Eukaryota; kingdom Metazoa; phylum Chordata; class Mammalia; order Primates; family Hominidae; genus Homo; species Homo sapiens. The sequence goes on along the minus strand of NC_000002.12, from coordinate 10,891,056 downwards.
TAGGGCATCACCTCTTCTTCATCCAGCATGTCACAGGGCAGGCAAGAGGACCTTGTCACAGAGGTGTTGCCTGTTAGGTCCTCTGGAAGCAGATGTGAGGAGGCACTCACTGTGCCAGAGGGTTATCAGGGGTAGACACCGGTGAACAGGAGGACCAGCAGGCAGGACTGAGCAGACAAGGAACCCAAGCTGCACTGCAGGCCCAGCAAAGCCTCGTCAGCCCCCTGGGGAGCTCTGGAGTGGATTTGTCTAGCAGAACTGGGCCACGATGGCTGAGTTGAAGCCCTTGCCTTGATCACTCATTGAAAGTGGACAATCCTGGGAAGGGCCCTTCCCTGCCCAGCCTGGGCTGAAGTCACCCTCTGAAGCCCCAGCAAGCCCTGAAGGAGCGGACATTGGCAGCAACAAGCTCTTACTAAAAGGGGACCTGGGTGGGGCATCTCTACTTGATGTCGAGTAGATAGTCTACTAAAAATTTTTTTTAAAAAAATTCCCCCACAGGAGCTGAGGAATTGCCTGCATCCCTCCTCTTTTTAAAGAAGATTTATCTCACCCGGCTTTTGAGCCAAGTAAAGGCAATTGCAACAACGCTGATTTCCTCGTAGGGCTTTCAAATTGCAGGTCTGCACCTCAGAGTTAGGAATGGTAAGTACTGACTTGGCAAAGACTGTCCCATGTGAAATGGGGAGGATTCCTCAGGAGGGGCTGCAAGAAGGGTGGTTTCCATCTGAGCACTGGCTCTCACCAGGTGCCAAGCAGGAGAGTGTGGCAGGTCACAGCCCACACCTGTCAGCTCAATGGTTTAGAAAACTCGTGAGATCAACTTCATGCATTCAAAATATCCACTGGTGAATGGCAGGGATCCATGGTTACAGGTGTAACAAGCTGATCAGCGTTTCCAAAATAGAGCCACAACATATGGAGATGGAATCTGTCCTGATTTGCCCCTCCGGATTTGCCCAGCCTCCGGCGTGGGGCCATTTGTTGGATGGCAGCCAGAGCACCCACCTGCTCCAGCCTCCAGCATGCCTTCCCCAGCTGGGCAACGCGGATGGGCACCGCTGACTCATAGGCTGCCTAGGCTGCAGCAGCATGGTCCACATGTGCAGCTGGCCCCAGACTGTACCGTACAGACTTGCCTCTAGCACAGAGGCTGCTTGAGCTGAGCCCACCTGCCTGGGAACGGCTGGCAGCTCCTACAGCAGAACATGACCTGGCTCCTCCTACAGCTTCTGGTCTCAAATGGAACACAGTGCATGGTTCTGGTTTCCCCAGAGGCACTCAGTGATTCAACATAGCCTCATGGAGAAGTTACCAACCATGAGGGTGAGCTTTAACCAGTGAGAGCCAGGAGAGCAGAAGGGGCTGGCTGATGAATTTCCTGCCCTTCCAGCACATCTCCCACCACCACCCTAATGGGTTGTTCTGTAATGCAGTGGTTCAGATGGCTTCCCCAGTGACATCCATGTGACTGTGAAGTCAGCTCCATCTTTCTTAGGGAGCTGTGGCCGGCCCAGCCGTGCATTGCTTTGTGTTTGCTTTCCCCCTTTTCTGGACTCACTTCCCTTTCACCTCACCCTTACTTCTCTGGAATTGCAAACCCACCCTGATCCTCTTCCAAAAAATGCCTTGCCTCTTGTGCTATTCCTAGAGAAAGCTAAAGCCTTCATCTCATAAATGTACATAGCCAAGGAAAACATGGTGCATAATCTATGACGGCATCTGTAGAGTCTTCCTGTCTTTAACGATATAATTTGAGACAGCACAAGTTTTTCTTATGTCCTCAGGCTGTGTTGCAATTAGTGACTGATATGATTTGGCTCTGTTTCCCCGCCCAAATCTCACCTTGAATTGTACTCCCATAATTCCCACGTGTTGTGGGAGGGAGCCGGTGGGAGGTAATTTGAATCATGGGGGCGGTTTCCCCCATTCTATTCTCATGGTAGTAAACAAGTCTCACGAGATCTGATGGTTTTATCAGGGGTTTCCGTTTTTGCATCTTCCTCATTTTCTCTTGCCATCACCATGTAAGAAGTGCCTTTTGCTTTCCGCCATGATTCTGAGGCCTCTCCAGCCATGTGGAACTGTAAGTCCCATTAAACCTCTTTTTCTTCCCAGTCTCAGGTACGTCTTTATCAGCAGTGTGAAAATGGACTAATACAGTGATTACACAGTTGACTTACGCTCAGCGGCATGACAGGTTACAGGTCCATTGGTGGCATCACAAATCTCATTATGAACAGTGTGTTATGGGTTCAATTGTGCTTCTCCTCAAATATATGTTGAAGTCTTAACTCCTGGTACCCCTACTTGGAAATAGGGTCTTTGCAGGTGTAATCAAGTTCAGATAAATTATGAATTGTGTTGGACCCTAATTCAATACAACAGATGTACTTGTAAGGCTCGTGTCTCTATTTCCACCCAAACCTCTCAAGGCAGGAGAATGGAGGATTCTTCTCTGGGAAAATGTATGACATCTCGTGTCAGTTCCTCCCCTTATTTTGCCCAAGTTATTTAACCACTCTGAGTCTGTATATAAATCTACAAACTGGATATAAGGATGTTGTGAGTGCAAAAGAAACCATGAATGTGAAAATTCTTCAGAAACCAAAAGGCATGGTGCAGTGTTCATCGTTACTGCTATCACTGTGGCCAGCCAACCCATCTGTGTATGAACAACTTTGGCTTCTTTCAAAATTGAAAGAAAGGCCAGGCACGGTGGCTCATGCCTGTAATCCCAACACCTTGGGAGCCTGAGGTGGGCGGATCACCTGAGGTCAGGAGTTCGAGACCAGCCTGGCCAACATGGCGAAACCCTGTCTCTACTAAAAATACAAAAATTATCTGGGCATGGTGGCATGTGCCTGTAATTCCAGCTACTCGGGAGGCTAAGGCAGGAGAATCGTTTGAATTCAGGAGGGGGAGGTTGCAGGGAGCCAAGATTACGCCACTGGACTCCAGCCTGGGCGACAAGAGAGAAACTTGGTCTCATTAAAAAAAAAAAAAAAAAATTGAAAGAAAAACTCTGATGCCATGTGCAACTATGTCCTTTAAGACCACAACCTTCTCAGGAATTCACTTATCACTGAATATCTAATTGGTTGCAAAGCTCCCTAAAATAATTTATCATAAACAGAGCCTCTAAAGTTCTCTGTCCCTTGTTTTGCTTTATATGAAATAACTATGAAGATAAAAGCAACTGTTAACAGACAACCTCTTCCTACCTACAGAAGATTCTCTCGTGTCAAGGGGAGCACAGTAAAATATTCTCAGATGAGGCATTCATGTGTGGGGTTATGGGCCCATTATTGAACAAAGTAAGTGTTTGCAGCTCACCAGGCATCTGTCAGTGTGCTTGCTGAAATCAAACATGTAAACCCAGACGCATTCGCCCAGACAAACACCACCTGCCTCTGCATTTTAGAAGATCACTTTTTAATCCCTCCAAGTCAGAAATTTTCTTCCTAGACACCAACTGCTTCTTGAGGAACAGTTTTTGGGAGAAGAGTGGAATCCCACTCTCATCTCAGCCCAGTACTTTGGCAGGTGCTAATTACATCCTGGATCAGAGAGAAACTTCTGCACACTTCAGCATTGGGGGAGGTGGCAATTGCAGCTCAGCAGGCAATGAGTGGATGAGAAATTGCTAAAAAGCCTTTCTGGCCAAACATGGGGGCTGGGGAGGTGTGGGTCATGGGCTGTTTCCCTTGGAAGGAAGGGAGCCATTGCTGTAGCTCCCCACTGTCAGCAAATAGACGGGCTCTCCTCGTGTCTCCAGAGCCCCTAGGACCATCCAGGCCATTGGAGGAAGCCCCCAGACTTGCCAGCTTTCCAACTGTCAATAAGCTACTTCTTTCTTCTCCGTCCACCAGAAGAGTGACATCTGTTGAATGGTCAGAGTGCATGATCCCCAGTTGGCCATTCTGAAAACAGAAGGTCATTTCATAGATTTGTGGTGGTACTGCTGGGCCTGACAGGTTGGGCTGCCTTGACCTATCCCACGTAGTGTGCAGACGCTGAGATTTCTCTGCAGAAGTATTTATGTGTTTGATTCCAGGGTGTTGCCTGGATCTCTAGAGTTGCTGGAGGTGTCGTGCAATGTACAGAATATAGATGATATTACTTTTTAAAATATTTTTGGGAAAAACACTGATTCCAAAATACATCTGGCCCTGAGGAATTGTCAACTTGTACTTGGTGGTATTTGAGACCTGCCTTGACCATCTCACCTAGACTCAGAGGAACACTTCCCAGGCAAACAAGAGCACAGCCTGGGCGTTTGCCTGATGCCCTCCGCATTAGCTGTTCCTCCCATAAAGTTGCTCATGGAGAAGGATAAAGTGAACACATCTGGCTGTACCTCTCATTTGCTGCATCATTTCCCCATTGAGGACTCAGTTTCCCCATCTTCAAATGAGAAGTTCTACTTTCTAACATCTAGTCCTTGTGTGCCGTTGAGTCCCAAAGCACCAACTGTGAAACTCAGTGTTATGGACTGAAGTTTCTGTCCCCCCAGAATTCATATACTGAAGCTCTAACACCTAATACAGCTGTAGTTGGTGATGGGGCCTCTAGGAAGTAATTAAGGTTAAATGAGGTCATACACGTGTGCCCTTATAAGAGACACCAAGGCAGGCACAGTGGCTCATGCCTGTAATCCCAGCACTTTGGGAGGCCAAGGTGGGTGGATCACTTGAGGCTGGAGTTTGAGACCAGTCTGGCCAACATAGTGAAACCCCATCTCTAATAAAAATACAAAAATTAGCTGGGTGTGGTAGTGTGTATCTGTCATCCCAGCTACTCAGGAGGCTGAGGCAGGAGAATCACTTTAACCTGGGAGGTGGAGGTTGCAGTGCACTGAGATTGCACCACTGCACTCCAGCATGGGTAACAGAGTGAGACTCCGTCTCAAAAAAAAAAAAAAAAAAAAAAAAAAAGAGACACCAGAGAGCTCAACCTCTTTCTGTGCACATGCATGGAGGAAAAGCTGTGAGCATGTGGGGCACAGAGAACGAGACCCGAGGATATGGTGCCTGGCATGCTGGGCACTTCTGAATGTGAGGAAATTGGAAGCTTTAGAAGGTGCCTCACAGCCAAGGACTTTCTAATCTTCTCTTGCTTCTTGCCCACCTCTCCCCACCCCTGTCCCAGCATAGAAGGGGCACTCTGGAATTTCGTTATCTGATTTTGGAAATCAGATTAAGCACAGGGAGAAGATTAACCACAGGGAGAAGATTAATCACAGGGAGAAGAGGAGAGACCAGGAGTCTTCACCACTCCCCGAGAGAATTTCATCTACTCTTCTGAGGGCAGCTGGAGACATCACCTGGGAGACTCTATCTGCATAATTAGACAACCTTTGTGCACAGTGAAGTTCCACCCCTCACCTTCCCACCACGTCCTCCAGAGCAGAGGGGAACTTTGTCCCAGGACATTGTTCTTTGGGCTCATGCGTTTACTGAAAGTCATTTACTGCCCCTCGCAATTGCCTACAACCCCATTTCCCTCTCCCTTATGAGGAGGGTATTTAAGCCTCAGGCGCCTGGTGCTCCTTTGAATCTCATATTTTCTGTGGCCTTGTGCTTATGCACATTAGCAACTTTGAATGCCTTTCTTCCTCCTATTAGTCTGCATATTGTCAGTTTGTTCAAACCTTCAGAGGAAAAGTTTGAACTTCCCTACAGGACACAGAAGAATGGCAGCCATCTGCAAGCAAGAAAGAGAGGCCTCACTGGAAACCAAATCATCCAGAACATTGACCTTGAACTTCCAGCCTCCAGAACTGTGAGAAAATACATTTCTGTTGTTTTAAGACACACAGTCTATGGTATTTTGTGATGGCAGTCCAGGCTGACTGATACGCACAGTGTGTTTGCCTTTCTAAGAAAAAAAAAATCCACAAAGTGCTGGTGAGATTTTAATTAAAAACCACAACAAATAAAATCTGAACTTGGATTTTAATTGTAAAGGATTAATCTGTATTCCATGGCTAGAGGAAAATGAAATTCAAGTTTTAGGAAAATCTAAGCAGCTAAACCCTTGAGTTGGACAACAGTTGGACCAGAGTCACTGCCCGATGCCAGGACTGGATGTGAGGGATGGTTTCCCAGCAGCACTAGTGTGAGACCATGGCCGAGAGGGAGACCAGGATCAGACTGAGATACAGAGGACTCCTCCCATCACACTTCAGCTCAGGACCCCAGGATGTTTTCTGTGGACCTTCCTGAAATTAAGAAGTGGATTTGCCGTTAACACAGAAACAGCAGAAAGAAAAAAGAGGATATACGTATCTCAGTTACAATGGAGGAGAGATTCACTGCAAGCAGCAGAGCCTGGTTTTGTATGCTGCCCTGACGGCTTCAGAAACCCCACTCCTCCCACTGCGTGGTTCAACCACCCACTGATTTTTTCTTGTTCTCAGGGGCCCTGCCTTTTCCTGTCCTTGAATAAATGTTTGCAGGAACAGCTATCCTCCCATGCAAATGCACACCTCTTTTTCTACAGGCAGCCAGAGAGAAAATCTTGAGTTTGGGGTTAGAATAATATGTCATCTGAGCTGATTCTCTAAAGGATTCCATTACAAAAAGTCCCCTAAATGATAATTGCGGACTTTGTCCTGTTATCAACCACCCCCACCACCCCCCAAGCAGCTGGGCTTAAAATTGCCTGCTGACTGATTCCCTGGGGTTTTCTGTGTAACTCTTCCATCTCCAGTAACATTGCACATGTGTACACATGTGTGCATACACACGCATGCACCCTAAACCCACAAATATTTATTGAATGCTTGTGTAAGACAGTGAAGGCCTTGTGGAAAGTGTACAGTGTGATACCTGCCCTCAAGCAATGATGATCCTGTTGGAGAGTGTGTAAATCTATGAAAAAACAATTTGCAAAGCAAGAGTTAAATATTACCAGCCCCAAGGGAAGAGAGGACAGCTTAATCTTTAATAAAGCTGTCACCTCTGACCCACTGGGTTCTCACAACAGCTCCGAGAAATGCTCATGGCAAAGGCTGCAGAGTGATGAGGGAAGGACCGGAGGGGTTAAGCCATGTGGATTCGCAACACAGAAGGAAGATTGGCCTCGCCAAGCCATCAGCAGGAATGAACAACAACCAAGCGCCGTCTCATTTGCAGTCTTGGCAGCTTGTCTGTACCAAATAAACAACTTAACAAAGAGACCTTGATTTTGATAGTTTGAAAATGGGAGCGGGGTTGATTTACCCAGCGTCTGGCTTTTGCAAAAATCATGCCATTTGAGCTTTCGAGCACTCTGTTCCCCCATCTCCTGGGGTAAATTGACTTTTAAATGAACACAGTTAAATACCCAAGTCTCTGTAACCAGGACAAAGGCTAAAAAGTGCACCTCCTTCCTACACAAGCCACATCAATTTCAGAAAGCACTTTCTCTCGGACCATAGTACATAGCCCTTTCCAGCCCCAGCCAGCAGAACAGAGCCCGTAGAGCCAAAGCCTGGGGTCAGCAGGCTCAGGGGCTGAGGAGGTGGGACAGGAGCTTCTGATTTAGAGGAGGGGAATGTTGAGAGAACCATTTCCCCACCTGCTGCTGTCATCTCCTCTCCTTCCCACTTACTCTTGCACACATAAAGGGAAAAGGATTGAGTTCTTAGAGCAGCGGGTTCCAGTCGGCGGCCTGGGGACTCTTGGGGGGCTGTTGGCAGGACTCTCATGTGCAGGATGCTGATCACTCTATCCGATCATCCATCTACCTGCCCACTCCCTTGTCGCCCCACCAGACATCAGATAAGTCCCCTGCCCCAACCCATGCGTGCTGTGCTATGCTGGATGCTGCTGAGAAGACAGACATGAATCTGATAAGGTCCCTGCTGTCAAGGCCACAGAGTTGCCTGTGGAAAACATAAGGCCTGCTCACTGGTCTGAAGCACTGTGCAGTTAGACAGATCCAGGTTCAAATCTTAACTCTACCATACAATAGCTTTGTTTCCTGGGGCCTCAGATTCCTCATTGGCCAACGTCCCAGTCAAGTAAGTGAAACTGAAATGACCCTCCCTGAGCACACAGTAGATACTCAATAAATGTTAATCCCCATTCTCCTTCCCAGGAGAGGATTAAACGATTACCTAAGACTGGCCTACAGGACTGAAAATGGAGATTAAGACAGAGCAAAGCATGACAGAATTGGGAAAGACATTTTCTGCCTCACCTAAGAATTTTATTCTATTATGGAAAGGAAGCTGCTGGCCCACTCCTGCCCAAAGCATTGTAGTGTAGCCTCCCTCTTCTCCCGATGTCATAACCATGTGTTCCTAGCACCTAGACACATGGTGGACATTAGTGGGTATTTCATTAAATGAGGTTCTCCTGGTGTTTCCCAAGTCAAAAGCAGCTCTGTACCCTGCATTGCTGTGTTCCCATCTCAGCAATCCTGTGCATTATTTTGTTTTGGAAAGATCCAAAAACAAGAGAGAAATAAACTTCTATCACGCAGACAACCCAGGGAGGGAGTGATCTGTTATGAGGGAACTCAGTTTCTGCTAGGCCTTGTGTTCAAAGTTATATGCAGTTTCCAGCTTAGTTTTCCTAATGATGATGGAAGAGATGACAACTATTCCAGGTTTACAGAGAAGAAAAATAAGTTCAGAAAGGTGACATGATGACAGACTCCCAGGCCAGTGCTCCTGTTCCACAGCTGTTCCACAGCTGCCTTTTCTGATGGCTGTGAGTTGTGGGGTGAAAGTCCTGGGGAGGGGAGCGGTTCTCTAATTCCAGCTACTCGGGTGGCTGAGGCAGGAGAATCGCTTGAACCCAGGAGGTGGAGGTTGCGGTGAGCGGAGATCGCACCACTGCACTCCAGCCTGGGCAACAAGAGCGAAACTCAGTCTCAAAAAAAAAAAAAAAAAAAAAAGTTAAGATCCATAAGATCCAGCCATTCTACTCCTAGAGGAAAAAATATAGATGTCCATGTCAGGGAGGGGAACAACACACACTGGGCCTGTTGTGGGGGCAGGAGGAGGGAGAGCCTTAGGACAAATAGCTAATGCATGCGGGTCTTAAAACCTAGATGACGGGTTGATAGGTGCAGCAAACCACCATGGCACATGTTTACCTGTGTAACAAACCTGCACATCCTGCACATGTATCCTGGAACTTAAAATTAAATTAAATTAAATGTTAACAATGTATAGATAGATGTCCATGTAAAGACTTCTGCATAGATGTTCAGAAGAGCTGTATTTGTAATAGACCCAAGTTGGAAACAGCCCAGATGTCCTTCAGCAGGTGAAAGAATGAACACACTGGCATATCCACACCAGGGAATACCACTCGGCAAGGAAAAAGAGGGAATGGCGGACACAGTCAACAACATGGATCACACTCAGAGGTATAATCTAAGTGAAAGAGGTCAGATACAAAAGGCTGTTGTATGATTGCCTTTATGTGCCACTCAGAAAAAGGCAAAACCATTAAGGACAGAAATCTAAGCCACTGTTGCCAGGAGCTGGGGATGGGAAGAGTGATTGAGTTCAAACGGGATGAGAGTGATCGCTTGGGGGTGATGAAAATATTCTGTCTGGATTGTGGATTGTGGTGGTGTTGACACAACTCTATACATTTTGCAAATCTTACAAAACTGTCCAACTAAACTTCACAGTATGCAAATTACACCTCAACAAACCTGACTTTAAAATTTTTTAAGTATTATCATTACCATATTCAGTGATGGTTTCCTCCTTTTTTTTTTTTTTAGCAAAAGCTTATCACTAAAATGAGAGAAAAAGAGCACTATATATACCAATTTCTGCTGATTAATCCATGACTAAATGCCATATTTTTGTATGGAGGGCTATAAATAAAGATTTCTATCACACACACGGTGCATGCGTGCACTGTACCTGATGAGGAACTTTTAGAGCCCCTGCCTCTATGACAGTCGCTGGCACAGAATGGAGATGAGGAAAGTGGCTGTTATCATGCTCATGATGCTGTTTCTCATGCTCGTGTCACTCGCCACAGCCACAGACACATGCGGAAGGCCGGCAGGGCCAGTATTATCATTGCTTCTGTTTTATAAATGTGAAAATGAAGTGAAAGATCTTACCAAAGGTCACACGGCAGGTCCATGGCAAACCCTGAACTTGAATCCATGTCTTTATACCACAGACAAAGTCATACATTTCCATTCATCTTCTCTCCAAAAGCAAGGAAGTGAAAGCCAGGCGGGAGGCGGGGGTATGGACTTAATTGTAAGCCCTGTCGAGGGAAAAATTCATGGGCAGGAAGTAAGCTTGTTACAGACCGTGGTCTGTTCTGGGAGCTTCCGCAAACCAGCTCTGGCGAATCTGAAAAGGCCGCCCACTCCTTCGCACCGGGAGCCTGTGAGGTGGTGCGGGCCCAGATGTGACCAGGACACACTGGACGTTGCTCAGCGGTGGCCTCCACACCAGGTCATGAGGCAGACAGAGTTCCTGGGAGTTTGACATCCTGGACCCAACCCGGCCCAACCCACACTGGCTGCATTTTGAAGCCACCAGGCAGCCCCTGGGCCCAGGACGGCCTGGGAAGGGAGGGCTTGATGAACAGGTCCCCACCCTCCTCCCTCCTGTGTCCCCGTTCTGCGGCCGCCTCCTTTGCCAGGGCCCCAGGTGGCGCCGGACTCCCCTTCCTGCCCTAGAGGCCTCCTCTACGGCCCTGTCCCCATGGGGAGCTCCATCCTGTTCACCACAGGAAGCATTTCCCAAAGGGAGCTGCTCCAGCCACCAGGTCTGAGGGATGGTGGGTGGGGCGGGTGGGGAGGGGGCATTTTCAGAAAGAGTTCTGAGGAAAAAAATGACTTCTGTGGGAAATTCCAGGTTGAAGCGTCATGGGTTGAATCGTGCCCCCTCCGAAAGCTTTGTTGAGATTCTAACCCCCAGTGTTACCACTAGAGGGTCGTGACGGCAAGCTGTCCAGGTTCTTGGCTTTTTGAACGAAGAATTGGACAAAACGCCCAGCAAAGCAAAGAAAGAATGAAACAACAAGAGAACGAAAGGAGGGATTTATTGAAAATGAAAGTACACTCCACAGTGTGAGAGTGGACTGAGCAGCAGCTCAAGAGCCCAGATCTGGAATCTTCTAGGGTCCAAATACTCTCTACACGTTTCCCATTGGCCACTTGGTGATCATATTATGTAAATGAAGTGCTGGCCCACAATTGGTTGCTTTCTGCAACCAATCAGAAGCTGAAATGAAGTTACCAAGATCACGCTCCTGTGCAAACATCTGATTGGCTGCAAAAAGCAACCAATCAGAGGCTAAGATGAAGTTGCAAAGTTGCATTTCTATGCAAAGGAAGACTCAGCGGCCCGGCAATCAGTCTGACTGGTTGCGGAAAACCAATTTCCCATCTGTGGTGCAGAAAAGGTGGGGGTTTTGCACAGGGAGTAGCCTCTGGTCCTTTTGTTACTTAGTCCTGGAAAGTTAGGTGTTTCCTTTCAATTCAGTTCTAGGAAGTCGGCTTGAAACGGCCTTAGGTTCCCCGCCTCCAAACCCTATTCTCCTGCCTCACCAGCACCTCAGAAGGTGACCTTCACTGGAAACAGGTTTGCTGAAGATGTGATTAGTTAAAATAAGATGTCCTGCTGCACTAGGGTGTGCCCTTAATCCAGTGTGACTGTGTCCTTAGGAGAGAGACACACAGAGACACATGAGGACAGAAGCAAGCCTGAGGTGCCACGGATGCCACAGACGTCACAGACGCCATGGACTGTCAGCCACCAGCAGCTGGAGGAGCAGGAAGGACCCTCCCTAGGCCTCCAGATGGGGCACGGCCCTGCCGATTCCTGGATCTCAGACTTCCGGCCTCCAGAACTGTGAGAGAATCGATGTCTGTTGCTCAAGCCCCAGCGTGGTGCTTTCTTACAGCAGCCCCAGGACACTGGGACACTGGGACACTCACACACACAACGTCCATAACCATTTTACTTTTCAGAGACTTGAACAAGCTAACCTGCAAGAAGTTCCAAGAAGGAGGAGGCAATCACCCCCTTGTCTCCATTTATTTTACCACAAACCTTTTTCCTCAAAAAAACTCAGTGTGCCATGAAACGTACTTTGAGAAGTGGGGGTCTTTGGCATGCATCTGTGGTACCCCAGGAAGGTGACATAGAAGGAGGGGCCAGGCAGGGACCACAGAGTCTGGGTGCCCCTCCAGAGAGGGTGTCTCACCAAGCCACAGGCCAACACCAGGCCCCGCAGAGACCCCTGCTCGTGCTCAGTGAATGAGTGGGCACCCCGACTAACAGGAATTTCATCCTATTGACAGACAACCGACCCTCTGCCTCTGGACCAGTGTAGGGGTTCACCCCAAAGGGAGGCCCCACCAGACATTTGCTCGCCTCCCTGGCCTCAACTCCCAGGCCTCCCCAGCCCCTTGCCCACCCCAGGCTTCCGTGACACCAAGCTGCCACATGCCTTGCCTTCTCTGCTCTGGGCCTTCTCACACATTGTTCCTGCTGTCTAGAATGACCCCCTACTCTCACTCCAATTCCACCTTTTGTCTGCTGACTGGATCGCCACTCATTCATGAAGGCCAAGTTCAGGGACTATGGACGCCCCTCTCAGGCCACACCTCCCCACCCTCTGCCAGCACCTTCCACAGTGAGGGCCCTGACAGCTCCTCCACCCTGGTGTCCAGGCAGCTTCTCGCAGTGAAGAGAAGATGAACTTCAACATGGCGGTAGCAGTTCACGCTGACCTTCTCCCTTGGCCTTGGGCAACTTGCTTTGCCTCTTCAAATTTCTGTTTTCTCATCGATAAACATTATCTATGAGCCAGATGTTTGTGAAAATAAAATAGCGTATTACTGATAGGTGCTGGACATCTAGTCGGTGTAAATAAAATTGCGTTGTTATACTGTTGGTAACATAGGATTTGTCCGGGGGCAGCTGGACCGGGAGCTCCTTGAGGACAGAGGCGGTGGGTGTGCCGCTCCTCTCTGCAGCCGAGCCCCCAGTCCTCCCAGAGTGAATGTTTGCTGACTGCACGAGGGAGCCATCCCCTTGGAGGCTCAGCAGGGTGTGGGCTGTGTTGTCAGCCCTTCCTCCTCCTGTTCACAGCCTTCCCTTAATGACTCAGGAGCACTCCCGGCAGCATCCCCTCTTACAACACACTGCCTTGCTCCAGGGTTGGCGATGGGATCGTTCCCCCCAGTTCCTAGAGCCTAACAGCACCTAGAGCACTGTGATTCTGCGTCTGATTCTGAGTCGTGGGGACATGAGCATCAGGGGTCTCCCCCAAGCACTCCATTTAACATTCACCCCCACGCTGGCACCATCAGCCGAGCAGATAGCATTTCCTGTCTCAGAACGTTCTTGTCATTTGTTTAAGCAAGTTGAAAACTGCTGCACCAGATCCCACTGAAAGGAAGTACTCAGAAGTCAGGTGGGTTGGGAAGTCGGGGAAGAAGGTCCCTCCCTTTACATGTCGTAATTTTTTCTGTTTTCTAAATTTATTTATACTGGATGTTCTAACATGCTGATAAAAGCCATCTACAAAAACATGCATTCATTAAACAGATATTGGGTACCTTCTATTCACCAAGCTCTGTAATGGGGTAATGGAGTCAAAATTAAAATTAAAAATTCCTACCCTTAATAAATATATTGATTAAGGTACACATTAAATGGCTAGAACAAAAAACGCCCCTACAGACAATGACCCAAACACTATAAGAGTTTGTTTTTCTCTTTTGTAACAGTCCCAAGGTGACTTCCACTCCACAAGGGCATTCCAGGAATCAGCTTCCTTCTATCTTTTTTTTCTTGCTGAGGTATAACTTACATGCAATAGGCACATAAATCTTAAAAGAATAGCTCAATCAATTTTTATGTGTGTATACACCTGTGTAACCACCACCCAAGTCAAAGTACAGAACTTTTCCAGCACTCAGGCTAGGCATGGTGAGTCACGTCTATAATCCCAGCACCTTGGGAGACCCAGGTAAGAGAATCACTTGAGGTCAGGAATTCAAGAATGGCCCGGGAAATCTAGTGAGACCCTGTCCCTATAAAACATAGAAAAAATTAGCTGGGCATGGTGGCTTTCACCTATAGTCCCAGCTACTGTGGAGGCTGAGGCAGGAGAATCACTTGAGCCCACGATGTTGAGGCTGCAGTGAGCTATGATTGTGCTACTGCACTCCAGTCTAGGCTACAGAAGAAGACCTTGTCTCAAAAAAAAAAAAAAAGAAAAGAAAAGAAAAGAAAAAGAATGCTTCCAACATTCAAGTTCCTCCTGTCTTATTGCTTTGTAATACCCTATGGTGTTATCTTCATTCCACAACAAAAACTCACTCATTTTATCACCTCTACATTTCAACCCACAGGAAAGAGAGAGAAAAAGGAGGAAGGCATGTAATTTCCTAATTTAAAAAACAAACGGTGATCTGGAAGTTGCAGAGATTGCTTCTGTCACACTCTATTAGCTAATTCTTAGTCTTATGACTATACGAGCTATAAGCATAGCTGGGGAAAATTGCCTCTAGTTGGGCAACCACATAAGCCAAATAAATTCTTGAGTTTTTATTACAAAGAGGAAGTAGGTGTTATTTCCATTTTATAGATGAAGAATCTGAAGATCGGAGAGATGAAGTGGTTTGCTTTAGCTGAACTGAATTATACACCAAAGTTTGTCTGATCCCAGAGTTAGTTTCCTAACACTTGTCTTTAAATTAACAGAAAGGCCAGGCATGGTGGCTCACACCTGTAATCCCAGCACTTTGGGAGGCCGAGACAGGCAGATCACCTGAAGTCAGGAGTTCAAAACCAGCCTGGCTAACATGGTGAAACCCTGTCTCCACTAAAAATGCAAAATTAGCTGGGCATGGTGGCACGTGCCTGTAATCCCAGCTACTTGGGAGGGTGAGGCAGGAGAATCACTTGAACCCAGCAGGCTGAGGTTGCAGTGAGCCAAGATTGTGCCACTGCACTCCAGCCTGGACAATAGAGCCAAACTCCATCTCAAAATAAATAAATAAAGGCCAGGCGTGGTGGCTCACGCCTGTAATCCCAGCACTTTGGGAGGCTGAGGTGGGTGGACCACCTAAGGTCGGGAGTTCGAGGCCAGCCTGACCAACATAGAGAAACCCCATCTCTACTAAAAATACAAAAATTAACCAGGCATGGTGATGCATGCCTGTAATCCCAGCTACTCAGGAGGCTGAGGCAGAAGAATTGCTTGAACCCAGAAGGCAGAGGTTGTGGTGACCCGAGATCGTGCCATTGCACTCCAGCCTAGGCAACAATTGCGAAACTCCATCTCAAAAAATAATTAATTAATTAATTAACAGAAAGTTTCAGTTGAGACACCTATATCTAAGAATACTTAAGCCATTAGCATAGACATAATAGCCTTACGTTCTGTAGCAGAGCAATTCAGAAACAATTGAAGTTTGTATAAAAATTTCTGTTAAGTTTCGACTTCCAGTATGGTGACATGAGTAGCTCCTGGACCTGCTCCCCAGTGAAACTGGTGAACATTATTTTTTTAAGAAACCAACAATTTAAATTCTCTGGTAATAGTCCCAAGGGCATGAGTAAATGAAACATTTACTCAAGAAAATCTGCAAGAACTCAGTAAGAAGAGTGAAAATTTGTGGTATTTGAACCACGACTTACTCTCTCCTCCCCTAGTTCCACCTCAGAGTGACTGAAATTCCACTCCAGACAGGTGCAGCCAAGAACACAGAGCTCTGTCTGGCTCACCCACCCGCAACACACAGCTCTTAGTTGGAGAGCTATGGTGTCTTCCTGCTTGCCTGGAAGGAACAAGATGTCAGCATTTCTCATTCTGCCCCCAATCCCTTGCGGCAGAGGCAAAGCTCTGGGCCAGTACAGCTGAAAGGAGGAGGCTTCCTCCAAGCTGAGGCAATGCCAAACACAATGGAGGCTGTGGTGAAAAGCAATTAGGAGAAGACTAGTAGATTCATTAAAGATATAAGCTAAGCCATAGGTTGGCTAGTTTTCCAGCAAGAACCAGGAAAAGAAGCAGATAAAAAGATCTCTCCTAGAGTAAGAACAAATCTGAAACACTGACCTTAAAAACTATCCCTCAGAGGCCGGGTGTGGTGGCTCATGCCTGTAATCCTAGCACTTTGGGAGGACGAGGTGGGCAGATCATCTGAGGTCAGGAGTTTGAGACTAGCTGGGCCAACATAGTAAAATCCCGTCTCTACCAAAAATACAAAAATTAGCCAGGCATGGTGGCTTATGCCTGTAATCCCAGCTACTCGGGAGGCTGAAGCAGGAGAATTCACTGGAACCCAAGAGGCAGAAGCTATAGTGAGCCGAGATCGCGCCACTGCACTCCAGCCTGGATGACAGAGCAAGACTCCGTCTCAAAGAAAACACAAACAACAACAAAAAGCTATCCCTCAGAGAGGTTACACCCTATCAGTCTTTGTGTGCCACCATCCCCCTCTTTCTCGGTGCTACCTAGAGTGGTGGCAGCCATCTCTTACTCGGCATCATGGCCACCCTCAGACCCCTTGTGAAACTCAAGATCATAAAAAAGAGGACCAAGAAGTTCATCCAGCACCAGTCAGACGTATGTCAAAATGAAGCATAACAGGTGGAAACCCAGAGGTATTGACAACAGGGTTTGTAGAAGGTGCAAGGGCCAGATCTTAATGCCCAACATTGGTTATGGGAGCAACAAAAACACAAAGCACCTGGGGCCTAGTGGCTTACAGAAGTTCCTGGTCTACAATGTCAGGGAGATGGAAGTGCTGCTGAAGTGCAACAGAGTTAAGGACAGCAGAGGCCACACCACGCTCAAGAGCTGGCACTGCCTATCCTTGGAGTGAGCTCTGTGCTGGAACGTAGCTTGTGCTGGTGCCAGGAGGGCACAGGAAGGAGTGTGAAGGTTGCTTGTTTGTTTGTGAGAGGAGACATCTAAGGAAACAGAATTGACTTTATCATCATCACTTCTTATCAGCTGTCAAAGATAACTGTGGGCCTCATGCGGTATGGGACCAAGTGACTGCTTTTCACCTATAATCTGGAAACACCCGTCAGGCCAGGAGAACCGGAAATGAGCCATGAAGAGAACGTTTGCCTGATGCACAGCCAGGATCGAGTCATTCTAAGAAGCTCTAATTTATTCTGCTTGAGAAATCCCCTGAGAAACTTCTCTTGGGAAGCCACAGTTGCCTCTGTTCCTGGCCCCACCTTTTCTCATCAGTGACTTTATCATCTCACCAAATGGAGGCACTCAGAAGGCAGACGAGTCAGACGGCTCTTACCCAGTGAAGGCCTTGCTGTCACTCTAAAATGGACTATGATGGGTGGGTGGGTGGGTGGGTGGGGTGAAGCTCTTGGCACAGCCCCTAATCCTCTCAAGGATGGATTTCTCTACAGGGCACGGGGAGCCAGTGAGCTGGAGGATGGGGGTGAAGCCACAGAAGGGGCAGCTTCAGCTGCTTCTGCCAGCCTCAGGATGACCACTTTTCTTGCTGGCCTGGCTAATTTTATGCACCCGCCTCTCACACCAGAGAAGTTGAGGTTGTTGGTTGGGGGAAAGAAGGGAGAAAAAAAAAACTGGTCCCTGAAATGGCTCTCACAGTCTGTATCTGGAAAGTACCAATGGCATTTTCTGCCAAAATGCTACCCAGCAGGTTTTAAATATCACACAAGCATGTCTCCACATCAGTGATACGTCTGAGTCTGCAGTGCTGGTCAGAGGCAGTTCAGCCCAACAGCAGGCACTGGGGCTGTCATGTTAACACTCATATCCCTGGTGCCTCCCACGGGGCTGGCACAGAGCTGGTAGTCAATAAAGATTTTCTAAATGATTTAATGAATGAAACAACAACAACAAAAAGCTATTCCTTAGAGAAGCCCAAATTTAATTGAATCAGTCAATAGAGCAACCTAGGGCATTGTTGAAAACAACAGGGAAATCAGCCAGCAATTTGTGGAGTTTAACAACATATGGCTGTGGTCAGGGAAAAAGACAATCAAAGAGAGCCCTGTCAAATCTGCTGCTAACCCAGGGTAACTGTGCATATGCCCAAGGCTGTGCCTCTGAGGAGCAACATCAGAGGCTTTAACTTGTGGGGACTGGAGGGTGGACTTCACAGCCAGTCACTAAACAAATAAACAATCAAGTATTACTAACAAGCCCCAGAGGAGAAGAGAACCCATCTCTACAGTTGCTGTATTATTTACAATGTCCCATTTCCAACAAAAAATTATGACATGTAAAGAAACAGGAAAATCTGACCCATATATGAGTGGAAAAGCAGGAAACACAAACTGAGAGCAACCAGCTATCAAATTTGACAAAGACTTCAAAGTAGTTATTATAAATATATTCAAATAACTAAAGGAAATCATGATTATAGTAAAGTAAACCATGATTAAAGTAGGGTAAAGGAAGGTGTGATGACAATGTTGAACTAAATAGAGACTATTGATATAGACTAAAGAGATGGAAATTCTTAAAAAGAACCAAATGGAAATCCTGGAGTTGAAAAGTAATAACTGGAATGACATTTTCACTAGATGGGCTCAAAAGATTTATTTGAACTGGCAAAAGAAAGAATTACCAAACTTGAAGATGGATCAATAGAGATTATGCAATTTGAAGAAAAGAGAAAAAGAAAGAATGAAGAAAAATGAACAGAATCTCAGGAAAATGTGGAACACCATTAAATGCATCAACATATGCATAATGAGAGTCCCAGAAGGAGAAAAGAAAAAGAAAAAAGCAGAAAAATTATTCAAAGACATAATAGCTGAAAACTTCCTAAATTTTATGAAAAACATTAATCTACACATCCAAGAAGTTCAACAAATTCCACATAGGATGAACACAAAGACATCCACAAACAGACGCATCAAAGGAAGTCACAACATGATCAACAGCTGACTTCTCATCAGAAACAATGGAGGCCAGAACACAGTGGACAACATTCAAAGTACTGAAAGAAAACAGCTGTCAGCAAAGAATCCTGTGTTCATTAAAGCTGTCTTTCAAAAATAAAGACATTCTCAGATCAACAAGAACAGAGAATCCATTGCTAGCAGACATGTCTTAGAAGAAATGCCAATATAAATTCTTATGACTGGGCCAGACACAGTGGCTCACACCTGTAATCCCAGCACTTTGGGAGGTCGAGGTGGGTGGATCACAAGGTCAGGAGTTTGGGACCAGCCTGGCTAACATGGTGAAACCTGGTCTCCACTAAAAATACAAAAATTAGCTGGGTGTGGTAGCATGAGCCTGTAATCCCAGCTACTCAGGAGGTTGAGGCAGGCGAATCGCTTGAATCTGGGAGGTGGAGGTTGCAGTGAGCCAAGATCATGCCACTGCACTCCAGCCTGGGTGACAGAGCTATTCTGTTTTTTTTTTTTTTTTTTTTTGTCTCAAAAAAAAAATTCTTATGACTGAAAGTAGGTAAGTCAATACCATAGTTCAAATCCACATGATAAACAAAGACCATGAGTATAGATAATTATATAATTATAAAAGACATTATAAAGACATATTTCTTTTCCTTTCTTAACTGATTTAAAAAGCAATTATATAAAACAATATGTACTTACTTGTACTGTTGAGCCTAACCATGTAGAAATGGAACATATTCATAAATAACAGCACAAAGGAAGTGGGTGGGAAAACAGCTGTATTGAGCTAAGGCAATAACTCCCTATGGTAACTCAATTTACAGGAACAAATGGAGAGAGCCAGAAATAGGAAATATGGAGGTTAGTATAACATAAGCTATAAATATATACTTGCCCTCCTTTCTTTCCTTGGCTTCTTTAAAAGACATAAAATTACATAAAGTAATAATATAACAATGTATTCCTGGGTTTATAACATATAAATGTAATATGTCTGACAATAATACCACAAAAAGGTGGGAAAGAGAATAGAACTATACAGGACTAAGTTTACTGGAACTTAATTAAATCTCACTGGAATTAAGTCAGTGTAAGTCTAAAGCAGATTCTGATACATGAAGATGTATATGGTGAGCCCTAGAATAGCCCCGGAGAAAAACCCTCCAAAAATTAGAGGGAATATTATTAAAGTAATTAAAATGTTGCATTGGAACATATTCGCTTAATGTAAAAGAAAGAAGTAAAGGAGGGATAGAAGATAGAAAAAGACATAAGACATATAGACAACAAAAAGTAATTCCAGCTCCTAGGAAAATTTGTAAAAAAAAATTTTTTTAAGTAAAATAATAGATGTAAAACTAACTATATCAATAGTAATATTATGTGTTAATGGATTAAACAATCCAATCAAAATGTAGAAATTGTCAAACTGGATTTTAAAAACAGGATCCAACTACATGCTGCCTGCAGAAGACACACTCTAGACACAAAGATAGAAATGGTTGAAAGCATTTGCTGCCTGGTAAGCAGAGAAACCCAGAGAAACAGGCTGCCTCCACCTTGGTTCCTCTCAATATCCTTCACCACATCTTTTGCCATATAAGGTGACATTGACAGGTTTCAAGGGTTTAAAGTGGATGTCTTCTAGGGTGTTATATGTTGGATTAGCGCAGACGTTGATAGCATCAGTCACTGTCCATCCATTGCCTAAGCCAATATATTCCTTGTCATTAAAATGGGCCAGAGAGAGGAAGGCAGGGGTAGAGACCTTTCAGTTCTGACCTCTAAAATTCTCTCTTGAGGAATGCAGAAACAGGACTTCCACATTTTTTCTATCACATTTCTCTTGTGCTACCCCCACCTTACCTCATTTATGAGCCAACACATATTCATTGAGTATCTCCCCCACAACTCCATATTTCTTTTACAACTGAGCAATTAAATGGATAAAATTCTAAAATTTCCTATTTGGAATGAGACTAAGGACAGTGTATTAGTTGCCTAAGGCTGCCACAACAAATCACCACAAACTGAGTGGTTTAAAACAACAGCAATGTATTCTCTCACAGTCCTGGGGCCCAGACGTCTGAAATGAAGCTGTTCGCAGGTCCATGTCCCCCAACACTCAGAATAGAGCCCTTCTTGCCTTTTCCTAGTTTCCACTGCTGGCCATCAATGCTTAGTGTTTCTTAGCTTGTAGCTGCAACCACTCCTCACTCCAGTCTCCACCTCTGTCTTCACATGGGGATCTGCCTGTGTGTCTCAAAATCTCTCTGTTCTTAAGAGGACACCGATCATTGAATTAGGGCCCACCGAATTCAGTATGACCCCATCTCAATTTTGTTCTACCTGCAAAGATTCTATTTCCAAATAAGGTCACATTCACAGGTACAGGGGGTTAGGATTTCAACATATCTTTTGGAGGAACACCATTTAACTCACCAGCAGCAGGAGAGTGAAAGAGCGGTGATCTTTAACTGAACATTCACTGTTACATGCATTTTCGTATGAAATCCTCCATGGCATAGGGATTATCATCTTTGATTGATAGATGAGGAAATCGAGCCTTAAAGAGGTCGAGTGATCATCTCAAGTCACGCAACTTGTAAGTGGCATAAATAAGATTCCACCCCAAACCTGCCTTCTTCCAAATCTGGATGACACTTACACCCAATCTGGCTGTCTCATATCACCCAGCCCACCCGTGCATTCTGCAGACTACAGAGCTCTTAACACCCCTGAGAAGGGCAAATGCATGCCCTTGTCTCCCAGCAAGTCTCTGGCAAAGCTAAGGCCAGAAGTTGCATCTCCCAAGCCCCGGTCCAAAGCACGTTCGATCACTGTGCCTAGATAGTATCCACAGAAGAGGCTCCTCAATTCCTGTGAGCGTGTTTGTGACAAGTGGAATTCTGTTTCCCACTGCGAGCAGGACCAGGGGTTAAGAAGTGGCTCTGTGATTCACGGAGACCTGAGTGGCTGCCCGGAGGACACCAAAACAGGAGATGGTCTAGAGGAGATGCATAGCTGGAAGCTGAGCTGGCATGTGATGAGGCGCCAGGCACTTAGGGCAGGAATTCAGCACCCCTCTCTCAGGGCACCTCTCCCAGAAGGAATGAGCTGGCGAGCCCGAGGATGGCCCCTCTGGGGGATGGCTTCTATGCAGCAACAAGAGCCTCAGAGGCCCCAGTCAGGTGGGCCTGAGCCCCGAGCTTCCTGTGTCCCGCAGGCCCCTAGGCCGTGGCATGGGGTGGGCTGAACCAGGGCCTGGAAACCCACAGGAGTGGTTTGGACCTTGGCTCAGGCATCTGCCAGCTTTGTGCTGCTGGGCACATTCCAGCCCAGAGACAGGGATCAAGGATCCCTCACGGGCTTTGGTTTGGGGGATAAACTAAATGAGATCGAGCATTAAAGCCCTGAGCCAGGGCCAGGGGGAGCAGCATCGTCTCTCTGTGGCTGATTGGAGGTGGTAGATGGGAATGCTGAGTCCCCAGCTCGCTCCTTTCAGAGCTTTCCAGGCACACAGCAGGCCCAGTGCCAGAGGCAGGCCCTTAGCTGGGCCTGGCCTGTGCCACAGCCTTGCAGGGATGGCTGAGGGAACAGTAGGCCAGAGCTAGTATTCCTGAGCCCCCACAATAGGTACCCCTCTGCCCAGCCACACACCCAGTTGCCCTATTTTGTCAGTTTTCTATTTCCTCAAGCGACCCTTTTGCTGGATCAAGGGCATATTGAAGGGTATGGTCAACCCCTCTGCCACTGCCTCGCTGTGTGAGCCTGGGAAAAACCCCTCCCCGCTCTGGTGAACACAATGGTGGCTGACAGCCCCTGTAGACAACATTTTCTGATTCTGCACACAGGTTTTCCAAAACACAGCCCTGCTCTTATCATTCTTCATAACAATCTGTTTAATGTCTCCCTTCTTCCCGAGCACTCTTGGTTCCACAGGAGCAGAGACTGTGCTTATCTCTTCCTCTCTTATACCCCTGGCATCCAGCATGTGGCAGATGCTCTATAAATCTTTGCCTACTGACATCCTCCCAACTCAGGGCTCATCGGGGCCACAGGGCAAGAATGTTGATTATCTACTGCATGCCAACAAGTGAACTGAGGATTTCCCCATGTGGTATCTTCGTTAATCTTCATAACTGTGAAAGTTAGGGATTATTATCCTCACTGGGGCCAAGGATGGAGCCCAGGTGCCCTACTAGGAACTATCCTATAGTCTCCATATGACAGAATTCCAGAATGAAGGAGCAGAAGCAGATCCTAAAGGCAGCTTCACCTCCCCAGCCTGTAAAAGGCAAAATGCCAAGAGGTGGCATCTCAGGAGAGGCCGGGAAAGGAAGGCATTAACTCATCTTGAGTGCTGCAACATGTTAGGTGGAGTTCCTGGTGCTTCATAGTCGTTACCTGGTGTAATTCTTACACAGAGCCTGGGAGGCATGACCTTGTTATCACCATTACAGAAGAGGAAACAGGCTCAGAGAGGTTAAAAACTTGCTCCAAGTCTCTCAGCTATGGGCAGCAGGGAAGGGTTAGAACCTGGGTCGGTCTGACTCCTAAACCCTAGCCCCTTCCACCTCTGCAGACTCCACACTTGAAATTTGTTGTGGACTAAATCGTGTGCCCCCAAAAATCATACGCTGAAGTCCTAGCCCCCCTCCCCCACCATGTGGCTGTATTGGAAATATGGCCTTTAAGAAGAGATGAAGGTCAAGTAAGGTCATAAGGGGTGGAACCCTCATGGGGTAGAACTGTTGTCCTTATAAGAAGCAAAGTCAGGCCGGGCACGGTGGCTCATGCCTGTAGTCTCAGCACTTTGGGAGGCCAAGGCAGGCAGATCACTTGAGGTCAGGAGTTCAAGACCAGCCTGGCCAACATGGTGAAACCCTGTCTCTACTAAAAACACACACACAAAAAAAAAATTTGCCAGGCATGGTGGCACACACCTATAATCCCAGCTACTTGGGAGGCTGAGGCAGGAGAATCACTTGAACCCAGTGAGCCAAGATCGCGCCACTGCACTACAGCCTGGGCAACAGAACGAAACTCTGTCTCAAAAAAAAAAAAAAAAAAAAAAAAAAAAAGAAGCGAAGTCAGAGCTCTCTGATGTGGCTGTGTGAGCACACAGCAAGAAGACAGCTATCCAGGAGTCAGGAAGAGGACCCTTTTCAGAACCCAGCTGTGCTGGCAGCCCAATCTCAGACTTCCAGCCTCCAGAACTGTAAGAAAATACATTTATATTATTTAAGCCACTCATCTGGTTAGGGCAGCAAACAAAGATTTTTTTCAAACACCAAATAGCTCAGCATTGAATGGAACAAGCTTTTATGAACTCCTTTCCCCATTCCTCATTCTTTTAGAGAAAAAGTAGCTTTAATATCCCCCAAGGACATTATAGCATTTGCAGAGAACTGGGAACTACTGCTGATTGATTTAACTTCCTCAGCAAGAATTGATGACCCCATGAGTGCTCCCCAGGAGCTTCCAGAATCCCTGAAAGTGATTTTTCCCTGGTCTGAAGACTCTACCTTATAAATTCGCTGACCGTCATCACCCCTCTTTCTGGATGGCAACTGTCTGGTTTTCTCTGGGAAGCATCTGTTCTGCGAAAAAGACCTCATATCTTCTCAGTTAATACAGAGTGTTCACACATATGTGATCTGCTCCACAATACTGAGGACAGAGTTGTCTTCTTCCCAGTTTCACGGATAGGGAAGCTTTGGGGTGGGGGCAGTGTTACCTGACTAAGGAGGCTTTGGGGCGGGAGTAGTGTTCAGCTGACTTGCTCAGGAAGAGCGTTCTTGAACTCTGTTCCTGGTCTCTGATCCCCTGTCAATGTCACAGCTAAATGCTCTCATTTTGCACAATAAGTGTGTGCATTGGAATAAATTGTGTTAAATAAGTGAATCAACTCATGGGCAAACAATTAAATGCAAAATGACAACTCAATAATTAGAGCTATTTGAACATCAGCCAGAGAGAACTAACACAAAAATAAACAGGAGGAGGAGAGGGAAGAGGGAGGAACAAAGGAGAGAAGAAGTGCACCTGTGGTTCCTAGTGGTCACTGTTCGATTAGATTCTACTTCCCCATCATGTGCTGGGCACCGGGCTGGGCACTGAGACTCAGAGGTGACTCAGCAGAAGTCCCCCAGGGACCCACTCGCTTTGTCATAGCTCCTCTACACCGTGTCGACCTGCCAGAAACTGGCAGTGAGGGATGAACTTGTCTCTGGGGCTAAGCCATGCTGGTTTTTTCACCATCACACACGATAGGACTCCAAGGTCTTCCAGCGTTCTGATCACACCCTCCGTGAGACACGCTGAGTTTGCCGGTGATCTCCAATGCAGGGTGCTTCATCATTTATAAGATGCTTCCACATTCCATGTCTCATATGTGCCTCGAAATCCCTCTGAGAAGAAGGTACTGTAACCAGCTCCATCTTGTAGAAGAGGTAAATTTACCCTCAGAGGGGCAAATAACTTGCCCAACGTCAAGTAACTAATAAGAGACCAAGCCAAGACCTGAACTCAGGTCTTCATAGCTCCAAATCTAGCTTTTCACCCTTCCCAGTTGCCTCTAGGTCCCGTGCCAGACACCTCATTTATGCACACATACATATGTCTAACTTGGCACATAGAGGCCAGACAAATTTGGAACTGGGTACAATTCAAATTCGTGGGTACAATTCAAATTCGCCTTGACTCTGACTGTGTGAGCAATGTGTGCCCTTTGAAGGAAACTATTTGCACCTGTTTCCGAGAGAGATCTGAAATGGGTGAAGTAATGCCTATGGATGAGACTTGTAAATTGCTGAGCCACGCAAACATGGGTTAATGCCAAGGTCGAGGCTGCTCTGTGTCTGCTAGCCAGCAGGAAATAGAACTGGGGCACAGATAATGCCACAAGACCTCCTAGGACTCTCTCCAGACTGCCCAGCTGACAGTCCCCCACCCCGGCCCCTTCCACATCTTCACCATATCCTAAAGCCACCATGCCTCCATCAACAAAAATATAGTTTAAAATACATTTGATGACTCTCAGTAAAGAACAGAACGGCGCATGGCGCCCTGGCATCTTAGCAGGTGTAGGTTCTGCCAAAGGAAGCCCTTGTGGCTTTCAGCAGCATTGCACACTTCTTCAAAAGTGAAAACTGAATCTCACCTTCTCGGTAGACACTAAACCAGAAAGCGAGTTTCAGATCTATATTTTGAAGTGTTTCGTGAAGCACTCCACTGGAAATAGAGATGCCTTTGCTTTTTACCAAATGCACAGAGTAGCCGGTTTCTAAGCTCTGGAGGTGATCCTGTTTTTTTCAGGGATGTGGTTCCAAGGGGTAACATTGAGCTTTATAAGGAATTCTCTTACAAATGTTGTTTTCCCAATAACTAATGGTCCCATTCAAACCTGAGTACATTGCCTTTTAAATTTCTAAGTGGTTTAATAATAGAACCGCTCCATTAACTCTGACACATGCTTGGGAATCAAGCAAAGAAATGAAGAGACGGCTGGAAAAACAAGCAACCGCAGCCGTGTGCGCTCCTGAGTCCTAAATGCTAGCGAGCTCAGCGGCTGAGATTTTATATCAAAAAGCCATGACCGGGAGCTCTTTGTCTGTGTGGGTCACAGAAGGATCGTCCTAACTTCTCTGCTCCTCCCAAGCCAGCCCCCTCCTTCCCTACAGAAAGGCCATCCTCCACTCCCTCCCGTCACCGCACCCACTATCTCCTGCTTTCTTCCCCTAAGAGTTCAGGCGTCCCTCCTGCTGTTTCAAACACTCCCTGGCCTGGCTACTATGAGGGACTGCAGTTTATTCACCAAGAACAGCTCTAGCTTCACTTCATTCCTCTCTCCTTCTGGAAAAGATTTAAGACCACAATTCACAGAATTAGCCCTGCTTTCCGATAGAATCCAATCCAAGGAGGAAAGCTCCGCATCCTTAAAACCTCTTCCAAATCCCCTAATGCAGCCCAAGTGAGCAGGTCCTTCCTGAACCCCTCTCCTGAGACACCCCAGGGCCTTGCGCAGTGTGCTCCCTTCCTGGTTGCAATGAGCCCAGGGTTGTTCAGATGCTGGTCTGTGGCTTGAGCTGAAGGGCACTGACCACATCCTCATTTGTTTACAGAAGGGGTTTCGTGTGTGTGTGCGCGTGTGTGTGTGTGTTTGTGTGGGTGTGTGTATGTGTTTTCTTTACTTCTTCTTTTTTTTTTTTGACACAGGGTCTCGCTCTGTATCCAGGCTGAAGTGCAGTGTCGTTAACACAGCTGACTCACTGCAACCACCACCTCTCAGGCTCAAGCGATCCTCCCACCTCAGCCTCCCAAGTAGCTGGAACTATAGACACGCACCACCACACCCACCCAGCCAATTTTTTGGTTTTTTGTAGAGATGGGGTAGTGTCATGTTGCCCAGGTTGGTCTCAAATTCCTGGACTCAAGTGATCCTCCCACCTCGGCCTCCCAAAGTGCTGGAATTACAGACATAAGCCATGGTGCCCAATCCAGAAGGGATTTCATACATGCTTTTTGTAATGGAGTCTCACACCTATTATGACGATAGTGAGATTATTTTCATGTCTATAATGAACCACATTATCATCCCTCTAAACGCCTCCTCTCCTGGTAGGCTTTCCTGAACTACGTCTCTGCCACTTTCCTGCACGTAATCCTCTTCTTGATGCTTCTCTGATCCCCAAAGGAGAGCACCTGCAGGTTTCTGCTCTTGGTTTTTCTCTGTACATCGTCTCCCTCAGTTACTTCATCCCTGCCTATCTTATCCTCTCCCTTCCATGTGAAGAACTTCCACACCAGGGCTCCAGCCCTGACCTCTTCCAGCCACCTGCTGGACACCTGCTCCCTAACCCCGGTGTCCTGCCAGCATGTCAGCGTCAGCAGTCACACCAAGCCTGTCACCTCCCCGCACAGAGCTGACTGCACCTGACCCCCTCGTCCCTGCTCACAGCCTGCCCTCCCAGACCCTGAAGGACCAGAAGCAGGGGTGCCACCCCGGAGTCTCCCTCCCTCTGGCCTGCACATCCAGTCAGCACCATGACCCGCATCGATTTCTACAGGCACAGCTCATGCCAAGAGAAGCCGGGAATGCAGAGGCCCAGGGCGGGAGATCATGGTGGCTCTTCGTTTTGCTTGCACTGAGAAACTAAAAACCCAGAGAGGAGTGATAACATGACCTGGGTCCATCCACTGGGGGAGACCAAGCCAGGACTGGCCCCGTGTGTTCAAGCTGCCTTCCTCTTCCCCGCCAGGCAGCGCCTCCTGCATCCCTCAGGACCCTCATGGACCTACCGCAGCCACCTCCCAGCCGGCCTCCCTGCTCCACTCTCCTTTAGCCACCTGCCTCCCGCGGCCAGCAGCACAGCTCACTCCCCAGTCTGAAGCCATCAGTGTCTTCCCAGTCACTGCAGGTCACACAGAGACCCCCATCTTCTCCCGGCCCGGGCCCTCAGGAGCCACAGTCACTCTATCCTCCCACAGCTTCCCACATAAACTTCCAAACGGGCTGCACAGGGACGCTGGGGCCCACCTGCTTCTTGCCTCCTCTGGTCTGAGGTCCTTTCTATTCCACTAGCCAGTCAGCGTCTGCCTGCCCTCTGTCCCCTCCCACACACAGGGGCCGCTCCTCTCCCATGGCACAGTGTGGGCTCCTGTCCACAGCACCGGGCCCTAGGCCGCCAGGGCTCTCTCTGGCTGTGTGGGCTCTGCTGGGCTTGGGGCTCTGCGGGTGGGAGACCCATCGAGTGAGCTTTCCCTCCGAGCCCAGTGCTTAGCATGCACCAGGCCCTTAGGAAAGGTGGAGGGAGAGAATGAGGCGGCCCTCCTTTTTAGAGCACATTAACAAAACCCCCCAAATGGTGGCAATGATCGTTGTCTATACCATGGAGGCTTTCCGTTGACAGAGTTCCAAAACAAGCCTGGTCTCTGAAGATGCTGAGAGGAGCGGTACTTGCTCTTTGACTATAAGAACCGAAGCTAAGGACCTTCTAAAGAGAGTCATCAGGGTCCCTCACAAATAGGGGTACGAATACCTCCCATAGGGACTACGAAGAATTCATGAAACGGCCCTGCTTTCAGGGACTTCCCCACCATGCCCCCGACCATGTAAAGACTGCACTGGGGAGGGGCAGTAAGGGACAAGTGTGCAGCACCAGGGAGCTCACAGCCCAACAGGACAGGGGGACACAGGAAGGCAGAGCTCACAGCCCAACAGGATAGGGGGACACAGGAAAACAGAGCTCACAGCCCAACAATACAGAGAGAGACAGGCAAGCAGAGGCCTGCCACAAGCACAAGCCCACAGGCAAAATCCAAGGGGCCCCATGCAGATGTGCTGGATGGAGGCGGCCTGGCTTTGATGGGGAGGTGACCTTTCAGAGCTGAGCCCCAGAGCTTTGCATCCTTGCACTTAACCATCATCAGCCACATACCATCGAATAGTTGATATCACACAAAAAGACACCAGTTGGGGGGGGGCATTTCCTCCTGATAATTACTTTTCTTACAGAGAAACATCTTTCCCAGAAGTAATGGCCTCTGCAGATTTACTCCAACCTCTATTGGCTGGAATTAGGTCACATATCGACATTTTGACAACCACTAGCAAAAGGCATAGAATTACCATTATGACTAATCAACCTGCACACCCTAGGGCAGGAGAAGGTCTCAAGCATCATCTAGACCCCCCACAACTGAAGAGAATTGGGGTTCTGTTGGGAAGGAATAGGGTGGAGGGCAGTGGCCGTGGCAGCTACCAAGGGACACCCTTTGCCCCACACCCTCCACTTGCCATAGAGGACTGTGGGGCCAGCACAGCCTCTCCCAGGCTGGAACAAAATGCCAGCGGTGAGAGGCAATGTCCCAGTGTAGGAGGGGTTCTGACTGATGCCTCAGAAAGTCTGGGTGCTCCTTCTAGTTCTGATACCTGCCAGTCATCTGACGTTGGCCGGTCACTTGCCCGGGTCTGTTTTCTCACCTGTAAAATGGAGATTGTAATCTTTCACCCACCTACGGTAAAGATCAGATGAGGAAACAAGTTGTGTGTGCTTTGTATAACCTTATTGGGTGTAAAGTGACTTCCTTTTCCTCCCCTCAAAACAGGGTAAAAAAAAATGATTGTGATATGGAATGCAGTTTGCTGGCTGGCACCAATGGAGGCTATTTTGGGATGAGTGGTAACTAAGAAACATGAGGCACTGGTAACCTTGGCAACCATAGGTAAGGCAGGATCCCGGTGCCCCGGCTTTCTGTATTCCACTCTTATCTCCAAATCTAAAGGCTCACTCTCTGGTGATTTGTCAGGCATGGCATCTCCTAGGGCCCAGGAACGCCTGGTGTTGGCCTGGCTAAACTCTTGGACGAAAAGGTCTGCACAGGCTCCGAGGGACAGGCAGCTCCTTGCCTCTGATGTCGCCATGGGGAAGTGCAGGGTGGCCTCCTCAGGAACCCGCTTTCTGCCTTCCTCCTGTCTTGGCCCTTGGCAACATGGCAGCCTCCTCACTCCTGCTGTCCAAGGTACAAACACCGCATACAGAAATCAGGCTTGTATTCAGTAGAGTCTAGTTAGCAATTACAGTGGGCCCCTCTTATCCCTGGGGGCTACCTTCTAAGACCCCCAGGATGCCTGAAACTGCAGACTGCACTGAATCCTCTATATGTTTTTTCTTATACATATATACATACATAGCTATGATAAGATTTAATTCATAAATTAGGCACAGCAAGAGAACTAACAACAATAACTAATAATAAAATAGAACAAGGATGGCCACATGTGGCATCACTACTCTTGCACTTGACACTAGTAAGTAAAATCGGGGTTATTTGAACACAAGCTCTGCAATCCCACGACAGCACATCCATCACCCAGAGAGCTACTAAGTGACTCACGGCCAGGGAGTGTCTACGGTGTGGAGACGCTGGACACGGGGAGGAATCCCACCCTAGGGAGCCATAGTGGGAAGGCACAAGACTTCACCACACTCCTCAGACCGTGTGCAATTCAAAACTTATGAACTATTCATTTCCGGAATTACGCATTGAATATTTCAAGCCTCAGTTGACCAGGGGTAACTGAACCTGCAGAAAGCAAAAGCTCAGATAAGCGGGGACCTCTGTACAAGCACAAAAGCAGTTACAAGCAAGGCAGGTCTGCCCAGGAAGACGCAATAATGATATTCCCTTATAAACTCAAAGTGTTTAAACCGTTGTTTCTATTGAGCAGATATAGAAGAAATTAGTAGATATAGATAGATACAGGATATTTATAAGCAGTGCGTAGGGTGTCAAGACCACTAGTGCTACAAATACCGACAGCCCCACGGCCCTGCTTAAGAACCAGGACACAGCAGGTACCTTTGCAGCCACCTCTATGCCTTGATCATGAATTTCATAAGTCGTGTGATTACATTTCCTTGCTGTACTTCATAGTTTTATCATGTTTGTACCACTGAAGATGTATTTAGTTTTGCAGAGTTTTGAACTTTACACAAATGATATAGACTCATTCTTCTCCTACTGCTTTTTTTTTTTTTTTTTTTTTTTTTGCTCAACTGTATATTCTGGGTTTATTCTTCTTCGTGCACGTATTTGGAGTGGCTTTGATTTCACTGCTTTGTAGCATTCCATTATGTAAATATCAGTACTTACTATGTAAATATGTAACTATACAGGAACTTATTTATCCCTTCGCTGCCAATGAACATTTGGGTGGTTTCCAATCTTAGGCCACCAGGAGCAATGCTGCTATGAGCATTCTTCGTAAGACTTTCTCTCTAGGCTCCATACCGAGGAGTGGAACTGCTAGGTACTAAGATACGGGCATCTTAAGCTTTACTAGGTAATGCCAGAGTATTTGTGCCCATTTACATTCCCACCAGCAATGGACAGATTCACAGAGTCT
Organism: Homo sapiens; assembly: GCF_000001405.40. Lineage (NCBI taxonomy): Eukaryota > Metazoa > Chordata > Mammalia > Primates > Hominidae > Homo > Homo sapiens. The sequence continues at coordinate 10,859,275 of NC_000002.12, read as the reverse complement.
CTTCATGTCTCTTTTTTTTTGAAACAGGGTTTCACGCCTTCACCCAGGCTGGAGTGCAGTGGCACGATCACATCTCACCACAGTCTCAGCTTCCTGGGCTCAGGTGATTCTCCCTGAGAATACAGTTGGGAGGAAAAACAGGACAAAAGTAAAATGTGCTGGGCCGGGTGTGGTCACTCACACCTATAATCCCAGTACTTTGGGAGGCTGAGGCAGGAGGATTACTTGAGCCTAGGAGTTTGAGACCAGCATGGGCAACAGAGAGTGAGACCCCATCTCTATCTTTTGTTTTTAAAGTAAAATGTGCAGTAATACTCCAGCAGCAGTCAATTTAAAAATATTTAAAATGCCATTTATAGTATCATAAATATATGCGTAGTGATAGATACATATTTAAAAGTATGCAACCCCAAGGTAGATAAAATGACTCAATTTTTACTGAAAAACATGAAAGAAGACCTAAGTAAGTGGCAAGGTATATCAGGTTCCCTAATTCAAAATATTCTAAGTCATGTAGATGTTAATTCTTTCCAAACCAACCTACACATACAATTCGACACTATTCAAAGCCCCAACAATGTTGTGTGTGTGTGTGTGGAATCTGACAAGCTGATAAGCAAATGGATCTGGAAGAGCAATTGGCCACGTATAGCCAAAATACTACAGAAGAACCAGGTCGGGGAACTAGCCCTGCAGGGGAGCAGTACTTAGTAACAAGTTACAGTAATTAAGATACTTTGGTATTGGGAAGGGATATAAAAATAAACCAGTGGAACAAAATATAGGCCCAGAAACAGACGAGGCATACACAGAAACTTGATTTATGACAAAACAGTCTGTGTGGACTAGTGGGGGAAAGTACTTTTTATGAATGATATTGAAATAAAAATAATCATACAGAAAAAAAAATAAAATGGGATTCTTCCTCATGCCATTTACCAAAATCAATTCTAGGCAGGTTAAAGACCTGTTTATGAAAAGCAAAATTGTAAAACTTTAAGAAGATAATGTAGTTTTTATCTTTATGACTTCGGGTTAAGAAACTCTGAAGACACAAAGAAGTACAAATCATAAAGGGAAAGATGGATAAATTTGATAACATTAAAATTAAGAATTTTTGTTCATTAAAGAAACATGAGTGGCTGGGCTCAGTGGCTCACATCTGTAGTCCCAGCACTTTGGGAGGCCAAGGCAGGAAGATTGCTTGAGCCCAGGAGTTCGAGAGCAGCCTGACCAATATGGTGAAACTCTGTCTCTACTGAAAAAATACATATATATAAACTAGCCAGGGGGCCAGGCGCAGTGGCTCACAGCCTGTAATCCCAGCTGTAATCCCAGCACTTTGGGAGGGTGAGGCGGGCCGGTCACCTGAGGTCAAGAGTTCGAGGCCAGCCTGGCCAACATGGTGAAACCCTGTCTCTACTAAAAATATAAAAATTAGCCAGGCATGGTGGCACATGCCTGTAATCCCAGCTACTCTGGAGGCTGAGGCACAAGAATCACTTGAACCCGCAAGGCAGAGGTTGCAGTGAACTGACATCGCACCATTGCACTCCAGCCTGGGTGACAGAGTGAAACTCCATCTCAAAAACAAAACAAAACAAAACTGGGGACTACTTAAACAGAGGAGAACTGGTGAACTCTAAATAGAATAGGCTCTTCCACCATCTACAAAAGGAAGAAGAAAGAGAGGGAGGAGGTGTTGGGGAGGAGGATAAGAAGGGGGAAGAGACGAAGGAAGAGGAGGAGGGGGACAAATCTGTTCATATAAATTGTCATTCCTTTGAAAGTAATCTGTCTTCTCTCACCACTTTTAATGTCTTCTTATCTTTGGTGTTCTGTAGTTTCAGTACGATATGATCTCTCACACATTCTTTTTTTTTTTTTTTTAATGAAACGAAGTTTCACTCTTATCACCCTAGGCTGGAGTAAAATGGCTCTACCTCGGATCCCTACAACCTCTGCCTCCTGGGTTCAAGCGATTCTCTTGCCTCAGCCTCCTGAGTAGCTGGGATTACAGGTGTGCACCACCATACCCAGCTAATTTTTTGTATTTTTAGTAGAGCCAAGGTTTCACCATGTTGGCCAGGCTGGTCTCGAACTCCTGACCTCAGGTGATCACCCGCCTCGGCCTCCCAAAGTGCTGGGATCACAGGCATGAGCCACCACACCTGGCCTATTCTTTACAACAACCCTGTGAGGCAAACTAGATGGCTATTGTATCACTTGAAAGATTCAGAAGCCAAGACTCAGAGAGGTTAAGACTTACAAGGGAGTGAGAGGTGAGAATGCATTTTCAAGAATGAAATTTCTTTCTCTTTATAATAAAGGATCAATGGAGAAATGGCTAAGTTAGGTCTAAGTTCTGTCAGAACTAGCAGCAGAGGACTGAAATAAAGGAGCCCAATGTCAGAAACATCACTCAGGGAGTCAGGTTGGCCTGCAGAGCTATGCATCTGTTGGAGGGAAGGTGTGAAAGTTAAGAGGCTGGTACTCAGCTTTCCCACACCCAGAAGCTCCACCTTTCTGATCACCTTTCTGATCCACTTCTCTGATCGGGGAGTCCAACTGCTAACACTCAAGCTCCCAAGAAGCTGATTGGGAGCATAAGAAAGGATTTCAGAGAATTAATTTGCAACTCAAAATAGAATGACCACACGGATCAGACAGTCTAGAGTAGTGATCTCCCAATTGTTTTTACATGCAGCCCATTGGTAAAATAAAGCATGCACCCTCAATAAGTGCACATTCATTTTTTATAAACGTTCTAAGTATTGAACATGATTATACGACCCATTATTATACTCTTAACAAATAAGCCAAAAATAGGCTGCTAGGACAAGAAGAGAGACAGAGACAAACGGAAGTTATAATATTTGTCCCCAGTGAACCATCTTGTGCACACCCACTCCGGAGACTGCATCTGGACCCCTGCAAGCCCGGAGAGCATGACACAAAAAGTCTAATGATAATGGGGGTAGGGAGAGAGAGCTCAGAGCCCCTCGGAATGAGAAGAAGTGGTGTTGGAGAAATGGCAGCCCGGCCCCCACCCCACCTCCACCATGGGGCAGGCCTGCTGGTGGAGCCCCTAAGTCAGGGTTCCACCCTTGGGCAATGCCCCCCCACCACCCCCCCCCAACACACACACCTGCAGTTCTAAACTTTTCTGCCAAGCTCCTCCGGTGGTCTGACACACTCGGCTCTCTCTCGTGTTAACATTCAGGTCACAGTTAGCCTGTATCCTTAGTCAGCCAGGCAAGGGACCCCTCGTCTCTTTTTAGGGATTTCTGCAGAAGCTGAGGTTTTATCCATATTCAGATTCCACCAACCTTTCCCCATCACGGTCATTTTTTAATGAATACATGCCCTTCTTCCTATTTTGAAGGATCTGTTCATCTTTGTAGATTATGGGATATGCTGGGTGAGGAAAGGTATCCAAGTCCTTGGTGGTGTCGGGTGTGATATGATAACTTTGAAAACCTAAGATGGTATCTGCTTCACTCAAACAAACAATAACAGTAAACATCATTCTGAGAATCCTATGAGATAAAAATATTTTTATTTATATCTAAGGAAACCAAGGATCAGAAAGGTCACCAACTCTGATCTACATCCCACCTAGTAAGTGGCACAGCCAGGACTTGAACCTGGGTCTGTCTGGCTTCAAATCCTGAGTGTGCTCCTTTCCCCTCATTGTCTTTTCAACAATGTCAGAGGCAACTAAGTTACCACAGGAACTCGGCGGGAGGGATATTGCCAGTACTATCACAGTCAGTAATTACAGCTGAAACAGCCAGGACTTCGATACCGTATTTAATTTTTGTAAATACATGGCTTTTTATTGCATACGAATTAAAATGCCCATTACACTAACAAGATACCTAGAATTCGAAAATAAGAAATTTTTAAACCACTGAAACATCTACTGGTATGTAATTATTCACTGCCTTCAGACTTTATATTTTAAAAATAGTCACAAGGAGCAGGGATAATTAAGCTGATATTATTACTCCATTATTAGATCACCACTGTGTTTGAGTCACATGATTAACAAATTTCCTTCCTGATTGAAACTGAAATGCCCATCAAGATTAGTTGGATTTCAGGGTCAATCACAGGAAAATACAAAATGAAGGTAGGGGGTTGATTAAACCAACTCAGAAATTGGCACGCTATCCTGGACCATCTACGAGGTAACAATGTGAGTTCCACTAGAAGGCAGGATGAGCTGAGATGGAAACGGTTGCTGCCCTAGTGCCTCCTTCCCTAGAATCCACCTGGAGAAATTACAGAGCAAGAGAAACAGACCAGAGGAACAAATGACAAGAACAATGAGATTTTTGAAATCTGGACAGCCGACAGCTATCAGAAGTGGTGCCTGGTGTCAACAGCTGCCACCAGCATCACCAGCACCTGTTGAGAAAACAGAGCAGGTGTGTGTCTGGGTGTGTCCCCTTATGGAAAGGGAGGCCACCTCCCGAAGTTTGGTGTGTTTCAGACGGGAAGGAGAAGGCACGGCCACAATTTATTGAGAACTGGAAGTTTGATTTAAGGGGGGGGCGTTTCAAATGAGGAAATCTGATCAGCACTGGGTAACAGCCATGATGCAACAGTCAGTCTGGACATGGTAGACAGAGGAAGGTGAGGATTTTGAGGCAAAGAATTCAAAGACTACCTGTTGATGTTTTCCATCAGAGAGTAGATGAGTCTTTCCAGAAGTTCCTATAAGAACTATCAAGCCATCTGCCTGGGCTTGATGGTGACTCCTGGGAAAATAAAGTCGTGCTGATGAAGACAGGAATAACATCAAGTGAGGTTCATACACACAGTAGGGTGTTTTGGCTTTCAGTGTCCATGCCCAGTGTGGGGTAGATGCTCTGGTTCTTACTGGTTGGAGTGGGACTGGCATCGAGGTGGTGGCATAGGGAGCTACAGCCTGGAAGACAGCCAGAGGGGGCAATAAGAGGGTAGGCGAGGCCGGACACAGTGGCTCACGCCTGTAATCCCAGCACTTTGGGAGGCCGAGGCAGGCAGATCACCTGAGGTCAGGAGTTCAAGACCAGCCTGACCAACATGGAAAAAACCCGTCTCTACTAAAAATACAAAATTAGCCAGCGTGATGGCGCATGCCTGTAATCCCAGCTACTCGGGATACTGAGTCCAGAGAATCACTTGAACCCGGGAGGCAGAGGTTGTGGTGAGCCGAGATCATGCCATTGCACTCCAACATGGGCAACAAGAGTGAAAGTCCATCTCAAAAAAAAAAAAAAAAAAAAAGGTAGGCAAGAAGGCATTTCTAAGTTCCACTCTGGTCCCCGTTCTGCAAGGCTTGGTGCAGCCATTGCCTGGCCCTTCAGGACAGGCAGCTGCTCCTGGTGTCTGAAATAATGTCACGGCAATCCATGATTCCTGCCAGGGTGAGGATTTGATAAAAACAGGTGAGGACAGAGCATTCAACCCCAGTCACTCACCCACAGACACCCACAGCCCTGGGATCTGAGGAGACCGGCTCTGCCCAAGACTGCTTTTCCCTGGGGGGTTGGTGGTACAACTCTGAAGAATGCAGTTGCCAGGTGAAGAGACAAAAATCCAGTGAATCTGAGATCTGGAGGTCTTCAACCTAGGGTCCATTTCTCTCCTTCCATTAAACGCAGGGATGGACATGGGCATGGCCTTTGACCCTTCCCAAGAACACATTTCCAGAGGGAGTAACCAAAACCCCATTCTCATGGGGTTCTGAGCTCATAGGCCAATGTAACCAGATTCCTGAGGACAACTACCATGAAACAAAGCCAGCTAGGTAAGCATCATTTCGTGTCTGAAGCAGAAATATTGGAAGAGGAGGACAAAAATTTTAAAGAGCATAGTAGTATATATACATAAGATAAAGAAAGAAATGGCAAAAATTATTTGCAAGAATGAGAAAATATTTTCTTAAAAAAAGAGAAAGGGCAAAGGATTTGAATAGACATTTCTCCAAGGAAAATACACAGGTAGCCAATAAGCACATGAAAAAATGCTCAAGATCCTTAGTCATTAGGGATACACACATCAAACCCACAATGAAATACAATTTCACACTCACTAGAATGGCTATTATAGAAAACAACCACAACAACAACAACAGAACATAGCAAGTGTTGGTGAGGATGTTGAGACATTAGAACCCTTGTGCATAACTGGTGGAAATATAAAATGGTATAGCCATGTGAAAAATAGTATGACAGTTCCTCAAAAACTTGAACATAAAATTACCATTTCACCCAGCAATTCCACTTCTGGGTATATATTCTCAAAAGAACTGAAGGGACTTGAACAGATATTTGTACACCCATGTGATAGCAGCATTATTCACAATAAGGAATATTGTTTTCACCAAAGGGTGGAAACAACCTATGTGTCCATCAGTGAATGAATGGATAAGCAAGTTGTGCTATATACACACAATGAAAAATCACTCAGCCTATTGCCATGATCTGTTTCTATTCCCGACACTTATGACACCAAATGAATGGGTTTTTTTCCACATCAACCACCAATTCTCTAACTCTCCAGAAACCAACTGGATATACAATGACTCAATTCAATTCTGACACTATTTTCTGGAGTTAGCATCAGACAGGCTATGGGCTCAGTCCCACAAGACTGCTCCCACTTCAGACACCAATCCCAAGGGTGGGCCTCCTGTACTTATGACCAACAAGCTGTAAATCAGTGGTCCTCACAATGCCCTCCTCTGGTTCAATAATCTGCTAGAAGAGGTCACAGAACTCAGGAAGGCACATACCTACTATTACCACCTTCTCATAAAGGATATGACTCAAAAGCAGCTAAATGGAAGAGATGCACAGAGCATGGTATCCGGGAAGGGGGAGAAGCTTCCACGCCTTCTCTGAGTGGATTCCCTTCCCAGTACCTCAATGTGTTCACCAACTCAGAATCTCGCTGAACCCCATTGTTTAGGATTTTCATGGAGGTTCCGTTATGAAGGTATGACTGATTAAATCGTTGGTTCTAGGTGACTGATTAATTTCCAGTCCCTCTCTCCTCTCTGGAGATTGGGGATTGAAGCTGAAAGTTCCAACCCTCTAGTAATACCTTGGTCTTTCTGGAGGCCAGCCCTCCTCCTAAAGGTATCTAGGGGCGCCCATCCACCAATCATCTCATTAGCCTACAGAAAGACACTCATCTGGTGATACAAGGGCCTTAGATGCTCTTACGTCAGGAACCAAAGACTAAGACCAAATATCCTAACAAAAGATCTTTCTATCACCCCATCAGTCAGGAAATTGCAAGGGTTTTAGGAGCTCGCTGCCAGGACATAAACCAAGTATGTATGTATATAATATCACAATATCACACAGTCTTAAAAAGAAAGAAATCCTGATGCATGCGCCCACATGAATGAACCTTGAAAACATGCTAAGTGAAGAGAGCCAGTCACAAAAGAATAAGTACTGAATGATTCCACTTGTATGAGGTACCTAAGGCAGTCAGATTCAAAAGGACAGATGATACAACGGTGATTGCCAGGGGCTGGAGGGAAGGAGGAGTGGTGAGTTATTGTTTAATGGACATAGAGTTTCAGTTTGGGATAATGAAAGAGTTCTGGAGAGGAAGGTGGTGATAGTTGCACGATGTGAATATCCTTACTGCTATAAGGGAGGGAAAAATGCTTTCCTCTACTGTCTTACATTCTATAGTGAGGGTCTGTGAATTAAGCTGAAAAAAGACAGATTAACAGGGGGAAAGGCATATAGATTTTACTTGATGTAATTTTCATTTTCATGTGCACATGGAGGCCTTCACAGAAAAGAAATGAGGATCCAAAGAGACAGGTAGACCTGAGGGCTTATATGCCGCTGTAACTGTGCACCCAAAAGTATCCGAGACAGATCTCAATCAATTTAGAAAGTTTATTTTGCCAAGGTTAAGGCTGTGCCCTGACACAGTCTCAGGAGGTCCTCAAGACATGTGCCCAAGATGGTGATGGTAGGGGCACAGCTTGCTTTTTTTTTTTGGAGACTGAGCCTCACTCTATCGCCCAGGCTGGAGTGCAGTAGCACGATCTTGGCTTACTGCAACCTCCGCCTCCCAGGTTCAAGCAATTCTCATGCCTCAGCCTCTTGAGTAGCTGGGACTACAGGTGTGCACCACCACACCCAGCTAATTTATTTGTATTTTTAGTAGAGATGGGGTTTCGCCATGTTGGCCAGGCTGGTCTTGAACTCCTGACCTCAAGTGATCCACCTGCCTCAGCCTCCCAAAGTGCTGGGGTTACAGGCGTGAGCCACCACGCCCAGCCCAGCTTGCTTTAACACCTTTTAGGGAGACATGACACATCAGTCAATACGTGTAAGATATTCATTGGTTTGGCCCGGAAAGGCAGGACAACTAGAAGCAAGGGGCTTCCAGGTCATAAGCAGACAACAGACAAAGGTCGCATTGTTTTTTGTTGTCACCTTGTTTTGCTTTTGAGACAGGGTCTGGCTGTGTCACCCAGGCTGGAGTGCAGTGGTGTGATTGTGGCTCACTGCAGCGTTGACCTCCCAGGCTAAAGCGATCCTACCTCTTCAACCTCCTGAGTAGCTGGGATTACAGGCACCTGCCACCATGCCAGGCTAATTTTTTGTATTTTTAGTAGAGACAGGGTTTTGCCATGTCGCTCAAGGTGGTCTCAAACTTCTGGACTCAAGTGATCCACCTACCTCAGCCTCCCAAAGTGCTGGGATTACAGGCCTGAGCCACTGCGCTCGGCCAGTTACATTATTTTGAGTCCTTGATTAGCCTTTCACTGAATACACAGTTTACTCTGGCTCAGGGAATCTGCAGTTTCACATAAACAACAGGGCAGAGGAAGCAACAGATAGGCATTTGTCTCAGGTAAGCAGAGGGATAACTTTCTGTCCCACACCTGTGAAGGCGAGCTAACAGTTTACATTGCCAGGGTGAAATTCAACAGAACTGTTTTAGGGTAAAGATCTTGAGCCCCACAAGGAATTCCCCTGTGGGCAAATTGTGAGGGAGGCATGTAGGTTTTTTATCTTTGTAGCTATCTTATTTAGGAATAAAATGGGAGGCAGGTTTGCCTGACATAGTTCCCAGCTTGACTTATCTTTTGGCTTAGTGATTTGGGGATCCCGAGATGTTTTTCCTTTCACAATAACAAAAGGTAATAATTTGTAGAGAAACGGCAAGACAAAAGACAAGGCATTTGGGTTCCTAGAGGCAGCAAATTGTGATAAGGTAAATATGTGGGGGGAATCTTGTGGGAGATAAAGGTTATTGAGCGGCCGGGGGCGGTGGCTCACAGCTGTCATCTCAGCACTTTGGGAGGCTGAGGCAGGCAGATCACCTGAGGTCAGGAGTTTGAGACCAGCCTGGCCAACATAGTGAAAACCTGTCTCCACTAAAAATACAAAAATTAGCCTGGCATGGTGGCACGTGCCTGTAGACCCAGCTACTCGGGAGGCTGAGGCAGGAGAATCACTTGAACCCAGGAGGCAGAGGTTGCAGTGAGCCAAGATCAGGCCACTGCACTCCAGCCTGGGTGAGAGAGTGAGACTCTGTCTCAAAAAAAAAAAGACTTTGGGGAACTGTTGGGAAGACACGACTGTATTTGAAATCTGAGAAGGACATGAGATTTGGGAGTGGCCAGGAACAGAATGATATTGTTTGGGTCTGTGTGTCGGCCCAAATCTCATGTCGAATTGTAATCCCCAGTGTTGGAGAAGGGGCCGGGTGGGAGGTGATTGGCTCATGCGGGTGGACTTTCCCCTTGCTGTTCTCGTGATAGTGAGTGAGTTCTCATGAGATCTGGCTGTTTAAAAGTGCGTAGCACCCCACCCCCCACCCTCTTCCTCCTGCTCCAGCCTTGTAGGATGTGCCTGCTTCCCCTTTGCCTCCCGCCATGATTGAAAGTTTCCTGAGGCCTCCCCAGCAATGCTCCCTGTACAGTCCATGGAACCATGAGCCAATTAAACCTATTTTTTTTATAAATTACCCAGTCTCAGGTAGTTCTTTATAGCAATGTGAGAACAGACTAATACACCATCATAAAAAAGCTTGAAAAAAAATTCAAAAGATGTATCATCCAACTTCTACCACCCACAAGTCACTTCCTGGGGCTGAAGAGTAAGGCAGGGAACCCTGACATTGACATATTGCTTACAATATATGTTTCCTAAGCTTTAACTCTTTGTATTCTTATAAGAAGTCAAGGCAGCCGTGAAGTATCATTCCCCTTTCATAAGGGAACTCCGAGGGATCAGGAGGGAAGTGACTTGCCTGAGATCACACAGGCCGGGTAGGAGGCTGGGCCCGGAGCCCAGGGATCTTGAATGGAGACTGGGGTCACCCCACAGTACCTGCCACTGTTGCCACAGTCTCAAAGCCACAGGAACAGCCCCTGCATGGTAGGACGTATGTGTCTCACAGTACTCTTCTAAGACTCTAAGGAGGAAATTCTAACCCAGCGATTAGCAGTGATTGGAGTTAATTGCATGTTAGTTACCATGGTTATGTCTAACTTAGTTCTCCCTTGAGCCTCCAACAGGAACACGGAAGACTGTTCTCAGGCTAATGCAGTGGGAAGAAAACACCCTGAGCAGGGTCACAATTGTTCTCTGGGCTTTGTTTGCAGAACCTGTTGATGATCTCCAGTTTCCAGAAGTATTCTACATGGAAATAGTTACCAATGTGCAAAAGGAGCACCATTTTCTGGCATCCCGAGCCACAAACCAGGTGTCTGGAGGTGTTGCTTTGTAAGGAAAAAGCCAGCAGCCATCTGGCTTCCTCTCCAGAGCCAATGTAAGGGAGTTGTTTTAAGGATTGAGGATACAGGACCTTGTAACAAGCTTACAACAGTATTTGGCTCTCAGTAAATACCCAATACCTTCATTAACATTACATTTCACATATCTCCACAGAACTTATTTTAAGCAGTGTCTTCATTTCTTGTTTAAAATAGAATTTAATTGCAGGCCTCTTGTCTTTGATTCTCCAGAATCTTATTCATCCAGACAGAAGAGGAGAACAAGCCTCGGAGCACCCCCAGGAGCTCTCCTGAAGCCGCCAGGAATGGAGGAGCTCGCTTGGAATCAGAGGCCCGTGTTCCCAACCCAGGGCTGCCCCTGCTGGAGATGTGACCTCGGGCAGGCACACTGGGAAGCCTCTGGAAGCCCAGGCCTGCACGCGTGAAAGGGTGAGCTGTACCCCTGGGTCAGAGCGCGAGTTCCTTGTGTGTGTCTTGGTGGGAGGTCAGTGGTTGTAGGCCCTGAATGTTGACTGAGTCATCAGACAGAGCCGGCCTGGTCTCAGGTCCCAGAGTGCAGCTTCTGTGATGCTTCAACATCAGGGCTGAAGACCCTCCGGCACCCACAGGAGGATCTGCTGCATCAGCCCAGGTGCCAGCCAGGGAAGGCTCTTGCAGAACTGGAGGCATCCACAGGCTGTCTTCCGCACCTGAACAAGGCCCTCGTGGGGGGACTCCGCTGGCTCCGCCACTGCCTCTCCATCCTTGAGTGACTTCCTAAGCCCACACCCAGGCTTCCAGGGCTCCTCTGAGAGCCCCCTGAATGCAGGCGAGCTCCTCTAGTCACCCCTCTCTCTTGCCCTTCTTTATTCCTCCATGCCAGTTTACTCGCTCCCCAAAACAAATCTTACCCTTTCACAGTTGACCTTAGTGGCCCTTGAGTCCAGAGCCACTGAAATTCTGTATCGGTTCCTCTTCCCTCCAGGACAAGGAGAGCTTAACTTCCTATGTTATGAGGCAGGGGATAATTACATGCCATCCTTCCAGCAGAGCAAAGAAAATGATTTAAAAAAAAAAAGTTTCACATTAAAACAGGCAGAACATTTCTATTCTGCCAATATTTTAATCCATTGACTTTTTTTTAAGCGCCTACTGTATGCCTGCTCAACGAGCTGGGCTCTGATAAGCGAGCTCAACCCCTCCCTGAGTGCGCTGGGAAGAGTGCCACCCAGTAAGGGAGCTCTGAGCAGTTAGGGTGGCAGCCAGTGGTGTGGACACGTGGGGCCCAGGCCAGCAGCCCAGGATCAGACACTCACATGTCCTCAGGAAGTCACTGGGTATCAGGCCTTGGGCTGGGCAGAAGTGGGACTAGAGACAGAGCAGGGTGTCCTACGAGGAAGCTGGCAGCAGGAGGACCTCAGGGCAGTCCGGACCAGCTCATGCTTGGGGGCTGCTTCAGGGGAGCCTTTTGGCTGGGCCAAGGGGGCTGGCTAGGAGGACTTGGACAGAAGGATGGGTCCAAAGGGCTCTGGGGTTCAAGAGAGCACCACTGAGGGAACCGCCCAACCTCACTCAGAGACCAGATCACGCCCAGCTATTGGGGGGATGGTAGAACAGAACAAATGCCATGCACGGAGTGCCAAGGGCTCCCCATGAGTGTGCAGGATTCCCAGAAGGGTCCTGAATGGGAATGGCAGCATTGGAGGAAGAAGCCTAATAAGACCTCCTCCAATTTTCTGTGCATCCATAAAAGCTGCTCCAGTCAGCCACCACTGACGGGCAGGATCCAAAGAGCGGGGAAAGGAATGCATTGTTCACATATTCTCTGGAGAACAAATAATCCCACAGTGATTCTGAAGAACAGTCAGCGATGTTTGATTTAAGAGTGGCAAGGTACAACTCACAGCTCATTTTCCCTGCGGGGACGCTGCTCTTAATCCTCTTCCCCCTCATGCTAACTTTGAATTCTGGGAGGTGACCCTGGCCAAGCATTTAAGTTCTGTTAACATAATAAATGCTTGTTATCAACTACCTTCAAATTCAGAGGAAAGGGGGGTAATTTTCAAGCATCTCCTGAGTACCTCTGAGAAGAAATCGGCTGGCAAATGCATGCAGACATTCTAGAACATTATGTTCTCGTATAATTTGGTCTCGCGTTCTAGAACACTTACCCTTGCTGAGAACACGCTGTTGCTAGGATACGACCAATGAGTAAACACCCTGACTTTCTATTATTGTTTCATAGAGTCAGAGACTATCCAAGCCTCTGTTGCATTATTAGAACGGCTTCACTAAGGGTGTCAGTGGCGCCTAATCAGTACATCTAATGGAGGACACTTTCTAGTCCTTCCCTGCCTCTCTCCCATGAACTTGGGAGTGCATGCCCTGGCCCTCCAGGACACTTTCCCCTCAACACATTCTTTTACCTCTTTGTTCCTTCCCTTCAAGCCTCTGCCCTCAGCCAGCCCCTTTAATCCATGGCTGGTCCCAAGGCTGCCTCCCCCAGGGCTGGGACAAGGGTGAGGCAAGAGAGGCAACCAGGCAACAAAATGTCAGGAGGCCCTGGCTCCCAGGGTGTGCAGGGCAGGGCCTGCTCCCAGTTTGCATCCCGGGCACCTGGCTTGCCCTGGCTCAGTCCCAGTCAGCCCTCTCCCTCGGCGCTGCTCTACCAGGTGGCCCCTTGGAGCTCAAGGCCACACCTCCTACCTCCTCCCAAGCTCCCCCAGCCTAGAGCTTCTCCCCAGCTTCAGGCCATGCCTCCAACTGCTGGTGTCTCCACCCAGCTCTCCTCCAACTGCCCCTGCCACTCCCCACTCACACTATTCTACCTAGCCCCCCGCCAGCCCCATCCCATACCTCAAAGCAACCTTCCTTCCTGATACAGTTCTCCAAATCCTCGCCTCCTGGCTACTCACCACCAGGAATGCCTTAGGCAAGACCCTCACCATCTCTCCCCCAGACTCTTGTAGTAATCACTGTTTACTCTCCCTACCTCCAATCCAATAATCCACCTGGCCCCATCATCCAGGACTCAAAGCATTTCTGCTGCAAATATCCTCATGCACAGGAATGGGTGCATAGAATGAACTCCCCTCCTAAGGAGGACGATTTGACAATATTTATCAAAATTACAAATGTATATACACTTTGACCCAGCAACTCCACTTCAGGGAACTCACTCCACGTACTCATCCCTAGCCATGAGGATATGAATTGCAGCATTGAATGTAATGCAAGAAATTATAAACAACCTCAATGTCCATCTGTGGGGAAGAAGTTGATACGGTCTGCTAGATTCATGGAACATTTGACAGGCAATGAAAACATTGTGGCAGCTCTATGTATCAATATAGAATGACTTACAAGGCCTATAAATAAAAAGCTAGGTATAGAATAGTGTATCTAATACATGGCACCTGCATAAAAGGGAAGAGGTATATATACATACACACACGCACATTCAGACTATCTCTAGAATAAAACAGCGGGTTGGTCAGGTGCGATGGCTCACGCCTGTAAGCCCAGCATTTTGAGAGGCTGAGGCAGGTGGATCGCCTGAGGTCAGGAGTTCAAGACCAGCCTGGCCAACGTGCCAAAACTCTGTCTCTACTAAAAATACAAAAATTAGCCCGGCATGCGGGCACACGCCTGTAATCCCAGCTACCCGGGAGGCTGAGGCAGGAGACCCACTTGAACCCGGGAGGCGGACGTTGCAGTGAGCTGAGATCGTGCCAATGCACTCCAGCCTGGGCGACAGAGTGAGACTCTATCTAAAAAAAAAAAAAAAAAAAACCACTGAAAATGGTGACAGTGATCGCTGCTTCTGAGAAGGGGTATTTGGGGATAAGGATGAGGAAGGACCTTGCTTGCCACTGTATACTCTTCCCATTCTCCTCCTACTGTCCAAATTATTTATGTTGAGTATGTTTCACCTTTTCAAATAAAAACGCATCCCACCAGCTCTGCAACCAGCAACCTTTCTAAAGCACAAATCTGGTTATGTCACACTCTACTTACGACTCTCCAGGGGCTGTCTATGACGAGGGCATCCCAGACCATCACAGTTTATGCTTGTTACAGAGCCATTATATCCTCACTCTATGGCGTCTCTAAGGATATAATCCACCCTCCTTCTCGTGGACCGGCGTCATCTGACATGACCCTCGCCGGGCTCTTTAAACTCCAGAAGCACTGAACTGCTGGTAGCTCCCCTGCCCGCAAGCTATTTTTAGCCTCCAGGCCTTTGCTCCTGCTGTATCCTCTGCCAGGAATGCCTAGAGTACTCACCCAGCTCAGCTCAGGGGCACAGCCAGTGGCTCAGCCTATAAGACGCAGCCACGCCCACCCATGCCCCTGCCTGCGCGGCTCTGAAGCCCTGCCCACAGCCTGCCTCACCCTCCTGTGTCCTTAGAAAGACAGAACACAAGGAGCTAT
This sequence comes from Homo sapiens, assembly GCF_000001405.40. Lineage (NCBI taxonomy): Eukaryota > Metazoa > Chordata > Mammalia > Primates > Hominidae > Homo > Homo sapiens. The sequence continues at coordinate 10,844,088 of NC_000002.12, read as the reverse complement.
TTATGCGCCTGCTTTATCTCCTATTCTTGAGGGTCGGATATGTGTCCTGTTTGAAATGGAAGAAAAAAGTAATGCCCTAAATTTGAGCCCAGCTCCAGAGCCAGAAACACTTGGATTTGAATCCTGGGTCTGCTACTGGAGCTCTGCAGCCTGAAGGAATGCAGGGATGGCTGCAACCTCGAGCTGTTACTTCACCTCTCTGAGCTTTCCTTTCAGCTGCCTTTCCACTCAACCTCCTGTTTTGTTTTGTTTTTGTTTTGTTTGAGATCTACGAACGCGTGTACATACAGGACTAGTTGGTTTATTTTACCTGACGTGTACTAGTGACGTGTACTAGTAAAGTAGAAAACACATTAACTAATCAGTTTCTCTATTTTCGCTCTGAGGAATCTCTGCCCTGACTGTAACTGATGAGGAATCTCTGCCCTGACTGTACTGAATATGCACATACGAACGTTCCTGCAGACCTTGTCTTTCACTTTACCTGTATTTTTCTTAGCCCTGATCTGTCCATGTATGCGGTCTTCCTCCCATTTGTATTTGGACACACTATCTCAAGCCCTTTTGGGAATGAGGCCAGGAGGATACCTATGCACACAGACACCCTAACAAACAGGCCAAACCTCTAAGGGCATGGGGACGGTAAGAGAAGGGCCTGTCCTATAGGAAATGGCCATCAAAAGCCAACTGCCAGAAATTGCTAGAACCAAGTCTCCCCATGCTAGTGCCGTGTGCTTATTTAACCTCCCAGAGCCTCAGTTTCTTTATTTGTAAAAGGGGGACAAGAATGGTGACTTCACAGAGTTGTCATGAAGATTAAATAACTCATGAAAAGCTGGGCATGGTGGCTCACACCTGTAATTGCAGCACTTTGGGAGGCTGAGGCGGGCAGATCACCTGAGGTCAGGAGTATGAGACCAGCCTGGCCAACATAATGAAACCCCGTCTCTATTAAAAATACAACAATTAGCCAGACGTGGTGGCGGGCAACTGTAATCCCAGCTACTCAGGAGGTTGAGGCAGGAGAATCACTTGAACCCAGAAGGTGGAGGTTGCAGTGAGCCAAGATCACACCACTGCACTCCAGCCTGGGCAACAGAGTAAGTGAGACTCTGTCTTGAAAAATAAATAAATAAATAAAATAACTCATGAAAGACCTTACTACAATACCCAGCATTCAGTAGGTTCAGTAGATATTGATAAACACAGGAACTGATGAATACAGAATCTGAAAGCATCCTCAAAGCTCCTCCAAAGAAATCCAGCCACCTCTCGCCCTAGTGTTGACAAGAGAAGTAAGTTCCCCAGAGGATGCCTGATTGTAACCTCGAATACTGGAGCTGGCCTACAACACTCACGAGCTTTTGCCAGAGAGTTCTGGTTCCTCTAGGAAGATCATCTTTCTTCCTGCCCAGGGCATGGGACATTTGATCCAAGCTGGCACTTGGCTGGATCCTGTCCACATTGGGCAGGCTTGTCTCTGCACCTGCCAGATACTTTCTTAGCCTGCTATCAAGAAGCCAAAGGAGGAGGCATTCTGCAGGAATGGGTGCTCAGGAATGCCTCCAAGCTCACTTCCCGTCAAAGGAGAAATCCTTCCATGTTTAAGGGGTAGAAATCCTTGTAAGTGGTAATCAAGAGAATCCATTGAAAACCTGACTGTACCCTCCTAGAGGTGAGATCTACTTTTGAGCTTTTGCATGCCTTGTGTGCTTGGGCTCCAGTATGCTGTTCCTAAACTGGAGCTGGGCAGGGCATTCATGGTCCAGGGACCTGTGCTCAAGCCAGTGTATACCCTGGGCCTGGGAGTGTAGAGGTCAGTGTCTCCTGTGGCCAGGACCCACAGAGACAGCAGAGGGGCCAAGTCATCAAAGAAGGACAAAGTGAGAGCCAGCACTGAGCTCTCAGGAGCAGAATCCTCCAGGCATTCTGGTTCCCCACAAGAGAGACGGCAGGATGAATAGAAAATACACAGGCCTGGGAGGCAGATGGACACCACTGATTAATGGCATGACTTTAAGCTCATTATTCAACATCTCCACGCCTCTATTGACTCATCTGTGCAGCCAAGATGATGATCACTATGTGGATTGACAAGACAGATGACAACAGGGAAACCCAGGTTATGTGATTAATCAGGGCAGGGTGTCCTCCCTATCACAATTTTTTAAATGCAATTTTGTAATGTCACAGAACTATGAACAACTGCAGAGGAGGCCCAAGCCTTGTTTGCTCACACAAGCTCCCCCACCCCTTTCTTGCTACCAGCTATGCCAGTCATCATGTTATTATGTCCCAGCTCTGAAGTCACCCTTCTTTGCCCTGCTTTGAAATACTGGAGCTGGGCCCTGTAAACATTTCCCCTTTGTCAGCTGGTGCAATGTTAGGCTTTGTCACAGGGGGCTCTGGAGGGATGCCCCAAAGACAGCAGAAGAAGGGGCTTCTCTTCCTGCTGCCAGAACATGGCGTTTCCTCCTGTGGCACAGCTGCCAGTGGGGCTGGTGTGCAGGAGCAGTGATGGCACTCATTCTCCAGCAAACTTCACACCCTACACCCTACGAGCCACTTTTGTGGAGTAGCTCTGGCCCACTCTCTCTCTCTCTCTCTCTCTGAGTTTTCAGGCCGCCGTCTGGGCTGGTCCTCTAGACTTCTCTGGCTCCCACGCTGGCAAATCTCCCCACCAGCAGCAGTTTTTGGTGTTCCAGCAGCAGCTGCATCCCCTCCTGAAGGTCTGGGGCTCCACTCGAGGGGGCGGAAGTCTTAGTTCCTTCATTGTTGACTCCCTCTCAGCCCTAAAGGTAGCAGCCGCTTCCTGCAGCTGCTGTTCCTGAGATCCCTGGAGTCCTCTTCTACCCTTTGTAGCACTCAGCCACCAGATTTCACCTGTTAGTAGTGTCCTGAGGCTGCTGTAACAAAAGTGCTAAAAACCAGTGGCTTAAAAACAGCAGGAACATGTTCTTCACAGTTCTGGAGGATGGAAATTTGAAATCAAGGTGTCAGCAGTGCCCTGCTCCCTCTAAGACCCCGGGGATCCTCCTGGCCTCTTCCACTGATGGCTTGCAGTGGCTTCACTCCACTCTCTCCCTCTGCATTCCATGGCCATCTTCTCCCTGTGTGTCTGCATGCAAATGTCCCTCTTCCTACAAGGACACTGGTCATATTGGACAAAGCCTGCCTTTGATTACATCTGCAAAGATCCTATTTTCAAATAAGGTCACATTCACAGGTATCGGGGTTAGGACTTCAACATGTCTTTCTCAGGGACACAATTCAACCCATAATACCAGACCCTTTGTGCTTGTTGATGAGTCATTTTCCCTGTTACCTTTTCCCTGTTCAAAGTACCGGTGTGGTTTCTGTCTCCTGCCTAGTCCCTGACTAACACATGGCCCTAATTTAACTCACCATAACTCTCATCTGTCCCAGTCCAGCTGAGGTGGGATATTAAAGAAAGAAAAGAGAAATAGAAATTAAAAGGGGGGGGGGAAACAAGCTGCCTGTGATCTCCTGCTTTACCCCGAGGTCTCTCTTGTCCTCCTGATTTTTTTTGCAACAGAGCAACCCCTAAGCCATCTCACTGCCTCCACGCCCATCCATCTACAGTCTCCTTCCACAGCACCCTGCTTAAAACCCTCCAGAGACTTCTCAGCCAGGGTGAAATCCACGCTCTGCCCCGTGGTGCTCTGCCCTGCCCCTTCCCACACTCACCCTGGACCTGCGTCTCCCCTTGCTCGCTAGGCTCCGAGCCCAACAGCATCCCCGCCCCAGGGCCTTTTTTGGGCCACTCTTTGGACCTGGCCTGAATCCCCCAGGGCATCTGCTGCCACCACCTCATCATGTGAGCCTCTGCTCTGCCTCTCCCCTCGGGGAGGCGTTCCCTGACCAACTACTGGCTAAGGCCCCCTCCTGGTCACCCGCTGTCACATGGCCTCCTGTTGTTATCCTCCCCGCATGCACCTGTACCTAGAATTGTCATGGCTGTCTGTTCTGTGTCTGCTCCCCACTCCACCCTCGGCAGCGTTAAACCCTGAGACCAGGACCAGGCACTGCCTAGCATCTCCAGCACCAAGGACAGTGCCCGGCACACAGGAGGGGCTCAGCGAGTATTTGTTGACTGACTGTTGATGTTGCAGCCTTTATTCGAGTACAAATCTACAGAATACGGTAATTACATACCCAGCATTTTAAAAATTCAGATTTTCAGAAATAACAACCACCTGAAAGAAACCCTGGATCTTGTGGGTTTTCTTCATAAACTTCAGCACCTTTGTCCTTTCTCATCAACGCTGTGGAAAATGCTGTACGGTCAGGCCTGCCGCTGAATGAAGTCACTTCCTACTGAACCCTGGGGTGGCCCTGTGCGACTCCTCCGATGGACAAGGCTGGCCCTGGCAAGGGGAACGTCCACACAGGCCTCTCCAGCAGAAGAGCAAGAAACTGGAAGGTTCTCTGATGATAAGTCCTGCTCTCTGAGAAGCAGCACAGTCAAATGTAGAGAACACAGGACTAGGGGCTGTGGTTAGAGCTTTTGCCATAGACTGAGTGTTTGTGTCTCCCCAAAATCCATGCATTAGATCCTAATGCCCAGTGTGATGGTATTGGGAGGTGGGGTCTTTGAGAAGTGGTTGACGGGATCCGTGCCCTTACACAAGAGGCCATGGAGAGCTGCCTTGCCGCTTCCACTGTGTGAGCATGCATTGAGAAGACCCAAGAAATGGGTCCTCACCAGACACCAGATCCGCAGGCGCTCTCATCTTTGGATTTCCCAGCCTCCAGACTATGAGAAATAAATTTTTGCTGTTTTTAAGCCACCCAATCTGTGGTGATTTTTTTACAGCAGCCTGAACAGACTGACAGCTTTGTTCCCCAGTTTGTCACCTCCTGTGTCCTTGGGCCACACCCTTAACCTCAGTCAGTGACAGTTCTCCCCCTGCAAATGAGTAAACTAAGGAGACCTTGCTTTGAGGGAGATGTGTCCTGTAGAGAGAACACTCTAATTAATGCTAATTAAGCTGTTTCCTAATACAAGCCAAAGTAATCATTAAGAAAACAATGTCAATGGTATTAGCATTTGGTTACACTCTTGGGAACAGCTCAGAAAATAAAAGCCTATGAATGATTCCAGAACATGCTTAGAGCTGCTTCCTTGCTGCTGCCACCCAGATCTGACTCCTTAATAAGCCTGAGAAGTCTCCACGAGGAGCTGTTCTTGCCTGGAGCCTCTGGAAAATTGACATAACTCACGACGTGTGTCAGATTGCAGCAAAGATGGAGCTCAGAGAGGTTCCATTCCTGCCTGCTCCATTTTTGAAAACCAAGAGAAACTCATCAGAGTGGCAAGAGAGTGGCCAGCTCTGAGGAAAAGAACCCCTGGGTGGACCTCAACACCCACCCCCGGCACTTTCTGAGCCACTGCTTTCCTCTGCAAAGTGGGGCTATAATCTCTACCTTCAGGGAGAACGCAGATTACAGATACTATATGTACACAGTAGGTAACCAATGAATGGTGTCAAACGTCCACCATCTTGGGGCATGCGGAGTGCAGGGATCCGGCCACAGACCCGGGCCCTCTTCCAGCTGCCCAATCAGAGCCCGCTGCAGCCCACTCCTCACCTGCAGGCCCCTTGCCCCCAACTCATGGGCAGGGTCCCTCTGAAGCTGTTACCCTCATTACTAGAATGTAAGGTCACGGGGCAATCTGTGTGGTCCACAGGTGCATCCCTGGCACCTAGAACACACAATCAAACATTCAGTAAATGTTTGTTGAGGGTCATATGAATGAATGAATGAAGGAAGCGCCCAACGCCAGCCTTTTAGCCAACATTCTCTCATCACGAGAATTTTCTAGGGGCTCAGACACCAGTCCCTGGGTCCCTCCAATTCCAAAGACACACACAACTATCCAGACAGTTCCCTCAAATGCCTCCCCCAGACTTGGGAGAGACTAGTGCACAGGCAGCCTCTCCAGAGCAGTCCCTGCACCAGCCTCCTCAAGCTCCCCAAACTCTCACCCTGCCTTATTCTCCCTGGAGTGGGTGAGGGCCCATGCTGGTAGAACAGCTCTCAACCGCCCAGGCAGAGATGGGCTACCTGACACCTTGTGCTTTCTTCAGAACCCCTCAGGGCCTCAGCTGAAGCTCAGACAGAGTGCCTGCGTGCGCGCGCACACACACACACACACACACACACAACCTAATTTTCAACACACTTGCACAAATATAGAAACATCATGGGGAAAAATGCAAAATACCTATGATTTCTGGAACAAGATCCAAGATGACAAAGATATTCCCTGCTTATTCTGCTCATGCCCGGGCTCCCCTGCCCACCCCCAGTGCGTTCATGTGATATCATGAAAAAGCAGCAGGGGTGGCATGAACTTGCACACCAGGCTGCCCAGGCTTGAGACCCAGCTCTGCCACCTAGAAGCTTGGAGCCCCTGAACAAGCTGCAATTCTGTGCCTGGGCTTTTCTGACTGCAAAATGAGGATAATCACAGCCCCTGCCTCCAAAGTGTCCCGAGGATCAAATGAGTTGATGATACTTGCACGGCGCTCGGATCGTGGTAAGTGTGCTGCATAAGTGCTCCTTAAATCACCATCTGGAGTTTCCATACCAACCTCTCCCTGGCTTCATCTTATTTTTTTCTCCCCCTCATTTTTATTCCTCTCTGATTTCCTCACGTATGTTTTTTAATCTTGTCATATTGAGTGCATCTTTGCAAACTGCTTCTAATTCTTCAGGGAACTAAATGCTGTGTTTCGTGCTCTCTTTTCCCCGTCGCCTCCTTGAATATTTAGTAAGTCTTTGTGAGGACGTCAGCCCCTCCCTGCTGGGCTGGTGGTGTCCTGGGTAAGGGGGCCGTGGCCGCCATGGGAGCAGCACACAGGCCCAGCTTGCTGGGGGCCGCACTCATGGGAAACAGAGAGGGGTGACAGTGAGAACAGAGGCAGGGACAGAGCCAGCTCCTTGATCCTGCTGCCCCTGGAAGCTTCTCCTCCCAGCATCAAGCCCAGGCAGATTTGGGGTTCTGTTGTTTAGGAGACGTGGGATTTCCTTGCTGTAAGTGGGACAAGTATCATCACTGTTAACCATCATGAATGAGAATGAAACAGAATGAGAAGACAAAAAGCCAGAAAGATGTTCTCATTCCTCTGTGCTCACACAGCTCATCAGAGAGGGTTGAGGCATGGGACCCCACGTTCTAACCCCAAGGAGTCCCCATAACCCTGTCTGCTACCCTGAGACACAGGTCCCTTCTTGCTCACATGAAGTAAGCCATCTATTTTTTTTTAATCCCCATAGAACACAAGCGGCAATGAAAAGACACAATATAAAGAAAAGGTTAAGTAGATCAGTGGTTGCCAGGGGTAAGCGAAGGGGAAGATTGGCACAGGTTTCTTTTTGAGGTGACTGATGAAGTGTTCTGGAATTGCTGGGGGGGTTACACAAACTTGTGAATACGCTAAAAACAACCAAATTGGACAATTTAAAAGAGTGAATTCTATGGCATGCGAATGATCTCTTAATTAAAAAAAAAAAAAAGCCTGCAAAAGTTTCATTTAAAACCACAGAAGGCCGGGCACAGTGGCTCATGCCTTTAATCTCAGCACTTTGAGAGGCCACAGCGGGCTGACTGCTTGAGTTCAGGAATTCGAGATCAGCCTGGGCAACTTTGTGAGACTCCGTCTCTAAAAATAGATACATAAATAAATAAATAAATAATAAAATAACACCACAGAGCCCAAAGCCCCAGACCCATCCTAGACAAGGATGCTCCAGGCCTGACGTTGCCAGTGTCTGCAGCAGGCCATCGTAGGACCTGAGTGTGCCTTAAGGGAGTGTGGGATCTGTGGCTGAATTTCAGGAAGATTCAGCTTGTATTTCTTACATGGGAAAGACCCTCGGAAAAGTAGGGGTTGATCTCCCTTCCCCTTCATCACTGGTGGTGGCACCCCCACGGGCACCTAGTGAGGCCAATAGGATCATCTCAGGCACCAAGGTACTCCACGGTCTGAAAGTATTTTTTTTTTTTTGAGACAGAGTCTTGCCCTGTTGTCCAGGATGGAGTGCAGTGTGGCTCGATCTTGGCTCACTACAAACTCTGCTTCCCGGGTTCAAGTGATTCTCTTGACTCAGCCTCCCGAGTAGCTGGGATTACAGGCGCCCGCCACCACGCCCAGCTAATTATTGTATTTTTAGTAGAGACGGGATTTCACTATGTTGCCCAGGCAGGTCTCGAACTCCTGACCTCAAATGATCCGCCCGCCTCGGTCTCCTAAAGTGCTGGGTTACAGGCGTGAGCCACCGCGCCCGGCCCCCTCTCTAAGTATTGTGATTTCATAGGATCCCCTGGCGGTCCCATGAGGGAGACAGGGCCACAGCCACTGTCCCCATTTGGCAGCTGAGTGAAGGTGGAGCTCAGAGGTGGATCCAAACCCAGGCTGGGTTTCCTCGTGGGTCGGAGATGTCTGCTTTACTTTTATTAAAACATCGTCCCGATCTGGCACACCTAAAGCTGTGTATCCGAGTGTGCCGGGCCGGCTCCCTGGGCCCCACCTGCCTTCAGGCCTCCAGCTCTTGCCTGCAGCGACCCCTGGTGGGTGCGCCGGCCTCGTCACCTCCAGGCTGGGGACTGGGCTTCCCCGGAGGCCGCACCTGGAAGGAATACGCCCCGGATAAGGCCCGCGATGGAAACGGAACCCGGCTGGCTCACTGCCAGCGGCCTGGTCAAGAAGGCGGGCTCCGGAGCCCGACTGCCGGGGGTACTTGCCCACCTCACCCGCCTGCCAGCCCTGTGTCCCTGGAGTCCCCAGCCTTTCCACCATCTCAGGCCTGGGATGGAAACAGCACTTCCTGCAGATGGCTTGGGAGGCCTGGAAGGACGGTTCAGGTAAAGTGCACCGCCCGGGGCCGAGCAGCGGCCACAGTACACACACAGGCGCTGGTGCTGCTCCTTGCTGTAGGCCCGCCCCACCTGTTCATGTTCATCAACCCACGCTATGAAATTAGTTCACTCTACGCCAGGCACAGTGGCTCATGCCTGTAATCCCAGCACTTTGGGAGGCTGAGGCAGGTGGATCGCTTGAGATCAGGAGTTCGAGACCAGCCTGGCCAACATGGTGAAACCCTGTCTCTACTAAAAATACAAAAAATTAGCCGGACATGGTGGTGCGTGCCTGTAATCCCAGCTACTAAGGAGGCTGAGGCAAGAGAATCTCTTGAACTTGGGAGGCGGAGGTTGCGGTGAGCTAAGATCACACCACTGCACTCCATCCTGGGCAACAGAGCAGACTCTGTCAAAAGAAAGAACGGAAGGAAGGAAGGAAGGAAGGAAGGAAGGAAGGAAGGAAGGAGGGAAGGAAGGGAGGGAGGGAGGGAGGGAGGGAGAGAAATTAGTTCACTCCACAAACACATCAAGTGTCCCTTGTGTGTCTGAGGCAGGGAAGGGAGGAGACCTGCCTCTTAGTGTTCATAACAAAGAAGGACCTGGACCCTCCCAGGCCACAGGAGCCTCGGCCTGCATCCAGGCCACAAGGGTTTACTAAGCACCCTGTCAGTCCTGCCAGGCGCTCAGGGACCAATGAGATCCCACCTCTGGGAGTCACTGCAGCCCAGAGGGGTGAGGGGCAGTGCCACAGAGAGGCCAGGCCTCCGTGGAAGGAGGGAGGGAGGGTGGCCAGCCCCAGGGAGGGAGGGAAGCCTCACAGGAGAAGGGCACACGTGTCCAGAATGTTCCCTCTCCACAGAGAGGGTCTTTCTCTCCAAAGCACACTGCTGCAGGCAGCATCCGTGGCCCACATAGAAAGAGGCTCGCCTTTGATCCAGCCTGAGAGGTTCCCTTTTTTGTCTCTGCTCAGAAGCGCAGCCTGAAAGGAGAGTGAGGCACTGCCTCCTTTTGAAATCATGCAATTGCTGCTGAGACCCCAAAGAAAGATACAAATTCACTGGGATCTTTCCCCAGATCTGCGTTGCTCTCACTGTAGAAGCTGTTGGGACTTTGCAACAGTATTTAGAAAACACCTAATGCCCAGTTTAAATCTTCTTCAGAAGTCTGGGGATGGGGGAAGGGAGAGGAAATTATTTTAGAATTCCGCTTCCGTGTGGCAACATCCAAAGATAAGAGAAACACAGAGAGCACTGGTGGGACCTGGGAGGAGGCAAAGATTTCTCTAAACAAGCGTCTGGGGCTTCCAATAACCAGACACTGGCTGCCACTTCAGGGTCTTGGCACCTCGAGCTCCAAGCTCCACTTCCAGACACTTGATGGCTTCCAGCCCTGGGGATGTCATTTAACCTTTCCAGGCTCGATGTCCACATCCACTTAACTTCATACATCTCCCTGCAGAGCCCACTATACAGCAAGTACATGCCCTGGAATCCAGGCCCTGCCTCCGGGAGTTCCAATCTGTGTATGGGTATAAGAGGGATGTGTCTCTATTCATAGGGGCTTACAAGGCTGGTGCCAACCATACTGGCACTCTGGAAACTTCTGAGAAGGGGCTCAAACATGTTCTGAGGAGAGGGCCCAGCCGCCTCTACCTGGCAGAAGTCAGGGAATGAGCCCGCTGTGGGTTTTTGAGGTTCTGGGGGCCACTCCCCTTGGCTGTGAGGCTTATTACCCCACTGTGGTGATGGACTGAAAACCCCCAGAGGGGGTGGGGACACACCAAGCTCAGAGACACAGCAGCAAAGTGGGGGCCTGAGAAAGCTGCCTCCCAGGCCTGCTGATCGGGAAATTCCAAACGGGAAAGGATGATTAACAACTGCGGGAGCCGGAGGAGGGGAGAGGAGAGGGACCGGACAGGGAAAAAGACCCCAGATCCTGGGCCTGCCCGAGGGCAGGAGCCAGCCTGGCCAAAGTGAGACTAGAGGCCACACAGACATGGGCCCCTTCCGCGGAACTGGCCTGTCGAGGGAGCGGGGCTGTCCCTGACACAGAGCCTGGGCTCTACATGGACACCTGTCCAGGCAGGGGAGGGGATGCTTTCTGACTGCTCTGCCTCTGGGAAATGGGGACTCCTGGCCTTTCTCCATGCCCCAATATCATCTGTGAGCTCCCTCCCACCCATCACTTGGCCTTTTAAGGAGAGTGACCCCAGAGGGCTGGAGTTCTGGGAGCCTCCAGAGTCCCGGCTTCTGCGGGTCTCAGTGGCTGGGGGGGCGGGGGGTGGGACCAGCGCTGGCCTCGACCTTGCCTTTTCTGCGTCCGCCAAATGTCCCTGGGGGCCCAGGTGATCCTCACCGCCTCCTTACCCTGTTCCTGTGGCAAGCCACAGCCTGGCCTCCAAGCCAGCTGCCCCTCCCCTCAGGAGATGCCTCATCTGGGGTCGCCCTCTTCTGCCCTGGACCCGACCTCCTGGAAGGAAGACCGAGGCGGGAGATGCTGACTGCAGGATTCAGCCAGCCCAGGGCCTGAGCCTGGGCCCTTCGGTCCACCACAGCCCCGATTTTTTAGTGTAAATATTGTATCTAAGTACAGCACATACAGAGAAAAGCGCACGAGTCCTGAGCGCACAGCTCAAATCCCACACGCATCCCCGCAGCAGCCTGCGCAGAGCAAGGGCAGAGCGCCCCCTTGCGGTCACTTCCTGTCACTACTCAACCGAGGGTGCCCGCTGCAAGGTTAGGTCTCCTGGCCTCGTGCTTCAAACAGGAATTAATAGAATCCCACCAGGTGGTGTTTGTGAGGCGTAGATGGCGAGGATATCTGCAGCTGCAGTTTGCTCATTCTCACGGCTGCACTGCATTGCACTGTGTGAGCAGAACACAATTTATCCTTCCACTGCTGATGGGCATTTGGGCGGTTTGCAGTTTGGGATCTGGCCAGTTCTGCTGTTGTGAGCATTCTTAAGCCTGCCTTTCGGTGAATTCACACGCCCGTGGGGTGAGTATGTGCCTGGGGTTGGGATGCTGGGTGGGTGTGTTCCAGTTCAACATTGCTGGCAGGATTGTTGTCTATTTCACTCCCCGCCATATTCCACCACCTCGAATTGTGCCTGGAATATCATAGGTGCTCAGTAAATATCTGTTGAAATGAATTCTCTCCTCTTTTTTTTTTTTTTTTTTTTTGAGACAGGGTCTTGCTCTGTCACCCAGGCTGGAGTGCAGTGGCACCATCATAGCTCCAGGGGACCCTGGCTTGCCCGCCTCTGCCCTCAGCGCCCAGCAGAGAGCCTGGCACATGAGGAGAGAGAGGTTTGAGGGGAGAGGAAGGAGAGGACATTCACACCCCATGACTGGCTGCCCAAGGCAGGACAGCAGGGGTCCAGGAAGGTGGCTGGGAGGAGGAGGATGACTACGGCCGGGAGCTGGGTTCCGCTTGGAAACTGCATCCTGTCAGGCCCTAGAATCTGTCAGACACACAATCACGCGATGAAGGAGACGTTGGTATCAATTAACTCGTGTTCAGTGAAGGCCAATCCTGTCCAGTGAGCAGATTACTTGTGTCTGCCAGGCAGGGTGTGGAGGCGAGGGGCACATCGTAGCTGGATCTGAAAGCTGCTTATTGCACCCAAATCAGCAGCTGACGACACCTCCCATTCAGGCTACCCAGAGGTCTGACCGATGACCTGCCCCTGCCCCAGGATGTGGGGCTGCCGGGTGAAACGCAGTCTTAGCAGCTGCAAGGGAGGGCTCCAGCCACCATGCCAGAAGAGGCTTACAGGGAGAAGGAGCCGGAGAAGTAATGTGACCAGTGCCGCTGATTCTTAGTGAGCTGAGCAGTTTTGTCAGGTGGGGGCCACCCTCAGAAACAAGCCAGCCTGCGTTTCCCCGAGTCAAGAGAGTGCCGTAGACTACAATGTGCACGGGCCCGGGAGGAGGGCAGCGCCACAGCCCTGGCCACGGGGTCAAGGGGAAGGCTAAGTAGGTGGGGGCAAGTGGTCACAGCGCTCATCAACGCCCGCCCTATCACAGTAGACTCATCTGCGGCTCCAAGTGCCAAGGGTGAGGCCAACCCAAACCCACTGCAGTCAAGGAATCCCGGAAAGAGAGAAGGGGGGTCTCACCAGCGGCTGGAAGCAGAGCGGAGTCCGCTGCGCTCCCACAAGGGCCCTCCCCGCCAGCCCCTGTGGCTCAGGGACAGTGAGGGGCTGGGCCGGTGCAGGAGGGAGCTCATTTCTCCCTAGGAGGGAGACAGAGAGGCTAAGTGGGGAGGAACTGAATGTTCTGAAAAGCTGACGTGGCCAAGCGCCCAAGGAGACCACAGAAGTGCCCCGTGTGCCTCCTGAGCCACCAGCCGGCGGGGGTGGCACCAGGCAGACCTCAGCTCCAGCCCACTCTGCGCAGGTGGAGTCCCCGTGTGTCCAGGGGCACAGCCACGCCCGCGCAGGGGGTGACCCGAGGGCCTGGAGGGGCAGTTCAGTTCAGCTCTAAGTCTGAGGCCACATTCTCCCTATTTCCTTGAACTAATTTCTCACTTTAACTGAAGACTTAAGTATCTCCTACAAAATTGCTTTGCCCTCATGGGCTGGGTTTTGGATTTTATTTTTGAGAGAGTGAGCTCCAGAAAACAACTTAGAATCCTCTTTTGTCCCTTGGCTGCACTCCCCAGGCCGCCAGGGAGGAAAGGCCCTGCTGCTTCCTGCAAAGGCTCTGGGTGCCACCCCATGTCCCTGCAGACGCACTCCTGCCCCATAGCTGTGCCCGCAGGAAAAGGTGCCCGAGAGAACCTTGACCCTCTGGCCAGAACCAGGCAGGCTTGCAAACTCACTGAGTTCCACCAGTTCAAACACAAGCATTCAGCCAAAACAAATGGAGAACTGATAGGCACGGAGGTCCACAGCATATTATTCACGGATGCGTTCATTCATTCCAACATTCATTCATTCATTTTCCCAGGCCGTGCTAGGAGCTGGGACACAGCCCAGTCCTGGCCCCTGTCTTGAAGCTGCGCACCCACACTGGAGGGGCAGACACAGGCACTGCTTCTACATGCGGGTGCAAGGAGGCAGTGTGGAGCAGGAGCGGCCCCTCTACCTCCCAGGGCCTGGGGTGAGGAAGCTTCCTAGAAGGGCTGCCATGGCTTAAGGGTTGAGTGTCAGCCAAGGTAGTGGGGGGCAGAGAAGCATCCTAGGCAGAGACAGCCAGAGAGCAAAGTCTTCCATGCAACACGCTTGAAGAACTTGGGCATGGCGGGAGCACAGAGGACAAGCCCTGCCACCTCGCGAAGGCATGTGGACTTCACAGTGCCGCCACGGAGAAGCTGAGGTTTGATTTATGCCACTTTTAGGTGGTCAGAGGGACTGTTTGACCCGACTTCTCATCCTTAGAGGAATCCAGGGATGGACTTCAGAGCTCACCTCCAAAAGAGATTGGAAATGTAATCACGTACAGTGTCAATATGTACACCTACTATGTACCCACAAAAAATTAAAAATAATAATTAAAAAAAGAGGCTGTTGCAATAGCCCAGGCCAGAAATTCTGGGACCTGAACTAGGATTTGTGTGGAGAGGAGAACATGCCACTTAGGTTTCAAATTTGGCAGGATTTGGTGATTGACTCAGTGAAAGGCAGAAAAATTGTTTCTAATCTCCACCCCCCAACACCGTGCCTTCTAACAAGGGCAGTTCCTGGTAAGGACAGGATCTTTTGATTGGAGAGCAAAAAGTCAACACCCTTGGTTATTATGGCTTTTGGCCAAATTATAGGCAATAGCAGGCAATGGAAGGAGGAAAATGAGAGTCTGGAGAAGCAGGGCAGAGCCCACCTGCTCAACTAAGAGAGGGGACAGGGCTGTGAGGCACGGGTGCTCCTGAAGCTGAAGAAGCCAACAGCGCTGGGAGCTGCCTGGGGGCGGGAGGTGTCCATGAGCCAGGATTCTGGGTATGAGTGGCCCAAAAGAGACCCTGGGAGAGAGGACATCAGGGGAACAAACAGCTGAGGAGGTGGGCATGACACAAACCCTTCTCCCAGCCCAGAGCCTCTCCAAAAGCTCAGGCCAGATATCGCCCTTTTCACAACACCGGGTAAGCAGATTCTCTCTTGGGGAATGAGAAGGGCACGAAGACCTGTTGAAGCCAGTGCAATCCTGGAAAGTGCCTGGACAGCACCCCAGAAGAGAGGGTGACCTGGGTCACTGAAGACGGGGTGGGGGATAACACTGTTAACGTGATGATACATCAGCTGTCCCCAGACCACACCAGCATCTGGAGTGAATGAAGCGGGCACCCTAGCAGGCAAGGAGGAAGCCCTGCTTTGCTGGTCATGCATCCCAGGCTTCCGGAGTGCCCCTGGGAATTTCCGAACACATCCATGCACTTGTGACCCGGGGGCCAGAGCCAGGGGTCATTTGGCTTTGTGCCCCCTCCAAAGCAGGGGTTTCCAGTGTAGCACATTTGTGCCCCAAATTCTCAGAGGTGTTTTATTCGCAGCGCCTGTCCTCAGAAGAATCAGACATGATCCAAAGGGGGCTGGTAGGGGACACTGAGACAGCAAGGCTGCACCATGCCCAGTGTCGCCTGCCCCGCACAGGCTAGCAGGAGACTGGCACTGTGCTGCCCCTTCGTCCCAGCTGCCATCTGCATGGGCGGAAGAGTGCCCTGGGCCCTGGTGGTGCAAGGAGGGCGGGAGACAGACCCTCGCATTCCTCTGGTCTCAGGGTCGTGGGCCTGGGTGGAGGGGGCACACACCCTACTGGAACAGGGTGCTCCAGGCTGTGCCCATGGCCTCGACACTCTGCACTTCTTAAAGGGGAAATGACAAACGGCAGCCTGTTATTTCTCTTCCTCACCCTCTGAAACTACTTCCTGCCCATTGAATTTCTGATACATTTTAATTGAAAAATTGATATACAGATAAAGCAAATTGGGGGTAGGTTGGAATGAATAGTTGGAGCACAGAGGATTTTTAGGACAGTGAAACTACTGTGTCTGATACTATAAGAGTAGATGTGTGTCATCTCCATCTGTCCAGACCCATAGAATGCACAACACCAAGTGTGAACCCTAATGTAAACTGTGGGCTCTGGGGGATAATGAGGTGTCAATGTAGGTTCATTGTAACAAACATGCGGGCTGCTGCGGTGTGGGATGTTGATAGTGGGGAAGGCTGTGTGTGTGGCAGGGGGAGGGGTTTTATGGGGAATTCACTGTCCCCCTCAACTTTGCTGTAAACCTAAAACTGCTCTAATAGACTAAATGAAGTCTATTAATTTTATTACATTGCATTAAAAAAATAAAAATAAAAAGATTAAACTTTCACAAACTTTTTTTTTACTCTAGTTCTAAAGAATTGCAAGAAAAAAAAAATTTTTTTTTTTTTGAGACAGAGTCGTACTCTGTCACCCAGGCTGGAGTGCAGTGGCGTGATCTCGGCTCACTGCAACCTGTGCCTCCCAGATTCAAGTAATTCTCCTGCCTCAGCCACCTGAGTAGCTGGGATTACAGGTGTGTGCCTCCATATCCCACTAATTTTTGTATTTTTAGTAGAGACGAGGTTTCACCATGTTGGCCAGGCTGGTCTTGAACTCCTGGCCTCAAGTGATCTGCTCACCTCAGCCTCCCAAAGTGCTGGAATTACAAGTGTGAGCCACCACATCCAGCCCTTATATTTCTTCTGAAAACCTACACTTTCATTAAATTTTCAATCACTAAACTTTATTAGTATGTGGCAGACACTGTTGTAGACAGATGTTGCCAGCACATAGGAAGGTTCTCCTCTGTTCCCTCATGGAGGCTTCATCCTAGTGAAGACAGATGATAAACAAATAAATATGTAAATAAGGCTGGGTGCGGTGGCTCACACCTGTAATCCCAGCACTTTGGGAGGCTGAGGAGGGCGGATCATCTGAGGTCAGAAGTTTGAGACCAGCCTGGCCAACATAGTGAAACCCCGTCTCTACTGAAAATACAAAAATTAGCCAGGTGTGGTGGTGCATAACTGTAGTCCCAGCTACTCAGGAGGTTGAGGCAGGAAATTGCTTAAACCCGGGAGGCGGAGGTTGCAGTGAGCCGAGACTGTGCCATTGCACTCCAGCCTGGGCAGTAGACCAAGACTTCATCTCAATCAATCAATCAATCAGACACATATGAATTCTGATCAGTTCTGAGGAGAAACTAAACACCAAGTTTGATGAACTGCTCACCCGGGGGCACTGTCACTTCAGATCACCTGGTGTGAGAAGAGCCTGAAGAGGTGGTACATAAGCTGAGACTGCAGTGATGGAGGCAGCAGGTCGTGCCAAGGCCCGAAGGCAGGAACCAGCCTGTTGTGTCTGAGGAAATGAAAGAATACTGCCATGAACAGAGGGAAAGAGGGAGGGGTTTGAGGTGACGTCAGAGGCAGGCTCTTAAAGGTCTGCTCAGGAGGGCAGATTTTTCTTCTATGTCTTATAAGAAGCCACTGGGAAAGGTTCTGTCTGTTTAACAGTTTTATTGAGATATAATCCACACACCATATGATTCACCCAATTAAAGCGTATAATTCGACCTGGCACAGCGGCTCACGCCTGTAATCCCAGCACTTTGGGAGGCTGAGGCAAGCAGATCACCTGAGGTCAGGGGTTTGAGACCAGCCTGGCCAACATGGCAAAACCTCCTCTCTACTAAAAATACAAAAATTAGCCGGGTGTGGTGGCAGGCGCCTGTAATTCCAGCTACTCGGGAGGCTGAGGCAGGAGAATGGCTTGAATCCAGGAGGCAGAAGTTGCAGTGAGCCAAGACTGCGCCATTGCACTCCAGCCTAGGCAACAAGAGCGAGACTCCATAAAAAAAAAAATCCATTATTCAATGGTTTTTAGTAAATTCATAGATATGTGCAACTGTCCTCTCCCAACTCCCAGCCCTAGACAGCCACAAACCTACTTTCTGTCTCTATAGACTTCCTAGTTCCGAACTTGAATATGAAAGTAATCATGTGGTTATTTTGAGTCTGGCTTCTTCCACTTAGCATAATGTCATCAAGGTCAATCCATATCGTGGCATGCCACTGCGCTTCCTTCCTTTTAATAGCTGAATAATATTTCCGTTGTATAGCATGGCACTTTTCGTTCATCCATTCGTCAGGTGATGAACATTTGAGTTATTTCAGCCTTTTGATTATGATGAATAATGTTGCTAAAACATACCTGTATGTGTTTTGTGTGGACATGTGTTTCATTTTCTTGGGTAGATGCCTAGGAGTGGAATTTCTGGATCACATGGTAACTGTTGAATTATTTGAGGAGCTGTTGGACTGTTCTCTAAAGTGGTTGCACCATTTTACATTCCCAAAAGCCGGTGTTGGAGGGTTCCAATTTCTCCACCTCTTCACCAACACTTGTTATTCTCTGACTTTGATTCTAGCCAAGCCAGTGGGTATGAAGTTATTTCTCATTGTGGTTTTGATGGACATTTCTCTGGTAACTAATGACGCTGAGCATCTTTTCATGTGCTTTATTGGCCGTTTCTATGTCTTCCTTGGAGAAATGTCTACTCAGATCCTTTGGGCATTTTTAAATTGGTTCTTTTGTCTTCTTATTATTGAGTTGTAATCATTCCTTATACATTCTAGATACTAGTTCATTACCAGACATATCATTGCAAATATTTTATCCCACACTGTGTGTTGTCACTTCCTTGATGGTGCCCTTTGAAGCACAAAAGGTTTTAATTTGATGAATTCCAAATTGTCTATTTCTCTTCTGTTGTCCATTGGAAAGTTTTAAGTAGGGGAGAGGAGTGTGAACTAATTTAAACTTTTTCAAGAATCCATAAGAGTCTGCTTTGTGGAAAAAGAATTTTAAGATACCGTATTAGTCAGGATTCTCTAGAGGGACAGAACTAATAGGATATATATATACAGAGAGAGAGAGAGACAGAGAGAGAGACAGAGAGAGAGACAGAGAGAGACAGAGAGAGAGAGGAGTTTTTAAAATATTAACTCACATGATCGCAAGGTCCAAAAATAGGCCATCTGCAGGCTGAGGAGTAAGGAGAGCCAGTCCAAGTCCCAAAACTGAAGAACTTGGAGTCTGATGTTTGAGGGCAGGAAGCATCCAGCATGGGAGAAAGATGTAGGCTAGGAGGCTAGGCCAGCCTGGCCTTTTCACGTTTTTTTCCACCTGCTTCATATTCTAGCTGTATTGGCAGCTGATTAGCTGGTGCCCACCCAGATTAAGGGTGGGTCTGCCTTTCCCAACCCACTGACTCAAATGTTAATCTCCTTTGGCAACACCCTCACAGACACACCCAGGATCAATACTTTGCATCCTCCAATCCAATCAAGTTGACACTCTATATTAACCATCACAGATACCAAGAGTGAAAATAGAAAGACCAATTAGAAACCCAAATCAAACTTGCTTAAACAATAAAGATGATTTCATATTTCAATAACTGGAATGTTCAGCTGAAGGACAGTCTTCAGACACTGATCAGGTATTGTCTCCATTTCTCCGTGACTGTTTCAGCTCTGCCCCGCTTCAGCTTCATCCCCACGTGGGTTTTCCTCATCTTGTGGGGTAGTTTCCAGGGACAACAGGGATCCATGCTTCTGCCCAAGCAAATGCCACTCTTCTAGCCATTGACCAAAGTCCAGAGCTTCACTCTGATTGGTTTATGTCACATGCTCACCCTGGAACAATCACTGTGGCCATGTGAATGCCACTGGCCACTTGGCTTAGTGGCTATTGTGGTGACAAACCCCTTCCTGAGCCAATAACTGTGGCAAGGGGGATAGAGTTCTGCCAGCTGGACAACGCTGCTAGAATCCACCCAGGGTTGCTACACAATGGGGAGGGGCAGCAGAACACTCGACAGGTGTCATCGGCCACAGACATGTAATCACGGAATGTAAGCTGCCCCCAGGGATGGGGCATAACCTTGGGCACAGCAGCTCTTTTTAGCCAATGGAAGGACACAGCCATGAAGCAACAGCAGTCAACACTCCCCATGACTGGAGGTGTGAGTGTCTCCTCCTGAAGCAGAGTCTGGGCTACATACCACAGCATCCACTACAGTATGGAACCAACATTTTTGACTCTGAGATGGCTATCTGCCTACAGGAGGTTTACTGGAGTGTGCTCTTGGCAATGACACCAACAAGGAGGTGGCAAAAATAAGGTTGGGTAAGAGAAGCTAAATCATAAAGCTGAATCATGATGTGGGTGCTTACAAGGGCCTCAGTGGACCCCCATGGGAAGCTTAAAGCTGGGAAGGGCCTTCAGGGTTGTCCCGAATTGAGAAAAGGAGGGCAGTCCTTTGTATCCCCAAATCTATCAGTCATGGAATGTAAGCTGCCCCCAGGGAGGGAGTATAACCTTGGGCACAGCAGCTCTTTTTAGCCAATGGAAGGACAGAGCCATGAAGCAACAGCAGTCAACACTCCCTATGACTGGAGGTGTGAGTGTCCCCTCCTGAAGTGGGTCTGGGCTACACACCACAACATCCACTACAGTACAGCACTAACATTGTTGACTCTAAGGGGCTACTGCAAAAGTCCACATAGCCATTTGGAACCAAGGTGGTGGCAATTGTGAGAAAGTGGGAAAAATGTCAGCAGATTTTGAATATGTTTTGGTGCTCGAATTATCAGAAATTGCCAAAGAATGTTGGGAGCTGGTGATGGAAAGAGAACCCAATGAGATTTGGGGCTTGAGCAATTGGATTGGTGGTGTCATTGATACAGATGACAAAGTGTTCGCTGAGCACCTAGGCACTGAATAGAGATTTATTTCCTTCTTCTTAACCCTCTCCCACTTTATTCAGAAGTTCATATGAGCCATAACAAGGATTGGAAGAAGTTTTAGAAGTAACCTCCTGGGAGTCCATGAATTAGCAGCAGTGAGAGGCTAGAGGCCTGACAAAGAATTGAGAAGCAGCTGCTATATCCCAAGTGGCAAATGCCAGTGTGGATGGAGAAGAGAGAGCTTCATTCTGTGGCAGGAAAGCTTGGCTGCTGACAATGAGACTGCACCCTTGGGATTTGTCCCTTGGATTCTTTAGCATCTGAGCTCTAACCTCTGAAACACAAGAAAAAATGAGCAAGGTGATTTGTCCAGGCCACCTCTACTTCTGGAGAAAGGAGTCATAGCAAATGATCCACCACTATCTAGTCCCTGAGTGGATTTATACAAACCACCCCGAAGACACTGGGGTACTCTAAGATTGGCCCCAGATAAGCCATGGGGATACAGCACAGAAAAACTGTCCATGGCCAATATCAAAGATGCAGCTGGAGACCAGGCATCATGGGAGGTTCACAAAGGGGAGGCCTTGTCTTGTCCGCAGGAAGCTGCGCTCACAGCTTGTCTCCTCAGACTTGCTAGAGAGGCAACAGCCATAACAAAGGCTCAGACCTCACTTTTGGAGTGGCCACCATATGTTTTGGTTTTAGCTTTGCCTTGCAAATTGTTTAGTAAAGCCAGGCCAGAACATATACCCAAATGCTACTGCACCGATCCCAAGCTACCTGTTTGACTTATTAGATGGTATAGAGGGTGAAGATATTATCACTCTACTAAGTGCCTCCTTATCAATGAGTCCCACTAAGGAGCACGAGCCCACTTATCCCTGTTTGCAGTGCTACATTAAAAATCATTTATGAGGCCAGGCACGGTGGCTCACGCCTGTAATCCTAGCACTTTGGGAGGCTGAGGCGGGTGGATCACGAGGTCAGGAGATCGAGACCATCCTGGCTAACAGGGTGAAACTCCATCTCTACTAAAAATACAAAAAATTAGCCAGGCATCGTGGCGGGCGCCTGTAGTCTCAGCTACTCGGGAGGCTGAGGAAGGAGAATGGCATGAACCCGGGAGGCGGAGCTTGCAGTGAGCCTAGATCGCGCCACTGCACTCCAGCCTGGGCAACACAGCGAGACTCTGTCTCAAAAAAACAAAATAAATAAATAAATAAATAAAAATCATTTATGGCTGGGTGCAGTAGCTCATGCCTGTAATCTCAACACTCTAGCAGGCCGAGGTAGGCTGATCACTTGAGCCCAAGAGTTCAAGACAAGCCTGGACAACATGGTGAAACCCCATCTCTACAAAAATACAAAAATTAGCCAGGCATGGTGGTGCATGCTTGCAGTCCCAGCTACTCGGGAGGCTGAGGTGTGAGGATCACTTGAGCCCAGGAGGTTGAGGCTGTAGTAAGCCGTGATCATACCACTGCACTCCAGCCTGGGCAACAGACTCTGTCTCAAAAAAATTTTTTTTTTAATTTTAAAAATCGTTTATATAAGGCTGGGTGTGGTGGCTCAAGCCTGTAATCCCAAAACTTTGAGAGGCTGAGGCGGGAGGATCACTTGAGCCCAGGAGTTCAAGACCAGCCTGGGTAACATAGTGAGGTCCTGTCTCTACAAAAAATAAAACATTAGCCGGGCATAGCAGCATGTGCCTGTGGTCACAATTACTTGGGAGCCTGAGGCAGGGGGATCACTTGAGCCTAGGGGGTCAAGGCTGCAGCAAGCCATAACTGCGTCACTGCACTCCAGTCTGGGTGACAGAATGAGACCCTGTCTCAAAAAAAAAAATCATTTATTATTGCCCTTGGATAGAATCTTTAAATTCACAGAAACACTTACAACCCTATAGAAGGAGAAGTGCTGAATTGTCGAATTCTCCAACAATGCTTCCTCTTTCTAGATGTTTGCTCAGCATCAATTCAGATACCGCTGAATAGAAGGCAACACCCAACCACACAGCCAGAGGCCTCCTGGGTAAATCGGGGACTGCTCTCCTCTGACCCCTCTTTCTCCTGCCTCTACCCCTTGGCTTCACAGCAATTATTCATTTTTTAACACTCAAATGCTGGGTACCTGTTGCCTATGTCGGGGCACGCTGTTACTCCCTACACACAGGTAAAATTGATTAACCGAATCTTGCCCTCCACTGGCTTACTGTGCAACGGTAGAGACTGGAAGCAACAGACGAGGGTGAGCTTTGGAAGAGCTGATGAGGCCATGATTAATTTCAACTGAGAGGTAAGAGAGGGGGAAGGAAGGAGGTGGATTTCAGCTGGGCCATAAAGGATGGGCAATATTTCAACAACAGAAAAGTGAGAAGAGGGCATTCCAAATCTCCGAAGGCTGTTTTAAAACACGACCTGAAAATTCTGTGGCCATCTCCTCACTGGGAGGTAGAATCCACCCCCCTCCCCTTCGTCCTGGGCCCAACGACCTGCTTAACCAGGGTCAGTTTCCAAACCCAGGTCCTGAAGTGGCAGCTTCCTCTTCCTGACTCTTAGGACGCTCACTCTCAGAGCACAGCTTCCAGAGGAGAGAAGATACCCCCAGCATCCATGAGAAGAGACCTCCGGGAGAAGCTTGTGTGGGTGTGCCGACCACTGGCCCCAGTTGAGGTCCCAGCCAACATCAGCTCCGACTTCCAGCCATGTGAGTGAACTGGCCCAGCTCCCTGGCTTCGGGCCACCCCAGCTGGTGCCGCTGATACAGGAGGTAGAAAGAAATTATTTAGACAGATAGTGAGGACAAAAGAGTCCTCGACAGAACTTCCCTTCTAACAAAAAACAGCTCAAGAAATTATTTTTTTCCTAACGAAGAATAGCCTGAAAAATCAAACTACAGACACAGATAAACAAAGACAACTAGAAAAACTAGAAACTTACACAGGGGAATGCCAACGATGACATCTATAGAAACGAGGCTACCTGGGGGCTGGACATGTCCACCATGGAAGCTCCATCTTCCCCTTCTTTGTTAACACGTGTACAGTAAAAAAGAAATGGGCAACATGACAATTTAGACTGAAAACACACCTGTAATAAAATACTGGGGTGGGGGTTGCCAGAAATGTACACCTTATACAAATGACACACCTGGTCCTAATCAATTTTTCATGCCCTCTGTAGATCAGACACCACCTCCCCAGCGACTCATCTATAAAACACCCCACATTTAACCACAGATCAACAACCCATTTTTCCGGGACCCCCTTCTATAACAGAGAGCTATTCTCTCTCTTTCATCTATTAAACTTCCGCTCTTAACCTAACTCTTCGTGGGTCCACGTCTTTAATCTCCATGACCATGAGACAACGAACCACAGGTATTACCCCAGACAATGAGGCCACTTCACTATGCCAAGAACACCTCTGGACTTCAGTGTCTCCCTCGGTAAAGTGAGACTAGTCATATCTAACTGCAGGGCTGCTGTGAGGATTAAACGAAACACAACACATGGTGGCCCCATCTAATAGAGACCAGCAGGACAAACCTGCAGACCAGCAGAGGCGGGCTTCTCGGATCACTGCAACAAGAGAGGGCACCTCAGAGGACCCATGGGGCAACTCTAACCAAGCAAGCCAACAGGATTACCATAGGGTGTTGGAGAAGGGAAAGTTGTAGGTAAGATTTAAATAAAGCAGTGTTTAATAGGCTCAAAGCAAAACACAACTGTGTATAAAGGAATTACGGTCAGACCTGGGCTACGAAGTGGATGGAGGTTCCTCTTTCCTTGGAAATGATGAAGTTAAGACAAATGTGCAATGTTGTGTCCAGAAGGCCCTGGGTTGGAAATCAAGGCAGCTTCTCAGTGTTAAGATGACCCAGGTCCTTCAGACAAAAGAAGGATGTTCCATTCTTACTCTATTTATCTCAAATAGCACAGTTTATAACAGTCTGTGCTTTTTCAGGAATAAGATTTTTCAGCACTATAACTTTTCGTTGATTAACAAAAGCAGTTTTAGCAGGTTCACAGATGTAAATACGTGGAGCCTGGCATATGGTGAACATTCGGTAATAGTTTCCCCATCCCCACCTCACTCATCTCCTCTTCTCTCTCACTTTCAGGCTCACCAACTTCTCCTGCCCACTCCCTATCAAGGAAAAGTCCCATAATGTATCCATCAACCACCATGGCTAATGCACCCGGTAAGTAGAGGAAACTCCCAGAGTAGGAGCCTCCATCTGTTCACAACAGCCAAAAGGTGAAAACAACCCAAGTGTCCACTAACAGACGGATGGATAAACAAAATGAGGTCTAGTCATATGATGGAATGTGACTCTGCTTTAAGAAGGAAGGAAATTGACACATGCCACAGCATGAATGGACCTTGAAGACGTTAGGCTAAGTAAAATCAATCACTCACAAAAGGACAGTACTATAGGATTCTACTTACATGAGATGTCTAGAGTAGTTAAATTTATAAAGACAGAAAGTAGGATGACAGTTGCCAGGGGTCAGGGGGAGGGGGAATGAGGATTTGGCATTTAATGGGGATAGAGTTTCAGTTTGGGGTGATAAAAAGCTCTGGAGATGAAGGTTGTACAACGATGTGAGCGCATTTAATGCCATGGAACTGTACACTTAAAAATGGTTAAAGGCCAGGTATGGTGGCTCACGCCTATAATCCCAGCACTTTGGGAGGCTGAGGTGGGTGGATCACCTGAGGTCAGGAGTTTGAGACCAGCCTGACCAACATGGCAAACCCCTATCTCTACTAAAAAAAATACAAAATTAGCTAGGCATGGTGGCATAAGACTGTAATCCCAGCTACTCAAGAGGCTGAGGAAGGAGAATCGCTTGAACCCAGAGGCAGAGGTTGTAGTGAGTCGAGATAGTGCAATTGCACTCCAGCCTGGGCAACAAGAGCAAAACTCCATCTCAAAATAAATAAATAAATAAATAAATAAATAAATAAATAAATAAATAAATAAATAAATTAAATGGTTAAAGTGAGCTGGGCACAGTGGCTCACGCCTGTAATCCCAACACTTTGGGAGGCTGAGGTGGGCAGATCACTTGAGGCCAGGAGTTGAGACCAGCCTGGGCAAAATAGTAAAACCCCATCTCTACAAAAAAAAAATACAGAAATTAGTCAGGTGTGTTGTGGCTTTCATCTGTAGTCCAGCTGTTTGGGAGGCTGAGGTGGTAAGATTGCTTGACACTAGGAGGTTGAGGCTGCAGTGAGCTATGATCACACCACTGTACTCCAGCCTGGGTGACAGAGTGAGACCCTGTCTCAAAAAAAAAAAAAAGTTAAAGTGGTAAATTTTATTTTATGTTATGTGCGTTTTATCAGTATTTTTAAAAGGCTTCATCTGCCTATCCCCACTGAAAATAAGACTCGACTCTACCTATGATCTGAACCTCAGAATGAATGAGAAAGTCCAGAGAGGAGCACTGTGTGTCTCCTGAGCACCCCTAGGAAGAGGTACATGTCCCCTGTCGGATCTACCCTGTTCATTCTGTGGGTACGTTAGCCCAGATTCTTCACCCTGAGAACATTAAGCCCTGTATTAGTCAAAGTCAAGCTAAACTCCTGTGGCAAGTTATTCCAAAATACAATGGCTAAAACTATAGAATCTTCTCTCTAAAGTAACAGCTACATGGTGAGCCATCCAGGTTGGAGGGTGGCACTGATCTTCCCGGTCATTCTAGACTTGGGTTCCTTCCCTGTCACTGCTCCAGTGGCCCCAAGGTCCCTGTGGGGGTCTGCATGGTAGAAGCTGGGGTGCCCCAAGTCCAACAATTCCGCCTGGTGGAAGAGGAACAGGACCTGGCTAAGCAGTTGGGATTATCACCTCCTCTCCCATTCCATTGGCAAGGCCTTGGGCGCCCACCGGGGGAGCTGTGTGGTGAAGTGTGGCAGGCAGTATATACCTGGCTGCAGTTCTGCGACTGTGGAGGAATTTCCAGAATCTGCAACTTTGATTTTCATTGCTTGCAGTCTCTTCCACAAGCCCTAAAACAAGAGTCACTCTCAACTCTGGTGCTTGGGGACAGTTCTTTATTCTAACCCAGAAAGATGACCTGAGTGACTAGAACTCAGAATAGGCACCTGGGAGTCCCTTAATTAGACACAGGGGGTTTGCAGCCATAGTTCTACCTGCCGTGTTGTAACAGCGTCACCATCAGCTGCTGAGGCAGGGCAAGTGACTTGCTGCTAATAACATAAAGTACTCATGTCTGCAAACCACTTACTCTTTTAACTAAATTAGAGAGTAATCAAGGTTAGCCTTTTAATAACATCACTTTCACTTATGAAAAACCATACAAGCTTCCTGAGTGGAATAAAAAGGGAGAGTGATCCTAGCGGGCTGGAGCAGCCACGGGTGTGTGTGTGTGCGTCGGCAAAGAACGGCAAAGGTGAAGGATTGCAGTAGTCAAAGAAATCTCACAGGAGGCAGTAGGTTTTAGGGGAAAGAGCTTGAATGTGGGCATCAAGGAACTTGGGTTCTGGCTTTTGATATGTCATTAACTAAGTTGAATGAGGACATTCCTTGAAAGCCTATAGTGTGCCAAGCACATGCCCAGTGTGGGTCTTGGGCAGGCCACATGACATCTCTCCCTTGCCCATCGCCTCCACCCTCCGCCCCCAACAAAACAGAATGTTGAATTCATGTCCTCTGAGACTTTCTTCAGCTCTGCTACAACATGATTCTAGGAAGTAGAAGCTCACCTTCTGATCTTGGGAAGCAAAATAACTGCGGAAAAAAGGAAGGCTGTACAAAGAAAAAAATCCCAGTCACATATGTGGTCTTCCTGGCAAGAGGGCATGACTTGAGTCCAATCGCAAGAAAATTTCAGATAAACCTAAATGAAAAATGCTGTATTTTTAAAAGTGGGGAGGTGGAATTGTGTGCTTCCAAAGTGTCAATGCCAAAAAAAAAAAAAAGAAAGCACAAAAAGGGCATGAAAATGTTGCAAATGAATAGAGGCTGAAGAGACAAGATAATTTAACCCAACACCTGACTCTAGGCTGGAGCCTGTAAAAAAGAGAGGAAAATGGTGTTTTGAAAAAAAAAAAAATGATACAGGCCGGGCATGGTGGCCCACGCCTATAATCCCAGCACTTTGGGAGGTCGAGACGGGTGGATCACCCTGAGGCTGGGAGTTCGAGACCAGCCTCTCCAACATGATGAAAACCCTCTCTACTAAAAAAATTTTAAAAATTAGCCGGACATGGTGGTGGGTGCCTGTAATCCCAGCTACTTGGGAGGCTGAGGCAGGAGAATAGCTTGAACCCGGGAGGCAAAGGTTGCAGTGAGCCCAGATTGCACCACTGCACTCCAGCCTGGGCAACAAGAGTGAAACTCCATCTCAAAAAAAAAAAAAAAAAAAAAAGACAAATGATTTCTCTTATATGAAGTACCTATATTAGCCAAATTCATAAAGAAAGAAAGTTGAATAGAGGTGACCAGGGCTGGGGACAGCAGGGAAGGGGGAGTTACTGCTTAATGGGTACAGAGGTTCTGTTTAAGGTGACAAAAAAGGTCTAGAGATGATTAGTGGGGATGGTTCTACAACATTGTGAATGTATTTAATGCCACTCAATTGTACACTTAAAAATGGATGCTGACCAGGCGCAGTAGCTCATGCCTGTAATCTCGGCACCTTGGGAGGCCGAGGCAGGCGGATCACATGAGGTCAGGAGTTCGAGACCAGCCTGGCCAATGTGGTGAAACCCCGTCTCTACTAAAAATACAAAATTAGCTGGGCAATGGTGATGTGCACCTGTAGTCCCAGCTACTCGGGAGGCTGAAGCAGGAGAATCGCTTGAGCCCAAGAGGTGGAGGTTGCAGTGAGCCGAGATTGCGCCACTGCACTCCAGCCTGGGCAACAGAGCAAGACTGTCTCAAAAAAAAAAGTAAAAGGGGGTGTTACAGCTTATTTAGAATTTGTCTAGCAGATTTTCCAGCTTTTACTGGAAGCCCCCTCACCCCCAAAAATGTGTGAAATGGAAAACTGCATGTATATTTTACCACAGTGAAGAAACAAAAAAAAGAAGTTATTCCTCTGGGCTCCACTGTACCAGGGGCTTCTCTTTGTCAGAGCATGAGGAATACCGCAGTGTAACGTGCCTCTCTGTTGGCTGTGTGCTCCCTGGGGCCAGTGACTGTGCCTGAGACAGTTGCTCGTATAATTAGGTTGTTAATGTGCATTTGGTTTTAATGAAAAAAGAAATGAGCAACACGCCCTGGTGCATTTCCGGAAGCCTGTGCATTTCCAGAAGGCTGTGCATTTCCAGAAGCCTGTGCATTTCCGGAGGCCTGTGCATTTCCAGAAGCCTGTGCATTTCCAGAAGCCTGTGCATTTCCAGAAGCCTGTGCATTTCCCGAAGCCTGTGCCTGTACAGTGGGCTTCACAGGGGTGTGTGCCTCGTGCAGCTGCGCATTCAGCCCACGGTCCAGAGCAGCCAGTGACCTGGGATATTTAGCAGGGAGTTATGATCTGGCCTCTGTTTTCTCCACGAGGATCAGCCCTGAGGCCAACTGGGACAGAGACCACACAGCACACAAAGGGCACTGGCAGTGTGGGCCACCGCAGTTCGAGGGTTCTGTTCCAAGCAGGATTGCTACCCAAACACAGCAGGCCTGGAGAGGCTGCGATCAACTCACAACCCTGAGAAAACAAACTCGATCGTGAGTGCGTTGTGGAAGCTGTGATGTCTGTGGCCCATGGGGACAAAGTTAACTGTCTTAATGTAAAGACAAATGAAGGGGCCCTCTTCTGGTAAGAGAATTAAATTCCTCCATCCAGGGAGGAAAAGCATGACTTTCCAGGCTGAGAGGAAAAGGAAGGACTTCGCTGTAATCCAGTCAGCAACAGCAGCAAATTTAAGGGGGGAAATGTGTCAAATGCAGGAAAGGGGTCAGAAAAACAAACAGCATTCATTGCCCCTCAGGCGCCCTTCAGGGAAAGCAGACAGGCCTGGAGGAACAGGCTCGCAGTCCACTGCCCTTTGCTGTGAATCCCAAACAGCCCTGCGATCACCGGTTGGGCTTCCCACGCACCTTCACATTCAGGAGGAGCTGCCCGGGGTACCAAGCTGAGGATTTCTGTCCCGGGACAAGCAGCCTCCCTGGGGAAAATCAATGCTGGCATGTGGCTTCCAGGAGAGGCCCCCGTGACTTCAGAGGGCTGCTGTGCCTCTGAGTTCAGTTTGCCTGAAAAATCTTCCAAACGCAGCTCTAGTGCCACTTCCTCCAGGAAGCCCACCAGCCGGCCCCCACCACTCCTGGACCCCTGCCTAAGAATACTTATGCCTTACACACTACAATATGGAGAAATTACTAATACAAAAACAAAATGTCCGAGTCCACTCCAAACATAGGAGGGAGAATCAAGGCGGAAAGATACAGTGGTCTTAACTTGTGCTTGAAAGATTTTACTTTTAGGTCGGGCGTGGTGGCTCACAACTGTAATCCTAGCATTTTGGGAGGCCGAAGCAGGCGGATCACCTGAGGTCGGGAGTTCGAGACCAGCCTGGCCAATATGGAGAAACCCTGTCTCTGCTAAAAATACAAAAATTAGCCGGGCGTGGTGACATGCACCTGTCATCCCAGCTTCTCGGGAAGCTGAGGCAAGAGAAACCCTGTCTCTGCTAAAAATACAAAAATTAGCCGGGCGTGGTGACATGCACCTGTCATCCCAGCTTCTCGGGAAGCTGAGGCAAGAGAATCGCTTGAACCCGGGAGGCAGAGGTTGCAGTGAGCCAAGACCCCGCCTTTGCACTCCAGCCTGGGCAACAAGGGCAAAACTCCATCTCAAAAAAAAGCAAAAAAATTTTTACTTTTGCCGGGCGTGGTGGCCCATGCCTGTGATCCCAGCACTTTGGGAGGCCGAGGCAGGAGGCTCACTGCAGCCCAGGAGTTCAAGGCTGCAGTGAACTGTATCATGCCACTGCTCGCCAGCCTGCCCCACAAACATATTTTTTTTCACTTTTGCATATTTTACAAAGCACACACCCACGTGAGCGCATTGCCAGCCCCCTCGCCCCCCAGGACAAAGTGGAGACCCTGTCAGCGAGGAGGCTACCGCTTAAGTCCCTGGGGTTCTCCAGAGAAGGAGGAGAAGGCTCTGCAGAGCCATGCGCCCTGGACGGAAGAACTTTCAAAAGTAATTCAACAAAATAGAAACTTGTCGAATTACATTGCAGACAGCGCGTGCGGAGCAAATGTGTGTCCACGGAATATTCGTCGGGCACAAGAGGAATTCCCTGTCAGCTCCCAGGACCGTGGGTGCCCTGAGGCCGAGTCACGCTCCCCCGGGATAAAGAGGGTGGGGGCGCACACAGGCAAGGAGGAGGCGGGGTGGGGGGGTGCAGAATAAGGAACTAAGGTAAAAACGCCCAGTACTGGACTCCCCTCCGAGCAGCACCCCGAGAGGGCCCGGAGGAGCTGAGGCGGTGCGAGCCGAGACTGCCAGCCCCGCCCCCAGCAGGCCCCGCCTTCCGCTGCTCGCCACCGCCCCCGTGAAAAAAAACCAAACCGGTAACCTCTACCCGGCCGCCTCCCATTGGATATGTGAGTGAGCGATGTCCGCCCGGACCAATGAGCCGCAGCCACGGCTTGGCGAGCGCCTTCCGGCCCGCCCCCGCGCGGCCGCCCCTCGGACCACCGGACTGGCCTGGGGCGGGACGTGGGCGCGGGGGCGCGGCGTGCGGCACGCTGCAGGGCTGAAGCGGCGGCGGCGGTGGGGACTGCACGTAGCCCGGCGCTCGGCATGGCTCTCCTGGTGCTCGGTAGGTGCGGGCCAGCGGAGGGAGGCGGGCGAGCTGGGGTCGGCCTGAAAGGTTTCGAATCTCTAGGCCGTTCCCCGGCGGGCCGCGGCCGCAGGCGGCCGGAAGTGGGCCTGGCGGGCGGGAGGCGCGGGCCTCGGCGTCCGGAGGAGCTGCTAGGTTGCCCCGGCGGAGGTGCGGGTGCGCGGGAGACTCGGGCGCCCGTGGGGAGGGGCTTCCGCAGCCGCGGGGGGCGGGAGCCTCGTGCGCTGGAGCCGGGCGCGGGGTCCAGGGCCGGGCGGGAGAGCCGCGGAGCCCAGCCCCGGCCGGATCCCGGGGAGGGGGTCTGTATTCCCGGAGAGTCGCAGGGGAGCTTGTTCCGGGCTCTTCTCGAACTCGTGCGTGGGGACGGAGGTTGGCGGGCGTCCTGCACTGCTGCTTGTTTCTGCCACCTGCTTTATGCAGCTCCTACTTTTAAAAACTGAAATGTTAAGCCGGGCGCGGTGGCTCACACCTGTAATCCCAGCACTTTGGAAGGCCGAAGCGGGTGGATCATCTGAGGTCAGGAGTTCGAGACCAGCCTGACCAACATGGCGAAACCCCGTCTCTACTAAAAATACAAAATTAGTCGGGCGTGGTGTCGCGCGCCAGTGATCCCAGCTACTCAGAAGGCTGAGGCAGGAGAATCTCCTGAACCCCCAGGAGGCGGAGGTTGCAGTGAGCCGAGATCGCGCCACTCCAGCCTGGGCAACAAGAGTGAAACTCTGTCTCAGAAACGAAAAACTGAAATGTTAAATCTCAGTCCTGAAATAAGGACCCATAGTTCCCTTAGAAAGGGACAGTGCCTTCCAAAAGCTGGGCTTAAGACGCAGGGGCGCTTCGCATGTGATCGGACTCCTTAAAAACGAAATGGAACGCGGCGTCTTAGGAATTCTGTAAATGTCTGCTTCTTAGTGGGCGAGGCCGAGGGTCCTGTCCTTGCCGGGCTCGCCTTGGTCACAGCCTTGGCTCTGACAGTCCTTAACCTCGGCTCTGGCCTCAGACCACCTTCCCCCTATTTACTGGCTCTGTGACTTGGAGCAAGTTACTTAACCACTCTGTGCCAGTGCCTTTTCAACGGTGTTCACCATTTTAGGGACTGATAATAGTACTCCCTTAGGGTTGTCCTGAGGATTAATGAGTTAGTACATGTCTTTCTGTTTTTTGAGACACGGTCTTGCTCTGTCTCCTAGGCTGGAGTGCAGGGTTTCCATCATAGTTCACTGCAGCCTGGAACTCCTGGTCTCAAGGGATCCAGGCACATGCCACCACACCTGGCTAATTTTTAAATTTTTTGTAGAGTCAGGGTCTCATTGTATTGCTCAGGTTGGTCTCAAACTCCTGGCCTCGAGTGATCCTCCTTCCTCAACCTCCCAAAATCCTGGGATTACAAGTGTCAGTCACCTGGCCCAGCTAGTACATGTTTTAAAGAGATGTAAATATTTGCCATATTACTGTGGAGAGAGTAGATGAGGGGAAAAGAGTTTAGTCTGTTTAGTTTCCTGTGAGTGAATTCAGACTAGACCCTGAAAGAGTCCGTGAGTCTATTAATTAACTCATTTTAATAAATGGCAGCCTTTCTGGGAAACCTCATGGTTTCTAGATGACTGCTCTGGGACTGTAGACTCCTCCTAGCAGATGTGGGACAGAGATGTTACTGATGTGAATTTATAGCATCCTTAACTGCCATGGAGGAATGGAAAACCACAGATGGCAGAGCCATCTGCTCACAGAGATTCTAGACACTCACTCGGATGGTCCAATTTCCCATTGGTGTTCATTATCACTGAGTGGAATGGTGATGTGAATTTTAGAAACAGAACGTCATTGGTCAGCATTGACCTACTTTGTCATCTTAAGTGAGCCCAGGGTTTTTTGTGTTCTTGGGGGTTGGAGGTAGTTGTTGGCTACTTTTATGCATTCAGAATGTCCACATCTTTTGTCTGTTCTTTCTCAGTAGTATGTTAGGTTTCCTTGTAACCCTGCTAGGTCACATTGCCTTTTTAGGAATTTTAGTCTCAAACCTTAATCAACACAGCATTTTCATTGGGTAGCCGTGTACAAGCAGAGGAGGCTCTTGTGAGAACTAGGCAAAATTTAAAGACAAACAAAGGTCCCTCACCATTACTAGAAAAAAGAATAACCCAAGTCTATCTTAATACTGTCAGTAAAGAGCGTCTTTATACGGAAAGGGAAGGACATTCCTAAGGTGAAAAACCCTGGTCTGTTCTGGTGACTGCAGCCTGCTTGTAACAGCATGAAGAGGAGAGGACTGACGTTATTGCTGTCCTTGATTGGCAAAGAGAAGTGAAAGTACCTAATTCTGCCACAGTCTACCTAATGATGCTCTGTGGATTATACCCCTGCATTCTCCAGCCCTTCGGTTAGAAATTTGGGTCTATCTAATTATATGATCTTAGGTAAGTTATCCTTTCTGTGTTAAAGTTTCCTGGTCTGTGAAATAATGGGCACCATGACACATACCACATAGGGTTCTTAAATGACTTAATATATGCAAAATGTTTAGAAAAATGCCTGATACAGAGTCACGCAAGTGTTACTGTTTTGTCTCGCCAGAAATAAAGACCCCAGTTTCTGGAGCATAGTGTGACAGGTATCTCAGAATGTTAGCCATACTCCCAGATCTCTCTTATAAGAATTTCTCTTGAAACAGTCATACTAGTTTGAGGGGAGGAGGAAAATATAAGAATTTTCCCTGCTGGGCTGTTAGTGAAAAACTGGAAACAATCAAAATTCAGTCAGTAGTGGATTGACTAAATGGTTCAGCCATTAAAAATGGTTACATTGGAGTAATTTTAAAATTCTTAAGTAGAAAATATCTGTAACTTACTCTTTTGCTTTTCCATTTTTGAAAATTTCACAATAGGCTCAGTGTACTGAGCAAGTACCAAATTCATATCGATTTTACAAAAAAGATAAAGTTCTTTAAAAGTAGTACATCTCTGTAGAAGATTATCCTATTTTTTGGGTTTTTTTTTTTTTTTTTTTTTTTTTTTGAGACCGGGTCTTGCTCTGCCTCCCAGGCTCAAGCAATCCTCCCACATCAGCCTCTGGAGTAGCTGCGGCTACAGATGCACCCTACCATACCGAGCTAATTTTTGCATTTTTGTATTTCATATTTTTTCTCTACAAGAGATGGAGTTTTGCCATGTTGCCCAGGCTGGTCTCAAACTCCTGGCTCAGGTTATCCACCCGCCTCATCCTCCCAAAGTTCTGGGATTACAGGCCTAAGCCACCACACCCAGCCTTAGTCTTACTTTCAAGCTTATTCAGAGTTAGGACTGTCAGTGCTTATGTTCTTGATTTACTTGGCTTTGTTAAACGTGTCAAACTCTACTTCACCTTTTCTGCAGCAGTGAAAAGATTAATGAGCAGTGCCATCCAATAGAAATATAATGCAAACATATATGTAATTTTAAATTTTCTAGTAGCTACATTTAAAATGGCCAAAAGAAACAGGTGAAATTAATATATTTACTGAGTATATCTAAGATCATTTAAACATGTGTTTTCAAAATGAAAAATAATATTGAGGCCGGGCACGGTGGCTCACGCCTGTAATCCTCGCACTTTGGGAGGCCAAGGTGGGCGGATCACCTGAGGTCAGGAGTTCAAGACCAGCCTGGCCAACATGGTGAAACCCCATCTCTACTAAAATACAAAAATTAGCCGGGCATGATGGCTGATGCCTGTAATCCTGAGACGGGAGAATCGCTTGAACCCAGGAGACAGTGGTTGCAGTGAGCCAAGATTGCACCACTGCACTCCAGCCTGGGCAGCTGAGTGAGACGCCGTCTCAAAAAAAAAGAAAAATAATGAGATTACATTTTTCCCTCCATTAAGTCTTCAGAATTCAGTGTGTTTTTACCAGCATATCTTAGTTTGGGGTAGCCACATGTAGCTAGTGGCTATCATGCTGGATAACCTGTTACTGAGAGAGCAGCCCCGCTTTGGTTAGCCTGGCATCCATTCACAGGCATCCTTTCCCACCTCTTGAAATGGAAAAGGAGATCATCCTATCAAAGGCTACTCCATCACTGACTGGGTTCCCGCTCCTCTTCTGACTCTGGGCATTTTATTCAGATACTCCCTGTATTTTATCTTTGGCCTCTCCCACTGCATATGTCTTCCTCTCCTAGATCACTCCCATCTTCAAAGAAAACCTTCCTTGTTTTCTACATTTGCCTGCCTCTGGTCTCTATAATGAAACCTGCTTAAAGAGTTACCTATATTCTCTCCAACCTTCTGCAGACTGCATGCCTGTTATTTTCACTCCACCACAACTGCCAGGGCTCCCAGTGACTTCTTTGTCACTAAATCCAATCAGTAGATGGTTTTAAGTCTTTGCTACTTTATCTCCCAGTAGCATTTGTTAGTGTGGCCCCTTCCACATGTATCTTGGTTTATGTGACACCACTCTGGATAATTCTCCCAATCCACCTTCCACATGGCAACTGGAATACTCCTTCTAGAAAGCATAAATCTATTCTTTCCTCTGAATGATAACCCTTTAGTGGCTTCACTATTAGTAAAATTAACAGTTTTATAAGTTCTTACAGTATTGGCTATATCTGTGATTCAAATGCAGTGTAAATCTTGAATACCATAATTGTTCATTCATACCTATAGCGTACAGAACCACTTTATCTTGAGCACTAAAAAGACAGCATGGTGTAATAGGAAAAGCTTGGAAATGGAGAGCTGCCCTGCCCCTTATATGTATGACCATAGATGGGCCATTTGGTCTAGACCTTTATTTACAAAATGGGGATAAGTCCTACTTTCTAGTTAGTAATGCTGTCAAAAATTAAGTGATCTAACATTTGATAGTGATTTGAAAAATTGAACGTGTTGTATGATGGAGGATTTAGCAGTAAAACAATGAACAATGGTGTACACTCCTTCCAGAAAAAGTGTACCATTTAGTTATTCCAAAAAGGTCCATTTGAAATCTTCCAAATTCTAATTGTGAAGCAAGCATGTGAAAATGTAACTAAGATGGCATGTACACACACTACTTGAGAACACAGGCCAGTCTCACTTATAATTTGCTATATCAACAAATTAAAAGGAAGAAATGATATGATCAACTTCAGAGATGCTGAAAAGACAGGAATAGATAGAAATTTCGTTAACATTGTAAGTACATTTTGGCCTGGCGTGGTCACTCATACCTGTAATCCCAGCACTTTGGGAGGCAGAGGCAGGAGGATCACTTGAGACCAGCCTGGGCAACACAGGGAGACCCTGTCTCTACAAAAAATTTAAAAGTTAGCCAGGGATGCACCTGTAGTCCCAGCTACTGGGGGTGCTGAGGTGGGAGGATCACTTGAGCCCAGGAGGTCAGGGCTGCTGCAGGGAGCTGTGTTTGCACCATTGCACTCCAGTCTGGGTGACAGATCAAGACCCTCTCTCAAAAAAAATTAAAAAGTGTATTTATTTCAATCCAAAAGCCAGCATGATGCAAATAGGAAAACCTTGTTGAAGTCAAGAATAGTCTGAGGATATTCCATTATTTACCTTGTTCTAGAGGTAATCAGCAAATTTTTGTATATTGTCATGTGTTGCTTAACATTAGAGACGTGATCTGAATTATGATCAACTTCAGAGATGCTGAAAAGACAGGAATAGAAATTTCTTTAATTGCTATTGTATCAGACGATTTCTTCATTGTGAATAACATCAGTGTGTACTTAATACAAACCTAGATGGCATAACTTACTAAAAACCTAGGCTACATGGTATAGCTTATTTCTCTTAGGTTATAAATCTGTTCGGCATGTTACTGTACTGAATATTGTATGCAGTTGTAACACAATGGCAAGCATTTGTGTATCTAAACATAGAAAGGGTGCAGTAAAAATATGATATAAAAGATTAAAATAGTACACCTGTACAGGACATTTACCGTGAATGCAGCTTGCATGACTGGGGGTTGCTCTAAAAATTTTATTTCTTGGATAATAGATTAACCTTAATTTACTGTAACGTTTTTCTTTCTTTCTTTCTTTCTGTCTTTATTTTTTAGGAGATGTGGTTTTGCTATTCTGTGTTGGCCAGCCTGGTTTTGAACTGCTGGCCTCAAGCAGTCCTCCCACTTTGGCCTCCAAAGTGTTGGGATTATAGGTGTGAGCCATGGCATCTGGTCAACATTTTACTTTCTAAACTTAATTTTTTTTTTTTAACTTTTTGGCTCTTGTAAAAACACTTACCTTAAAACGCATTATACAAAACAGCAGTACAAAAATATTTTCTCTCTTTTTTTTTTTTTTTTGAGACAAGGTCTTGCCCTATCAGGCTGGAGTGAGTGGTGCATCACAGCCCACTGCACCCGTAGCCTCGACCTCCCTGGGCTCAGTGATCCTCCCACCTCAGCCTCTCGAGTAGCTAGGACTATAGGCATGCACCACCATGCCTGGCTAATTTTTGTACTTTTTTTAGAGAGGGGGTCTCACTATGTTGCCCAGGCTGGTCTTGAATTCCTGAGCTCAAGCGATCTGCCTGCCTTGGCCTCCCAAAGTGCTGGGATTACAAGCATGACCCATAGCACCTGGCCAGTATTTTCTTTTATATCCGTATTCTGTAAGGTTTTTTTCGTTTTTTTTTTTTTTTTTTTAATTATACTTTAAGTTTTAGGGTACATGTGCCATGCTGGTGCACTGCACCCACTAACTCCTCATCTAGCATTAGGTATATCTCCCGATGCTATCCCTCCCCCCTCCCCCCACCCCACAACAGTCCCCAGAGTGTGATATTCCCCTTCCTGTGTCCATGTGATCTCATTGTTCAATTCCCACCTATGAGTGAGAATATGCGGTGTTTGGTTTTTTGTTCTTGCAATAGTTTACTGAGAATGATGATTTCCAATTTCATCCATGTCCCTACAAAGGACATGAACTCATCATTTTTTATGGCTGCATAGTATTCCATGCTGTATATGTGCCACATTTTCTTAATCCAGTCTATCATTGTTGGACATTTGGGTTGGTTCCAAGTCTTTGCTATTGTGAATAATGCCGCAATAAACATACATGTGCATGTGTCTTTATAGCAGCATGATTTATAGTCCTTTGGGTATATACCCAGTAATGGGATGGTTGGGTCAAATGGTATTTCCAGTTCTAGATCCCTGAGGAATCGCCACACTGACTTCCACAATGGTTGAACTAGTTTACAGTCCCACCAACAGTGTAAAAGTGTTCCTATTTCTCCACATCCTCTCCAGCACCTGTTGTTTCCTGACTTTTTAATGATTGCCATTCTAACTGGTGTGAGATGGTATCTCATTGTGGTTTTGATTTGCATTTCTCTGATGGCCAGTGATGATGAGCATTTTTTCATGTGTTTTTTGGCTGCATAAATGTCTTCTTTTGAGAAGTGTCTGTTCATGTCCTTCGCCCACTTTTTGATGGGGTTGTTTGTTTTTTTCTTGTAAATTTGTCTGAGTTCATTGTAGATTCTGGATATTAGCCCTTTGTCAGATGAGTAGGTTGCGAAAATTTTCTCCCATTTTGTAGGTTGCCTGTTCACTCTGATGGTAGTTTCTTTTGCTGTGCAGAAGCTCTTTAGTTTAATTAGATCCATTTGTCAATTTTGTCTTTTGTTGCCATTGCTTTTGGATACAAAATCAATGTACAAAAATCACAAGCATTCTTATACACCAACAACAGACAGAGAGCCAAATCATGAGTGAACTCCCATTCACAATTGCTTCAAAGAGAATAAAATACCTAGGAATCCAACTTACAAGGGATGTGAAGGACCTCTTCAAGGAGAACTACAAACCACTGCTCAAGGAAATAAAAGAGGATACAAACAAATGGAAGAACATTCCATGCTCATGGGTAGGAAGAATCAATATCGTGAAAATGGCCATACTGCCCAAGGTAATTTACAGATTCAATGCCATCCCCATAAAGCTACCAATGACTTTCTTCACAGAATTGGAAAAAACTACTTTAAAGTTCATATGGAACCAAAAAAGAGCCCGCATCGCCAAAGCAATCCTAAGCCAAAAGAACAAAGCTGGAGGCATCACACTACCTGACTTCAAACTATACTACAAGGCTACAGTAACCAAAACAGCATGGTACTGGTACCAAAACAGAGATATAGATCAATGGAACAGAACAGAGCCCTCAGAAATAACGCTGCCTGTCTACAACTATCTGATCTTTGACAAACCTGAGAAAAACAAGCAATGGGGAAAGGAATCCCTATTTAATAAATGGTGCTGGGAAAACTGCCTAGCCATATGTAGAAAGCTGAAACTGGATCCCTTCCTTACACCTTATACAAAAATCAATTCAAGATGGATTAAAGACTTAAACGTTAGACCTAAAACCATAAAAACCCTAGAAGAAAACGTAGGTTTTTTTCGTTTTTAAAGTTTGTTTTAGTTTTTTAAACTTTTTTGTCAAAAACTAGGACACAGGGCCGGGCACGGTGGCTCACGCCTGTAATCCCAGCACTTTGGGAGGCCGAGGCGGGCGGATCACAAGGTCAGGAGATCGAGACCATCCTGGCTAACACAGTGAAACCCCATCTCTACTAAAAATACAAAAAATTAGCCAGGCGTGGTGGCAGGCGCCTGTAGTCCCGGTTACTCAGGAGGTTGAGGCAGGAGAATGGCGTGAACCCGGGTGGCAGAGCTTGCAGTGAGCCGAGATAGCGCCAATGCACTCCAGCCTGGGTGACAGAGCAAGACTCTGTCTCAAAAAAAAAAAAAAACACAAAAACTAGGACACAAACACGCACATTAGCCTAGGTCTACTCAGGGTCAGAGTTATCAAGGCATCACAAGGTGATAGGATTTTTTAAGCTCCATTATAATCCACAGGACCACCCTCATATATGTGTTCTCTCCTTGACCCTGTGGATGTGACTGTATATGTAAATTTAAAAGGTGAAATTTTGATAGTAATGCCATTTCAGAGAACTTTTGGGTTCTTAAGATACTAGTAAGTTCAGAATTTGTTTTCCTAAATTATTGTTGTAAATTGCATGTAAGTTTCCAGAGTTGCTAATGAAAATGCTCTTGATCCACAATGTGGCAGAACTGTGTGGTCAGCAATACAGTCGACACTGTATCCTGTCTTTATAAGGTTGTTCACACGAACAGTGTTTCTGATAATGTGTTATGGATAGTATTAAGAGAAATAAAACTATTTATAAAAATAAACATTGGCTGGGCGCCATGGCTCATGCCTGTAATCCCAGCACTTTGGGAGGCCGAGGCAGGCGGATCACCTGAGGTCAGGAGTTCGAGACCAGCCTGACCAACATGGAGAAACCCTGTCTCTATTAAAAATACAAAATTAGCCGGGCGTGATGGCACATGCCTGTAATCCCAGCTACTTGGGAGGCTGAAGCAGGAGAATTGCTTGAACCTGGGAGGCGGAGGTTGTGGTGAGCCAAGATCATGCCATTGCACTCCAGCCTGGGCAACAAGAGCGAAACTCCGTCTCAAAATATAAATAAATAAATTACCATTGCCCTTGAAAGAGTCACAATCTAGTGGAAGAGACAATAATTATTTTCCCTTCAAAAATATATTTGAATAAAGATAATGTGCTAATAATTGCAACTGAATAACATGAGGAATGATTACTACGTGATTGCCCAGGGTTACACAGGCAGAAGTGACCTCCCAATTTTTCAGCGTCCATGCCATAAAATGACAGTAGTACTGCCTCATGGAGCGGTTGTAAAGAACAAAGACGTTGATACATGAAAGCCACTAAGAATAATGCTTCAGCCTTTTTCCAGTGCAGCCCAAGGAGTGGGAGTGGGGACCGTCCGTTCCTTTCTTGCTCAGCGTTGCAGCAATGGGAGTGAAATTCCAGGGGCTCCAACTGCAGCAGGAAGGGCAGAGGGGCCAGAGCTAGGCCGTCCTCCTGTGTGAAGGGCCCTGGTCAGTTAAAGAGGACTCTGGTTCCCCAGGGTTTCCAGTCAAAGCATGAACAGTGCTGTTAATGGTGCACTTTTGTTTTTATCTTCAGGTCTGGTGAGCTGTACCTTCTTTCTGGCAGTGAATGGTCTGTATTCCTCTAGTGATGATGTGATCGAATTAACTCCATCGAATTTCAACCGAGAAGTTATTCAGAGTGATAGTTTGTGGCTTGTAGAATTCTATGCTCCATGGTAAGTATTATAAAATAGTTGTAGATTATTTATAGTACTTTCTGAAATTGGAGAAAACGCTGTATAAAAATCTGATTTTATTAAGACATCTAGTTTAGCTTAGTGTTTGTTTAAAAGAAGTAGAGAAGAGGGAAATGGGAAATGCAAAGTATCTAGTCTGTTGTTAAGGAAGATCTGTCTTTTGATGAGGTGATGCGTGTGGAAGGAAAACTGCTTTTATGAGGAAGGAATCTTGAGCAAAGAAAATGGAGGGGCCAGTGATTAACTTCACTCTGTTTCTTGAAGAGAATTATTTCCTGAAAAAATGTAGTTAGAAAATCTGGTTTAATTTAAAAATTCTTTTCTTACCTTACATTCAATGCTGGAAGAACCCTTGTGGGGTAAAAATGTAATCACCATTGAAACTAACAGCACAAAATTATATACAGTCAAAAGTACAACATTGCACTAGTTATTTGTGTGATTAAAGCATTTAATGCAAAAAAACACCAAATAGAAGAGTGGAAACTGTGCAAGATGTATATGAGGCTGTCTCTGCTGTAAACCAGCAGGCCACAAGTATCCTGAGAGGAGAACCAAACCCTAGCCAGCTGTGTGTCTGTGAAGAACTGTGTGGTTATCTGAAATCCCAAGGAGTCCTTTGACATGTGAACAAGGCTTTGTAAGCTTAAGTGAGGGATATTAGAACCTGATGGGTACATTTTAGGGTATGCCTGATGAAACTTTTTCCTTTCTCACTTTAACTTTTTTCTTTGAAACTAAGTTTTAGAAACTAACCACCAGTCCTCATGGACCATTTTACTTCATGCTCAGTGTAGCAAATGGAGGTAAAAACGCTCTATTTTCAAAGTGGATGTTGCCACATTGTGCGTCCTGTCCATCTAATGCCTTTACTGTTTTAAAGGCTCTGGTATATATGTGTTCAGTCCAAATGCTAATTCTGTGTGGATTAGCTCAATTATACTAGCAAATACATAAATAGTAATTGTACAAACTGTTGTATTGTTAAACGTCTCTGTATGTGGTTTTTACAAGCTTATCATATATGGCATAGGTAATTTACCTTGTTTCTGAGAGCGACCATACAAGAGAAAACTCTGCAAGACAGCATAATTGAGAAGGCAGGATCTAGATCCACTAGTTAATCATTATTACACTGGCAGAGTTTTACTTTGTGGTGTTTGGGTGACTGAATGTCTGATTAGAGCAAGCGCTTTTTTTGAGAGACAGGGTCTCACTTTCTCCCAGGCTAGAGTGCAGCAGCATGATCACGGCTCACTACAGCCTTGATTTCTCAGGCTCAGGTAATCCTCCCACCTCAGCCTCCCCAGCACTGGTACTACAGGCATGTACCACCACGCCCTGCTAATTTTTGTATTTTTTATAGAGACGGAATTTCACCATGTTGTCCAAGCTGGTCTCTAACTCCAGGGCTCAAGCAATTCGCCTGTCTCGGCCTCGCAAAGTGCTGGGATTACAGCTGTGAGCCACTGCACTGGGTCAGGCAGGTGCTTTTTAACTTCCTTTTGTGCTTGGATTCCTTTAGCATCTTGGTGAAGGCCTTGGATTCTTATAATAAAACTTTTACGGTCAGGCATGATGGCTCACGATTATAATTTCAGCAATTTGGGAGACCACGGTGGGTAAATTGCTTGAGCACCAGAGTTCGAGGCCAGCTTGGGCAATGTGGCAAGACCCTATCGCTACGAAAATAAAAAGAAAAGAAACAAATTACCCAGACGTGGTGCCGTGTACTTGTGGTCCCAGCTACTCAGGAGGCTGAGGTGGGAAGATCACCTGAGCCTGTGAGGTAGAAGCTGCAGTGAGCTGTGATTGTGCCACTGCACTCCAGCCTGGGCAACAGTGAGAGCCTGTCTCAAAAAAAGAAAAAAAAAAAGATCTCCTTTAAAAAAAAAAATCAAAATCAAACCTTCACGTTTAAATAAAGCTTATAGAATCGCAAAAAAAAACCTAAAGTATGGAAATATGATTATTGAAATATTAAAATTTTGATGTTAATGTAGTACTTTACAAGAACAGTAAGTACAGGTTGAACATCTCTTATCTGAAATGCTTGGGACCAGAAGTGTTTCTGATTTTGGATTTTGTCAGATTTTGGAAGATTTGCATAATACTTAGCTGTAGAGCATCCGTAATCTGAGAATACAAAATCTGAAATGCTCCAGTGACTGTTTCCTGTGAGTGTCATGTTGTCGCTCAGAAAGTTT
Source organism: Homo sapiens (assembly GCF_000001405.40). Lineage (NCBI taxonomy): Eukaryota > Metazoa > Chordata > Mammalia > Primates > Hominidae > Homo > Homo sapiens. Next base: position 10,800,270 of record NC_000002.12, on the reverse strand, counting down.
TGGATTTTGGAACATTTCAGGTTGTGGGTTTTTAGAATAGAGATGCTAAACCGGTACCAAGATCCAGCAGCAGGCTTGACAGCTGCAATAATTCTGAATAGTGATGGGCATAAATGATGTTTGAAGATACCTGCAGCAACTATAGTGGCGATCATGAAAACAGCTGTGATTTTCATTCATGATAAAGTCACAATAATTGACTGTGGAGTGTTGTTTACATTCGTAAGGAAATTCTAAATTTCGATTACAGATTAGTGAAAATAAAGACTTTTTTTTCATCCAAATTCATAGACTCCCTCCCCTAAATTTTTCCTAAAAGGCCACCTTGGCTTCAGATTTATTCTTTTTTTTTTTTTTTCTTTTTTTTCCTAAAAGGGATTCCCAAAATTTTTATCCACCAGCCCTTTGGGAGTCTGGACCCCAGTTGCAGAACCCCTGGGTAGACTGTATGCCATATTTATATGTATGTGGCATTATGATGTATGTGCAGATCAAATAGAAGAGAGGATGAACTCTGACAGTCTCTGAATTTAGTCCTCCTTTCTTAAACTGAAATTAAAGAGGCACAAAACCCTGTAAAAATCTGACTTCTGAATTTTTTAGTATCTCACCTAAACAACAAAACATACTGTATGTAAATATGTAGAAGTAGCATTTCAGGACATTCCCCCGATAGACCCTAACTTCAGATACTGGGATTGAGTTTAGGCCCCAATACTCAGTTACATAATAATTACGACTTCTACCTGTATGATTGTAGTGTTTGGAATCAAAAACTTGTCAGGCAGCTCTGACACTGGATGGCTGTGATATTGGGTAAATTTCTTCTCAACATCAATTCCATCATCTGTAAAATGAAATAACAAGAGGACCTGCCCTCAGCTTCATGCTGATTAAATGAAGTCATCTATAAGTGTTTTCATCATGGTGCTGGCACCTAGCATTTGTGCATTTGGTTCTTAGAGACCTAATTAGAAGAGAATTTACTTTGTTTTTAAAAATGCATTAAATCACCAATGGATAAACTATGGTGTCTGCATACAGTGAATGTTACACAGCAATAAAAATAAACAGTATAGCTACCTACAACCTCAATGAGTGGTAAGGGCTAATAGGTTTACGCACATGTAATTTTTTAAAAGCGCTTTTCTGTGTTGTATTTCCCAATAATAGTACCTGCAAGGTTAAGGTTGTTTTTCCTTGTGTTCTCTTCTCTCCTCCTCTCCCCACTCTCTTCCGCTTTCCCTGCCTCCCCCCACCTCAGTCATTCACTCACATCGCCATCTTGTGGTGTCACGTCATGCTTTTCGGCTTGTTAGGCTCACTAACGTGGGTTTATGCATGTGTTTCTAAGTCCAGAAGCAATTTGCGGGACCCAGAAAGTATTGAGATATAGGCATAGTTGATCTGGGCCAGATACTTCATATATAAAATTAAAAAGTTGGACTAGAGACTATCAAACCCCAGTAGGTTTAAGAATCACTAGCAGAACTTAATAAAATGCACTTCTTCCACTAGGAAGTTTGGGTTTGTGGACCCCAAGAATCTGCATCGTGCCTAGGCTTTCAGCTCCACACAGTGAAGCACATTGGACCAGATAGATTCTAAAGGGCTTGTTGAGGGTGTAGAGTTGTAAATTATAGAGTTTAAATGTGATTTAATTGAGCAGTAATTCGGAAGCTTTTTTTTTTTTTTTTGGGTGGGGGACAGAGTCTTGCTGTGTTGCCCGGGCTGGAGTGCAGTGGCACGATCTCAGCTCACTGCAACCTCCGTTTCCCGAGTTCAAGCGATTCCCCTCCCTCAGCCTCCCCAATAGCTAAGATTACAGGTGTGTGCCACCATGCCCAGCTAATTTTTGTATTTTTAGTAGAGACAGGGTGTCACCATGTTGGCCAGGCTGGTCTTAACTCCTGAGTTCAAGTGATCTGCCTGCCTTGGCCTCCCAAAGTCAGGCGTGAGCCACTGCACCTGGCTGGAAGCTTTTTTATTAGGATGATATGAAAAGTGATTGTTGTAAGTAATAAAATGGTGAGTTCATCCAGGTTGCTGATCCTATTTTACTTATTTATTTTTATTTTTATTTTTTGAGACAGAATCTCACTCTGTTGCCCAGGCTGGAGTGTAGCGGCATGATCTCAGCTCTTGCAACCTCTGCCTCCTGGGTTCACGTGATTCTTGTGCCTCAGCCTCCCCAGTAGCTAGGATTACAAGCGTGCACCACCACGCCTGGCTAATTTTTGTATTTTTATTAGAGACGGGGTTTCACCATGTTAGCCAGGCTGGTCTCAAACTCCTGACCTCAAGTGATCCTCCCTCCTCGGCCTCCCAAAGTACTGGAGATTACAGGCGTGAGACACCGTGCCCGGCCTTGATCCTGTTTTATTTGTGCTTGTCCTCTTTGCAGGCATCTCATTCAATAGACCATTGATGGGGTTTTTTAATTGAATTTTTGAATTTTTTGAATTGAGAATCAAAGGCTTTAATGGTTGCTTTGTGTTGTCTTCCCCCAAAAGGTGTGGTCACTGTCAAAGATTAACACCAGAATGGAAGAAAGCAGCAACTGCATTAAAAGTAAGTTTCTTAGGAATGCAAAAGGCTTACAAAACTTTTTTTTACAGTAAGTTTCTAAGATGTCCATATTCACCTGTGTATGTTTAAGTAATAAGTATGCAGATGGTTTAATGTTCAATGGGAAGCTAGTTTGCATATCAGAGTTGAAAATACTGGTTCTGTTGTCAAAATCATACTGAGAACAAGGGGATAATACACATTTAAATGTTTACATTGCCTGTTTTTGTTTATTGTTTTTCCCAGATAAATGACAGTTACTCTCAGCCCTGCCAATTCTGTGAGCTGCAGAGTTCCCTCCATGGGCTTTGATTTCCCCCATCATTCCATTTAGATTCTCTTCTGGTGTTCAAGGCTAAAGCCCTTATTGACTGATTGCAAACTGCACCCTGTGCTTTATTACCTTTTTCTGAGTCTATGTGAAGCAGATAATGAGTTCTTGTGGAGTCTGCTTTAGCGGAAGGAAAAATTGTTATTTCTTTTACATTTCCACAGGATGTTGTCAAAGTTGGTGCAGTTGATGCAGATAAGCATCATTCCCTAGGAGGTCAGTATGGTGTTCAGGGATTTCCTACCATTAAGATTTTTGGATCCAACAAAAACAGACCAGAAGATTACCAAGGTAAGGACTTTTCCTAGCTACTTCATTCCCCTGGTAGACAAGAACCTACTGTTCTTTAACAAGCTTGAGAACCTGCTCTACCTGCAAGGTTCTCAACCTCATTGTACCTGAATTATCTATAAATGGTACACAGTGATTCCTATACCCTCCGAGTCATTCTGAAGATGAAATATGTGTCACACAGGTTTGTCTCATCACTTAACGCTTGCTTAGGTCTATGCTACATTGGCAATGATAGAAAATAGTGTTCTGTGCTACCCTGTTGTCTTTCTCATTACAGTCACTTGTATTTAATAAAGATCTACATGTATTTTCTTGCTCTAATCTCTCTTCCCTTTACTGTAGGAAAAGGGTCTAACATAACACTATGGAAAAGGAGACTGTAATTTGAGAGTCTTAGTCTCCTAAACTGTCAATAATAAATGGATACCACAAATTCTGTTTTGTAGATAAGTAAATTGTTAGTGTCTGCTGTGAGCCACTGAGGCAACTAAAGAAAGAATTCAGGTTTCACCCTCCCAAGACTAAATGTTATTTCAGCCACACTATTCTTTTTTTCTTTTCTTTTTTTTTTTTTTTTAAGAGACAGAGTCTTGCTGTGTTGCCCAGCCTGGACTCAAATTCCTAGGCTCAGGCAGTCCTCCTACTTCAGCCTCCCAAGTAGCTGGGATTACAGGCACCACACTCTTAGAGAATTGTCTTGTTATTTAATTAAGATATCACAAACGGGCTGGGCATGATGGCTCATGCCTGTAATCCCAGCACTTTGGGAGGCCAAGACGGGCGGATCACGAGGTCAGGAGATCGAGACCATCCTGGCTAACACGGTGAAACCCTGTCTCTACTAAAAATACAAAAAATTAGCCGGGCACGGTGGTGGGTGACTGTAGTCCCAGCTACTCTGGAGGCTGAGGCAGGAGAATGGCGTGAACCCGGAAGGCGGAGCTTGCAGTGAGCCGAGATTGTACTCCAGCCTAGGCGACAGAGCGAGACTCCGTCTCAAAAAAAAAAAAAAAAAAAGATATCACAAACAGATTATTCTATTTAAGATAATCAGAGTTGCTGGGTTGGGCCAGATCCATAGTGCTAGTAAAAGTATTGGGCATAATTTGTTTGAAGCTGAAATTATGACTAATTTGGTAAAGGTTTTTGTTGAAGATTTATATGGAACATATGAGTGACTGAACTTTGTCATCTTAGGTTTTGCTTTATGTGAGCAGTATCAGCTCATGGGTTGGGTGGCAGCATCAACATCGTAGTAAAAGAGTTGTCTGTCATCGGTGACTTGCCTGAGTCCAGCTAATAGAAGGCAGGGAAGGTAGGGGTGAGGGGTACAGAATCTGTCGTGTGTGAGCTGGGAAGGCAGCCCATCCTGGCTGCCTGGCTGCTAGCCTCTCCATACTCCAGCGTCGTAACTAAACAGTACTTAGTGTCTTGCTTCTCTGTATAATGGGGATGTGCAAACCTATTTTAAGGTACCAGAAGCTTAATTGAAATAGTACACATAAAGCATATGAGACAAATACTTGGCAAATATGTGTCGTTGGCAAATCTCGAGGCTGGAGGGCTCATCTTCGTCTTCGTCTTCGTCTGAAGATGAAGATGTGGCCTTGGACACGTTGTCTCTGCTAGGCTCCCCAGCTCCAAAGTTCTAGGGAGAGACTTTTTTTTCCCCTGAGTAAACACCTGCTTTTCTGCCTTTGAATAATAATTTGTTTTAGTTTTCCTCACTTATGAAAATGCACATGTTTTTAGTGCAGTCAGTCTGCTGCTGTTTTTATAAATTTAGTTTATTGGAACACAGCCCTGCCTGTTTGTCAACATATTGTCTCTGGCTCCTTTTGCACTGGAACAACAGAATTGAGTAGTTGCAATAGACAGTATGGCCCAAAACGCTGAAAAGTTTTTTTCCTAGTATACTTCATGATTTGGCATATGTCCAGATAAAGACTCGGGGAAGGGGCAGTGGTTCAGATGACGGAAATACCTGACATAGATAAGGAGCAGAGGCTGTTTCATGTTGAGGCCTTGCCCTTCTGTGTTATCAAGTGACATACTTGGTAGGCTCAGCCAGCGATACAGTGCAAGATTATCTGAATAGATGCTGAGAGTTGCTGTAATATATTTTGTGGGTATTTTTGTTTTGTTTTGTTCGAGATGGAGTCTCACTCTGTTGCCCAGGCTGGAGTGCAGTGGTGCTATCTCGGCTCACTGCAACCTCCGCCTCCTGGGTTCAAGCAATTCTCCTGCCTCAGCCTCCTGAGTAGCTGGGATTACAGACATGCACCACTACACCCGGCTAATTGTTGTATTTTTAGTAGAGATGGGGTTTCACCATGTTGGTCAGGCTGCTCTCGAACTCTTGACCTCATGATCCGCCTGCCTCGGCCTCCCAAAGTGCTGGGATTACAGGCGTGAGCCACCGCACCCGGCCTATATTTTGTTTCTTGTGTCAGGTCTGGTGTGTTCTCAAAAGTTTCTCTTCCTGGGCAGAAAAAAAGGCCGGCTGCCACACCTTAGATCTCTAATCCCAGCACTTTGGGAGGCTGAGGTGGGAGGATCACTTGAGTACAGGAGTTTGAGAAAACTCTAAAAAAAAAAAAAAAAAAAAAGAAAGATTTTTTTTTTTTTTCTTGACACAGAGTCTCGTTCTGTCACCCAGGCTGGAGTGCAGTGGCGCGATGTCAGCTCACTGCAGCCTCCGTCTCCTGGGTTCAGGTGATTCTCCTGCCTCAGCCTCCTGAGTAGCTGGGATTATAGATGTCCACCACCACGCCCAGCTAATTTTTGTGTTTTTAGTAGAGACAGGGTTTCACCATGTTGGGCAGGATGGTCTTGAACTCCTGACCTCAGGTGTTCCACGTGCCTCTGCCTCCCAAAGTGCTGAGATCCCAGGCGTGAGCCACCACAGCTGGCCAGAAAATGAACTTTCTAAAGAGATTCTATTAGATCTAGTTTTGCCTTTAAACTGAAGAAAGCAGATGGCATATGTTATTCCAGTACTTCTGTGTTAGTTAATAGCCCCTGACTGTCTTGAGCAAATAAGTTTTTGGTGAACTTCCAAAGACTATTATCATCTTGCCTCTTTGAGTTTTAATGCAGATTTGTTACTTATATTAGGATTAAGTTCAGCTTAACTGTTTCAAGCAAGATAGAAAAAAAGAAGCCTGGAATGGTTTCCAGTTACTTGGCTTTAAAGACACCTCATACCTACTTTTTCCATCTTTTCTATCTGGTATCTCACAGAAATTGTTCCTTTTTTATTTGGGAAATTCCCCTGCTTTCTCAGCTAGATATTAAGCTTCTTATTCATCCATGTTCATGTTCGGTAAACATTTGTGAGTTATTCTCATTAGGAGATGGTGTTTGAGCAGGGAGTTTTCGTTCACACTACGTAAAACTTAAGAAGAGAAATCGGGCTGGACACGGTGGCTCACACTTGTGATCCCAGCACTTTGAGAGGCTGAGGTGGGCGGATCACTTGAGGTCAGGAGTTTGTGACCAGCCTGGCCGACATGGTGAAATCCTGTCTCTACTAAAAATACAAAAATTAGCCAGAAATCACTCGAACCCGGGAGGCGGAGGTTGCAGTGACCTGAGATGGTGCCACTGTACTCCAGCCTGGGCAACAGGGTGAGACTCCATCTCAAAAAATAATAATAATAAATAAAAAAGGAAAAGGAATTGGTTTTCCAAGTGTTAAGTTTAGTGCAAAATGCATTGTGGGGAGAAAGTGTGTTCTGTCAGAGATACACGTGTCAGAACTGTGTCACACCTGGTGAAGCCGACAGTGAGGTAAAGACACAGTCTTGGGCCGGGCCAGATGAGGCACTTGCTGAAGGCCGGGCTGAGGACCGCCTACCTTCCGTCTCCTGTAGGTGGCAGAACTGGTGAAGCCATTGTAGATGCTGCGCTGAGTGCTCTGCGCCAGCTCGTGAAGGATCGCCTCGGGGGACGGAGCGGAGGATACAGTTCTGGAAAACAAGTAAGACCATAAAATGTCAGTTTTTAATGTGTCATAATTTTGAAGCCAGAGTGGATACCTTGTATAAGATAGTTGTTTTTTAACAGTATGTTAAAGTGGTGAACTCTCAATTAAAGAATAATAGAGGATTGGATCCACCGATCCCAGAGGGAACCAGCCCTCCAGCCTGCTCATTTGGCCTCCTCAGAATTGCTGTTGCCAAAGCCAGTCAGTCCCAGGGCCTCTTGCCACACCTGCAGTCCAAGTACCAGGCCCAGGAGCCACGTGCTGGCATCCCATGGCACTTGTAGGTCCAGAGTGGGGATGGGATGGACGGGTTTTCCTCTAGGTAGGCTTTGGCAAACCGTGATGAGATTGGATTACCTCTTGGCCTGTATCTGTGGCAGTCAGCCCCAAATCCATGGAAAATTCTACACAAATGGATAGGGAAGAAGAGAGAGAGAGAGGAGCAGATTGGTGTTTTAGATGCCCTTATGTGAAATGTGAAGCTTACACTGATGTTCTTGTGAAAAGACAAACTTGAAGATCTATCAATATTAAATGGGCTTTTACTTTTAGGAGACCAGTTACACTAGCTTCTTTATACAGGCTCAGAGCTTACCCAGAGATTTCATGCTCTTGCCTTTTATTTTAAACTTAGACATTTAATGAGCATAGTTGCCTGGCCCCCTGCACCCTGCCTGGCAACAGAAAGCAATGCTGACTGCTTCTTAGATTTAGTACTGAAGAACATTCTTCGAAAAAAGAAAAGGATTAAGTGTTATTTTTAGCTCTGTTGACTGGTAGGGACTTTGTCTATGAAAGATGTAACATAACATCCTAGGATGAAGCAGCAGCTGTACTTGAGTCTGAATTAGAACAGTGTTGTTCAGGTGGTTTTTTGAGCCATGTTGAGGTTTCTCTCTAAAAATAGCTGGTGACAGCATTCAGGTACAGGTTATGTGTTGTACTGAATGTATTGATAATTACTTGAAAGTAAAAGACTATTTGCCAAGCAAAAATTACAGTGCTGAGGAATGTACCCAATTTGAATACAACCGTTTTCACTATTTTATTCACTAAAGAAAAACCCTAAAACTTTGTTAAGATGTAGCAGTAGTGTTATTATTTAAAACAGGAAAAGTGTTCTTCTTGGCCCAATTGTTTGATGTTTAATGTCATAAATGACAGGGCAGAAGTGATAGTTCAAGTAAGAAGGATGTGATTGAGCTGACAGACGACAGCTTTGATAAGAATGTTCTGGACAGTGAAGATGTTTGGATGGTTGAGTTCTATGCTCCTTGGTGTGGACACTGCAAAAAGTAAGTGCCTTCTACTAAGTAGTCTGTTCATTCACAGTGTTTTCAGTACATTCATTAGCTTATTTTGAAAGAGCTGAAGTAGATAATAGATCACCACTAAGATCTCTTCCAGCAAAACTCTGACTCTAAGTGAATATTAAACATTGACATTAGCGCCAAGAGCTTCCACTCTCCTATTGCCAAAGATTAACAAGGGACTGGCTCATGTCTGGATTTAGGGGCAGTGGTGGAATGGGAAGCTCATGTGAAGGGTAGCATTGTATCTTTAGTAAAGCCACACACAAAATGTTTTCTAGGTGTGACATAATTGGGGATTGGGCAGAAATGCACAGATCAGTTAAAAAGTATAGGCTAGGCATGGTGGCTCACACCTGTAATCCTAGCTCTTTGGGAGGCCGAGGCAGGCGGATCACTTGAGGTCAGGACTTTGAGACCAGCCTGGGCAACATAGCAAAACCCCATGTCTACTAAAAATACAAAAAAATTGGCTGGGTGTGGTGGCGTGTGCCTGTAGTCCCAGCTACTTGGGAGGTTGAGGTGCAAGAATCTCTTGATTGTGGGAGGCAGAGGCTACAGTGAGCCAAGCTCACACCACTGCGCTCCATCCTGGATAATAGAAGGAGACTCTGTCTTAAAAAAAAAAAGAAAAGAAAAGAAAGGTGTTTGGGCTGCAAGTTAAAATGCAAGTATTTGGCCTGGTGAGGTGGATCACTTGAGGCCAGGAGTTTGAGACCAGCCTGGGCAACATGGGGAAACCCTATCTCTACTAAAAATGTAGAAATTAACAGTGGGTGGTGGCACACACCTGTAGTCCCAGCTATGTTGGAGGCTGAAATGAGATCACCTGAGCCCAGGAGATTGAGGCTGCAGGGAGCCATGATTGCACCACTGCACTCCAGCCTGGGCAACAGAGAGAGACTGTGTCTCAAAGAAACAAAACAAAACGAATATTTTTCTATAGCCTAGAGCCAGAGTGGGCTGCCGCAGCTTCAGAAGTAAAAGAGCAGACGAAAGGAAAAGTGAAACTGGCAGCTGTGGATGCTACAGTCAATCAGGTTCTGGCCTCCCGATACGGGGTGAGTATACTTATAAGGCTCATTTCATTGTGAAATACATGGTGTTTCGTTACTTCTTCCAATACTCCAGGCCTCCCTATGAGGTAGTAAAGGAGATGTTTAAACCATTTTGTAAGTGAAGAGATAAAGTCACTTTATTGTCATAACTAACAAGTCTGAAACTCAGGACTGTCAACTTTTCCCCCTAATGTCACACTGCTTCTGGTATATACTTAATGTGAGGTTTCAGCTTGCCCAGACTTATTCAAGTTGCTCATATGGCTGTTGTGAGTTGGTCCATTTGTTCTAGGGCAGGTACTTTGTGTTAATTATATACCAGGGCTTGAATATGATTGGCTAAACTTCACAGACTGTTAAAACTCCCTGATTGATAATTGACCTCTGTGAGTCATTCCTTTGAAATCTGTGCAGTCTGGAGAACAGTTTTGTTACATTAAATTACCTATAAGGCCAGAGTGGTGGCTCACACCTGTAATCCCAACACTTTGGGAGGCCAAGGATCACTTGAGGCCAGGATTTCAAAACCAGCCTGGCCAACATGGTGAAACCCCGTCTCTATTAAAAATACAAATATTAGCCGGGTGTGGTGGTGTGTGCCTGCAGTCCCAGCTACTCAGGAGGCTGAAGTAGGAGAATTGCTTGAACCCAGGAGGCAGAGGTTGCAGTGAGCTGAGATTGCACCTGTGCTCTCCAGCCTGGGCAACAGAGTGAGACTGCTTCAAAAAAAAAAAAAAAAAATTACCTATAAGGTGGTTTTAGAAACTGTAAAGATTGTGTTATTTTGCATTAAGTGTTAATTGGATTTTATCCTCTGACCTTTTTTTAATAGATTAGAGGATTTCCTACAATCAAGATATTTCAGAAAGGCGAGTCTCCTGTGGATTATGACGGTGGGCGGACAAGATCCGACATCGTGTCCCGGGCCCTTGATTTGTTTTCTGATAACGCCCCACCTCCTGAGCTGCTTGAGGTAAACCACTTCAACTGCTTGTAGTCCAGAAAGCTTTTTTAGCTGATGGTGAGGAATGTTAAAGCAGTGTGACACACTGTTCATTTTATGCCCTTAAAGATACTCTCTTTAAAGTGGTTTCTATACTTTGAAATGGAAAAAAAGTCTGATAAATTGCTTTTCATAACTTTTAGCATTAGAATAATTACACTGAACAGAAATACGAGCTTCTTAAAGATAGAGTGTATTCAATCACTCTTGCTTATCATTCTCAAAGTAATAGAACATTTATCAAGTACTAATCATGTAACAGGCACCGTTCTGGTGTCTTTGTATAGTTTTGTTTTGTTTTGTTTTGTTTTCATTTAATTCTCACATGAACACTGAGAGGTAGATACTGTTTTTAATCTCCATTTTATATATGGGGAAATTGAGGCACAGAGCCTCAAGTGTGTATAAACATATAAGACATATAATACATGTAAGTATAATCTATTTAAACAAGTAAGTGGCAGAGCCAGGCTGTGTCCAGGCATTGCGATTTCAGAGATGTTTGTATGTGTGCTAATCACCCCACCTCCACCACCACAGCTTCCACAGGCTTAAGAATCAGTAGCAGAAAAATCTCCTCTTAGAGAACATGCCTCCAGGTGTTTCCATACGAGGAAGTAGTCGTGGGAGAAATGTTTTCAATGAAAGTGACGGTGCGAAGGTCTTGTTTGCCAGCTTACCTTTAGGTGTTGTATCATGCAGCCTCCTGATTGTCCCTTGTCTTTTGGGTCCCACAGATTATCAACGAGGACATTGCCAAGAGGACGTGTGAGGAGCACCAGCTCTGTGTTGTGGCTGTGCTGCCCCATATCCTTGATACTGGTAAGACAGACGGAAATGATTTCCCTTAGCTGTTCTATGCTAGATGCTCTGAGAATACTTTCTAAATGGATTAATTTTATGGACTCCTTTATCTTTACCTTTAAAAAACTTTGTCTATTTAAATCAGGAGCTGCAGGCAGAAATTCTTATCTGGAAGTTCTTCTGAAGTTGGCAGACAAATACAAAAAGAAAATGTGGGGGTAAGTTACTGAGCTTACTGTCTGAGTGTCATCTGAACAGCTGATTATAGGCTTTCTTGAGAGTGGTTCCCCCGTGTTTTTGTAAGCTGTGTTCTATGTTTGCTCTGCTATATGTTTTTTTTTTTTTTCCCTCCTGCCTCAGCCTCCCAAGTAGCTGGGATTATAGGCGCCCGCCACCACACCCAGCTAATTTTTGTATTTTTAGTAGGGTCAGGGTTTCACCATGTTGTCTAGGCTGGTCTCAAAACTCCTGACCTCAAGTGATCCACCTGCCTCCACCTCCCAAAGTCCTGGGATTACAGGTGTAAGCCACCGCACCCGGCCTGCTCTGCTATATGTTTTTATTCAGGATGTGAAAACTTTATCATGGGAGGAAAAGAAGGAATGAAGGGCTGTCAGCACAGCATGCATTTTTCTCATAGGAATCATGTTTTACATGGTGATTGGAGTGCCAGGTTAGCAGGCAGACACATAAGGAGTAGTGCACCTGAATTCTACTGTGAACTTGAAGGCTGGGTGAGAAAGGGGAAATAGAATTGTTTCCTTCTCCTCTTCTGAGTTAAGGACTGGATCTAGGCACATTTTCAAAACAGTGTATCTCTTTCCTATTTTATCCTTTTTTTTTTTTTTTGAGACAGAGTCTCACTCTCTTGCCCAGGGTGGAGTGCAGTGGCACAATCTCGGCTTACTGCAACCTCCGCCTCCCGGGTTCAAAAGATCCTCCTGCCTTAGCCTCCTGCGTAGCTGGGACTACAGGCGCACGCCACCATGCCCGGCTAATTTTTGTGATTTTAGTAGAGATGGGGTTTGCACCATATTGGTCAGGCTGGTCTCGAACTCCTGACCTCAGGTGATCCACCTATCTTGGCCTCCCAAAGTGCTGGGATCACAGGCGTGAGCCACCGTGCCCAGCCTCCTTCCTATTTATCTTTTTGCTTCTTGTCCTCAGTATCCATTGCTTTCCCCAGGTACCTAGCGCCCCCTGTTGTCCCTCTCTCGATGACCTTGCTCCTCCTCCATTAGTCCAGCAAATGTTTATTAGATGCCTACAGAACGCGAGAACATGCTTAATAACCCAAATGATATTGGTGGGATTTCAGGTAAAAAGGGAAAATCCATATAGAAACTCATCTTTTGTTTTTATTTGTCATTCTACGAAATATCTGAAGCGTGATCTTTTGTTCTCTAAGATCTTCTAGTTAGATCGTAAGCAATTTAAAAGACATATTTGCCCTAAAAACCAGTCTGGTTTTCTAGGTGGCTGTGGACAGAAGCTGGAGCCCAGTCTGAACTTGAGACCGCGTTGGGGATTGGAGGGTTTGGGTACCCCGCCATGGCCGCCATCAATGCACGCAAGATGAAATTTGCTCTGCTAAAAGGCTCCTTCAGTGAGCAAGGCATCAACGAGTTTCTCAGGTAATTTGTTTTCTTAGGTTGTTTGTTGTTTTGTCTGTTTGTTTGGTTCTGTTGTAGGTTTATATTTGGAACTAGGTATATATAAGCCAGGTAATAAATGGAATTTAAAATGCAAACTAATTCCAGAGAATTGAATGTTTATACATTAGAGTTTTTAAATTGTCTCCCTGTTCGTTCTTTTTTCCATGGAATACTCTGCTTGCGGGATGAGGAGAAAGCATTGCTACCCTCGGGCCGCCCTGTGTGCCATTCTGTGCATCTGGCCCTGGGCTCTTTCTCATTCTCATAAAGGTCTCATATGGGCTAGAGGCAGCCCTGTCTGTCCATCCTCACCCTCATATGCATTGTAATCTTGACCTTGGGGAAATGTGGTTTCCATTTCTGGGCACTTGGCTTTGGAATGTAGTTATTTATTTGAAAATGGGCGTACTTAAGTTACTCCAACAATGTGCAAACAACATGATAGGTTCTAAAACCAATATACAGAGCTGTCTACTCTGCTCTGCTATTCAGCTCACCTAATCATCTTTTAGGCAATACAGGGCATTGACCTAAAGAGGTTTTATTTCCCATTCTTGCTTTCTTCCGCGTTCATTTCTTAGCTGCTGTATAAGAGATGTTCAGCACACAAAAGGTAGTTGAGAGGCTTGTGTTGAATAATGAATAGGAAGAACAGTACATGAAAGCCTGCAGTGCTCTTGCTGCCAGTCTTCCTACTTGACACAGAAGTTTGTGTGCTGTGTGGAGACGTGTGTGTGTGCTGTGTGGAGAGTAGGGGCTCCAAAGTCAGGTGCCTCAGTCACAGCTCTGCCTTGAGTAGTGAAGTGGGAGGCATGGAGGAAGCCCTGTGAGATCAGCTGCTTCAGCCTCTGCCGGCGGGGGGCAGACTGTGGCTCCTTCCCTCCCAGCTCTCTCTCATTGTAGTTGGTTAATATGGTTAATGGGTGTTTTCTTTCCCCCCCACCCCCGAGACAGAGTCTTGCTGTGTCGTCCGGGCTGGCACGATCTCGGCTCACTGCAACCTCCACCTCCCGGGTTCAAGTGATTCTCCTGCCTCAGCCTCCTGAGTAGCTGGGATTACAGGCGCCTGCCACCACGCCCAGCTAATTTTTGTATTTTTAGTAGAGATGGGTTTTCACCAGGTTGGCCAGGCGGGTCTCAAACCCCTGACCTCAAGTGATCCACCCACCTCAGCCTCCCAAAATGCTGGGATTACAGGTGTGAGCCACCACGCCTGGCCAAGGGGGTGTTTTCATTAAGTTTGTGGGGCTGGGTGCGGTGGCTCACGCCTGTAATTCCAACACTTTGGGAGTCTGAGGCAGGCGGATCACTTGAGGCCAGGAGTTCGAGACCAGGCTGGCCACCACGGTGAGACCTTATGTCTACTAAAAATACAAAAAATAGGCCAGGTGTGGTGTTGTAGGCCTGCAGTCCTAGCTACTAGGGAGGCTGAGGCACACCCAGGAGGTGGACGTTGCAGTGAGCTGAGATCACACCACTGCACTCCAGCCTGGGCAAAAGAGTGTGACTTGGTCTCAAAGAAAAAGAAGTTTGTGGACTGCTTAAGTTTGTGATTGTCATAGAGTAGTATTTATTAAATCATGAAGTCAGAATGTGAATATATCTCCTGTAATTTTTTTTTCTAATAATAGGTTTGCTTATTCTAGCCCATTGGTGCCATAGATTGTTAGTCTAGCTCTATTATTCTATGAGTTGTTTGGTGAACTCTAAATATTTGTGCCCACAGTATTTCTGGCTCTGGTTTCCCAACAGCCAGATTACACCAGGTCTGGTATGTTTCAAGTACTGATGTTTATGCACATACGCACCCCGCTCTCTGCCAGCGCACTGGAACCAGTCGCCTCACTTCTGATATGCTCCCTCTGTACAGGTTCACAGCAGTCTTAGAAAGCTCGCAGGCAGCCCATGTTCTAGATCAACTTTGATAATTATTTATGTATTTAATTTGTATTTCAGCAAATGCTCTGCTATTTTTAAAAGCTTACTGATAGCAACTGACTTTATCTGATGCAGGGGGCTTAGTTGGGAATGTTGAATCTGGTTGTAATGTTGTCCGTGATTAAAAAGATAATGTCCTCAAGGTGTTTCTGAGGAATGTAGTGCAGCAAGAGAGAAGAAATGCCTCTGCATAAACAAAGTAGGCAGACTGTTATTTTTAAAGTTGTTTATTCTTCTGCACCAGCAGTCCATTGTAAATGTGTGTGTGTGTTTTGGTCATTTTTCCCTAAGGGAGCTCTCTTTTGGGCGTGGCTCCACGGCACCTGTAGGAGGCGGGGCTTTCCCTACCATCGTTGAGAGAGAGCCTTGGGACGGCAGGGATGGCGAGGTGAGTGCCCGGGAGGGAAGCTGTGCGGGCAGCAGTCCTGGTTTACTCTCTTGAGCCTGTGCATCTCTGCACCTGGAGTCAAGTCCTTCCCATCAGACCTCAGCCCTGGTGCACCCGTGGGCCTTTTAAGAGGTTCTTCTCTGAAGACCCTTCATCTTCCTTATCACAAGTTTAAGTGCTGCATGGCATTTGATACTCTTGACAGCCAAGATACATTTCAGTAGTAAGGTTGCTTTCCTGATTATTACCTTAAAGTGAACATTTAACCTGGAATTCATTTACTTTATCTTAGAAAAATAGAAAATGATAGCTTTGAAATTAGCACTTATTTCTGTACTGTTGTGTCCCACCCTCCTCAAAAGGACACGTTCAAGTGGCTTCCAGTGTTAAAATGGTGAGTGATGTGATGTTGAAATGTTTCACCTGAGTTCTGAGCTTTTCCATCCGTATAATCATAGGTACGAAGGTCAGGGTAGGAGTCAGACTGAGGAGAACCTGGATTGTAGCAGGAGTAGCTCCAGAGAGTCGCTCTTCCATAAAATGAGATGTTGACCTTCCAGGGTGTCCCCTTCTGCAGATCTAACAGTGGCTTTCTGTCGTCTCCCAGCTTCCCGTGGAGGATGACATTGACCTCAGTGATGTGGAGCTTGATGACTTAGGGAAAGATGAGTTGTGAGAGCCACAACAGAGGCTTCAGACCATTTTCTTTTCTTGGGAGCCAGTGGATTTTTCCAGCAGTGAAGGGACATTCTCTACACTCAGATGACTCTACCAGTGGCCTTTTAACCAAGAAGTAGTACTTGATTGGTCATTTGAAAACACTGCAACAGTGAACTTTTGCATCTCAAGAAAACATTGAAAAATTCTATGAATTGTTGTAGCCGGTGAATTGAGTCGTATTCTGTCACATAATATTTTGAAGAAAACTTGGCTGTCGAAACATTTTTCTCTCTGACTGCTGCTTGAATGTTCTTGGAGGCTGTTTCTTATGTATGGGTTTTTTTTAATGTGATCCCTTCATTTGAATATTAATGGCTTTTTCCATTAAAGAATAAAATATTTTGGACAATGCCGATAAATGTATGAAGTTAGTATCCACATCATAAATTCAGAGTGATGTTTAGCAGTAAATCAATATTTTGAAGTGATACACAGATGTCTTTCCTCCCCACAAACTTTTTTAAACAAAAAACAAGACCTCTTTTCTTTAGATGGTGCCACCTATGCCCACCACAACAGAGATTTTACATGGAAACCGGGCTCAGTGAGAACTGATTTCCTGCCCAATATTTGTCTTTGGGCTGTCTCTAGTGACTAATTATTAAGGAATCTAGCTGGTTATACAGTTCAAGGCTTTCTATGTTGTTAATGAACCTCAAAATAGCCGTTAAGACATGAAATACAGCAGCAGGTTACCAATGCGAACAGGTAGTTCGCATTTATGTAAAACATTCAGAAAATGAAGTTTTGAATTTGTTGGAACATTCAAAGGACTTGAGAGCATTTTATTGTAACTTAAAAAAATAAATACAACTGTCACTAACTTTTGTGAGCAATTTCTCTGAAAAAGATCTTAGTTCTGTAAGACATTTGAACCATTCTCTGGCTAAAGGAAAGAGGTGTCTGTAATAATCTGCACGAACATGAGACAGAGGTGCCAGCTGGCCTTTCTAGTCAAGAAGACTAAGGTCAATATGGAAGTAGACATAAGGAAAATAGTCTTGGTTATTGAGTTGCAGTCCCGGGATCTCCACAGATGCCTACAAAAGAAGACATGGTAATGCTCTAAGTGCATAAACTAGTTTCCTGTCTTATCCTTTTAGTTTTGAGGAAGCTCGCCAGGCACTGAGCGTACGTTCTGCTCTGCGTAGCTGTGGTCCACCCCTCCAACCCTCTCCTTGCTGTGCTTTAATGTGTATGACATGTAGATTTTCATAACAGGCTGACAGATAGTTTTGCTTTGTTTTGTTTTTGAGACAGTTTCTGTCACCCAGGCTGGACTCAGCTCACTGCCTGCCTCAGACTCCCAAGTAGCTGGGATTACAGGCATGCACCACCACTCCTGGCAAATTTTTTTTTTTTTTTTTTTTTTTTTTTTTTTTTTGAGACAGAGTCTTGTTCTGTCGCCAGGCTGGAGTGTAGTGGCGTGATCTCAGCTCACTGCAACCTCCGCCTCCCAGGTTCAAGCGATTCTCCTGCCTCAACCTCCCAAGTAGCTGAGACTACAGGCACACACCACCATACCCAGCTAATTTTTGTATTTTTAGTAGAGACAGGGTTTCACCATGTTGGCCAGGTTGGTCTCCATCTCTTGACTTCGTGATCCACCCGCCTTGGCCTCCTGAAGTGCTGGGATTACAGGCGTGAGCCACTATGCCCAGCCCAATTTTTTTTTTAGTAGAGACAGGGTCTTACCATGTTGGCTAGGCTGGTCTCAAACCCTTGACCTCAAGTGATCCACCTACCTCCCAAAGTGTTGGGATTACAGGCAGATACCAGTTTTTTGAAAGTAAGATGCTGAGCTTACTGTAGAAATACTGCTGTTTCTGGATACCTACATCCAGTATACTTGTAGCGGCTACTTCATCCAGATGTCGGAAGACAGAGTTTAGAACCTCTCTTAAACGCTTGGTGGATGACTTCTTATGCGGCTGCAGGAGCACTGCCTGGAAGTTCACTGGTAGTCCATACCTTTTCAGATAGACAAAATGTGTCAGTTCACTGCTCCAAATGCAAACACGGATAGAAGGAACCTGACCAGAAACAGTACATTCCGAGGGTGAAAAGCTTCAACCAACACAGCTTCATAAAGTCAAACTCGAGCAAAATGCCTAGGGTCAGCGGTGATCTCTGGATAGAAAAAGCTCTAGAATTTGCTAACCCCCTTCTGATAGCTAGTTTTCAACTATAGAGCAAAAGAGGTCATCCCTCTGGCCATGAATGGCCATTCCACGGTGCATGCTCAAGTTGAATGCAGGTAGTTGGACTGAACATTCGGACTCCAAGGCGTTTGTCTAAAACCCAGCTCGGCCGTTTTTCTCCACTAAAGGAGAGGCAAAAATCTGGTTTATCAAGATTGTTACTATTTTCGCTGAGTTTTTGGGTAGATAGAAAACATTTTTAACATACCTAGTTGTATGCCTGAGCATGTTTAAAACCAGTTGTTGGGATGAGCTATTCCTGGGGTGTTAGCCCACACAAAATATAGCAAGTGCTGTAAATGGAAAACATTTTGTGATTGTTGATGTATTTTTATACTCTGAGGGAGCAAAGGATCGGATGTTCAGTAGTTAGCACCTATGTTCCCTCGGGATCCCCAGGCCTTGATGTGAAGTCTGTTTTTACACGCCCTTCCACTCACCTAGTACTCTGTGCAGACGGGGCTGCCATAAAGATAAGTCCTGGGAGCAGGACCTATTAATATTACTAAGGTTTTATTTATCTATTTTTTTTTTTGAGACAGAATCTCGCTCTGTCACGCAGGCTGGAGTGCAATGGTGCGATCTCGGCTCACTGCAGCCTCCACTTCCTGGGTTCAACCGATTCTCCTGCCTCAGCCTCCCAAGTAGCTGGGATTACAGGCGCCCGCCACCACCACGCCAGGCTAATTCCACCACAGTCATTACCAACTTGCACTGGAGGTTGTTTATTCATCTAGGACACGTCCTTAAAGCTTAAGGCGCTCCTCCCCCAGCAGCCTGGCTTGAGGGAGAGGCCTGCCTCTGTTGTGCTCGCTGTGGTGGGTGGTAGGCACCCTAGGTCCTTAAGGGACATACGCTCCAGCCCTTAACCTTTCCTCAGCCTCTGAGTTCTTCCGGCCCTGTCCTGTCTCTGTGGCACCCGTCCTGCTAATAATGCCTTCTCCATTCTGCCCAGAACAAGACACCATGCCGGGTGCAGTGGCTCACACCTGTAATCCCAGCACTTTGGGGGGCCAAGGCAGGCTGGATCACCTGAGGTCAGGAGTTCAAGACCAGCCTGGCCAACGTGGTGAAACCCCGTCGCTACTAAAATTACAAAAATTAGCTGGGCGTGGTGGTGCACGCCTGTAATCCCAGCTACTAGGGGAGGCTGAGGCAGGAGAATTGCTTGAACCTGGGAGGTGGAGGTCGCAGTGAGCTGAGATTGTGCCACTGCACTCCAGCCTAGGCGACAGCAAGAGTCCATCTCAAAAAAAAAAAAAAGGACCCCAGGAGCGGCTGGCCCATCGGTCTCAACCTCTTTCTTGGGCAGATGCGCATCCTGGAAGGCATGGACAGGCTTCACTGTGTTAGGCCGTTAGGCCTGAGAGCAACCGACTTCTGAGCCGGGCAGGGTTGATCTGGGGCCATGTATATTAGAGATGGCTAGAACACTCCCAGGAGCTGGGTACACCCTCCAACCCAATGCTGCCATCCGTGTCGGTACAGGCTTTTGAGATGGGCGTGCACAGGTGCGCATGGGTACAGGTGTGGGTGCGGTGCATGTGCAGGGCAGAAGAACCAGGAACCAAGGTCAGATCTGTATCTGGGCAGACCACACACTGACAGCCACATGGAAGGGGAATTGGAGGCCAAGAACAGAGAGGAGGCTTATGGCAACAGCCAGGCCGGTGGGGCCAGACCCGTGAAAGAGAGAGTGCAAAGGCGGAGTGGACCGGGCCTGTCAGGGGTGTCTAAACTGACCCTGAAGTTTGGGGTCTGATAAGGGGAAGGATGAGGAGGCCACTGGCAGAAACAGGGAAGCAGAGGAAGGGGTGCGGGAGGGGAGATGAGACAGATACCCAGGTAAAGCCTACGGCAGGCAGATGGCAGGACCTGGAAACCAGGGAACATGGGCAGGAAAACGAGGGAAAGTAGGGGACATCAGCCAGGGGGACGGCAGGGAGGGATGAGGAGCTCCTCAGTGCAGGCGGGGAAGGGGTCCGGAAGGTCACACAGAGGGTCTCAGGGGCTGGAGGAGCCCAGGAGGCCGCGAGTCAGAGCGGCAGGCGGTGCGCAGTGCTCCGTGACGCGGGACGCAGCCACACAGGGCAGAAAAGCGGCCTTCGAAGGCGTTTCCTCTGATTCCACTTTCATAAAAATCTGTAAGAATTACGTATCTATTCATAAAAAAACAACAAAACCTACACCTAAAAGGGCACCCACTGGGACGCTGGCAGTGTTCTCTCCTGGTGTTAAAATTAAAATTACAGGAGATTTTTACTCACTCTGCTTACCTAGAGTTGCCAGGTTTCCCACAGTGAAGTTTTTTTTTTTTTTTTTTTTCTATAGCCGGAGTTTCTCTTGTTGCCCAGGCTCGAGTGCAGTGACGCGATCTCGGCTCACTGCAACCTCCGGCTCCGAGGCTCAAGTGATCCTCCCACCTCAGCCTCCCAAGTAGCCAGTACTACAGGCCCATGCCACCACACCCGGCTAATTTTTGTATTTTTAGTAGAGGTGGGGTTTCACCATGTTGGCCAGGCTGGTCTCGACAGTCCATGACAAGGGCATATATATATATATATACATACATATATATATATATTTTTTTTTTTATTAGGCAAAGGCCGGGCATGGTGGCTCGCGCCTGTAATCCCAACATTTGGGAGGCCAAGGTGGGCGGATCATCTGAGGTTAGGAGGAGCTCAAGACCATCCTGACCAACATGGTGAAACCCCGCCTCTACTAAAAATATAAAAAAATTAGCCGGGCGTGGTGGCGGGCACCTGTCATCCCAGCTACTAGGGAGGCTGAGACAGGAGAATCTCTTGAACCTGAGAGGTGGAGGTTTCAGTGAGCCAGGAACATGCCATTGCACTCTAGCCTGGGCGACAAGAGTGAAACTCCATCTCAAATAAAAAAAAAAAAGGCAAAATAAGCTTTGTTGTTGTTGGTGTGGTTTTGGTTTTCTCTCTGGACTGCCTTGAGGGGTGCGGCTTCCAGGCTGAGGACGGAGGCAGCCCGAGAGCGCCTTCCAGGAGCCACTCGGGCCCTGCGGGCTTCACGAGGGTGGGGACAGGAGCCAGCCAGAGGGTCCACAAGGGCATGCAGGTAGGGCAGCTGGGGAGAACCCAGGTGACACTTGCCCCAAGTGTAGCAGGAACGGAGGGAGCAGACAGCAGGGGACACAGGGCTGAGGGGAGGGTGTACTTGACTCGGAATTGAGCGTGTTGCCAACAGCCACAGTCTCAGAAAGGAGACGGGTGGAGGATGGAGAGAAGGCAGGAGCTGGGGTGCCCCGATAGCTCCCCCAGACCCTGCCCATCCTCAGGACAGTCCCAGCCGGGGCATCACTGCCACGCACCTGAGCACGGACTCCACAAACACTCTCAGGGCCTTGATGTGGATCCAGGCAATGAAGGCTTCACTGAAGTTCACCTTGAGCCAGCGCAGCAGGGGGCCCTGCAAAGACAGAAGAGCCAGGTGACCCCTGCTGAACACCCCGCCTGACACAGAGCCAAGAAAGGACTTGGGTTTTGACAGAGCACGCCCTGAGCTGAGAAGAAGTGCCCAGGAGCCAGAAGCAGAGAGTCGGTCAGACCAGCCCTGGGTCAGGCTCAGGACCTCGAGGTCCAGGGCACCTGGTGCCGGGGAAGCTCAGCGGGCCAGCCACCCGGTGCATGCACGGGGCCACCACAGACCGCAGCGCGGGGAGCTGGGCAGCCCCTGACCTTGGGGCTTTCAGCAGGCAGCCAGGGGCTTCTGCCTGACACTGTGCAGCCAGGGAGCCCACCTTCTCAGAGGCTCTGCCCCCAGGGTCCTGGCATCATCCACAGCAGCCGCCTCCCCTCACAGCCCCACCTCACGTGGCCACAGCAGCAGCCACTGATGCCGGTGTGGCAGGTCTTCCTGGGAGCTCAAGAGTCTTGGAGCAAGAGCCCCGAGCTCCCGCCTGACACTGCAGCTGCCCACAAAGGTCAGGGGTGGGTTCAGCAAGGGCAGCCAAGGGAGGAGAGCTGAGCTGCCAACCACCACCCCAGCCAGGGCCCTGCCCGTCCCAGCTCCAGCCACCTCCAGCCAGGCGCCCGGGGAGAGGCGCCCTGGCCGACAAGCACCCTTCACTGCTGGCGGGGGCAGCTCCAAAGAGGCCCTGCAGATTAGGAGGAAGGCATGATTCCGGCTCCTCAAATTTAAGACCTCAAAAGCCATATTAGAGAACAGAAAAATGCAAGGATTCATTTTCCCAGAAGGCGCCTGAGCTGGCGAGGAGATGTGAGCCAGGGACCCCGGGGTTCCCGGGGCGTTGCTTACCTCACCCTCGCCCTCACTCTCTCTCTCTCTGTCGGTCTGCCCCGCAGCAGGCCTATCAGGGTTACCTAGCGGGGTTACCTTAACCTTGTGGTCCGGGAAGGTGGATGATCCCTTTTTAAGAGCAACACAGGAAGTTTGCTAAAGGCACAGAAATGATTTATTAATCTTTCAGCAAACATGCATCACAAACAAATAAATCATTCTCATCGCCTGAAAGGCACGCGAGAGCAAGCTCAGGAATTCAGGCCCACCCTCGGGACTCGCGTGCTGGCTAGACTAGAGATGTGGTAGGTGCCCACCGGGCTCCTGGAGTGGTGAAGGCAGAGAGAAGGGCAGTGTTAAGGTCTTTGGGTTCCATATTCCAAGCACAGAGCCGATCTCTGGCAGAGGGGTCAGCCCTGAGCTCCCTCCCCTTGCTTGGGCTCAGCCAGGACCCCCATCGCAGGCCGACCAGGACAGCACCGGGAGGCGTTAGTGGAAACGGCTCTCTGCGCTCTGTCAAGGTGGCTCCACCATGCCCAGCCACAGATGCCTTCCTGGCATTCGGGGGGCACCTCGGCATGCAGAGTGCAGGAGATGAGTTGGGCATGCAGTTAGGACACTCACCCTTTCCCATTCTGTCTCTGCAAACAGGTGGGAAACACAGGGACATCCCACTCTGCTCTCAAAGTACACTCAAACCCCAGGGCCTGGTCTGTCCCTCTGGTTGATGAGTGACAAAAAGGATGCAAGACGTTTGGTCATGCACTTCTAGATAGGCCAGAGGGGGCCAGATTCTCAGGAGGCCAGTGGGACTACCCAAGCTGAGAGTGCCTCCACCTCCCGCCCACAGAGAGACCCTGGCAGGGCCCCCAGGGTGGTGTGGGCGAAGGCTACGCCATGTAAAATACGCCAGCTGGCAACCTGAGCCCCACGTGGCAGGCGGCAGGCTCCTGTGTGTCACCCTGTTCCCCGGGGGTCTGGCAGGCCTGGGCCAGTGCCCAGGTGGGTGCCAAAGGCCCTGCTTCGCCACCTGTCCCCCAGCAGGGCCTCCCTGGTGTGGAGGCTGCCACGGTCTAGCCCCGTCCAGAGATACTGCGCAGGGGGTTGGGACCAGGACTGAATCGAGCTGGGAAAAAGCCTGGCTGAAGAGAACAGCCAGGGCGTGCCCAGGTAGCGAGGGTTTCAGGTGAGCTGAGCCTAAGGAAGAAAACACTTTGGAGCTCAGCTTTCACTGGGGAAAATCTTTCCTGCCTGGTGTCTGGGTCTGTGGGCCCTGCTCTGAAGACTGGAGCATCCAAAGGGCTGGGGGTCCCCAGCTCCAGCTCGGCTCCTCGTCCTCAGGAGGCGACACCCTCCCCGCAGGCTCAGCCGGAGCCCAGCAGCGTCTGGCTCTGAGGTGTGTCTCACTTGCTGTGCACACACAGGTCCACACACACACTCATACATGCACGTGCGCGCGCACACACACACACACGTGTGTGAGCGCCCTGTGCTATTTCGGAGGAGGAGGGTGAAAAACCCCCTATATAAACTTGTATATTATCAGCTGTTGTTTCCTCCCTAAAGGGAAACAGACCAGACCAGAGGGGCTCCGAGAACCCCACTACGGGGGCTCCGTGGCTGGGCTCGCTTGTGACGGGGTGGCTGCTCATCCCCAGTCCCTGCAAAAAGGTCGCTGACAGACAGGCCAGGTCCCCAGGAGCCCGGAGCACACACTTGGCAGCACGGACACTGGGAGCACTCCCAGCCTGCCCGCGGCCACGGCGCTCCTCCCCATGGGAGTCCTCACAGTGCTGTGTTCACACAGTGACTTTCCCCCAAAGGCCTCAAGAACTTTCTACTCATTCCTCCTGCCCTGTCACTAGAGGCTGGACTGGAAGGTGCTCACGGAACCCTCCCTGGTGGGCATGAGGAAGAAGGGTCCCAAAAACATTCCACCCAGACAGGCTCCTTCCAAGTTGCCCAGCCTAGCCCAGCATCGCAGCAGGAGAACCTGAGTATGGAAGGTGCCCACTTCCCGGAGCGGTGGAGGGACCTTCCCAAAGCTCTCCTGCTCACAATTCAAACGTGAGCATCTAGTTTTGCTCCCTGGTGAGCTACGCTGTCCTCCTCCGTGAAGGGTTTCTGAGTGGCTGTGGTCGGAAGTCTCCAGATAAGCACCCTCTCCGCACTAAGGACACGGGAGGTAAATACAGGGGCTAGTGGCGCCCTGGAAACCTCACGGCTGCAATCTCCAAGGCCCAGCACTGCCCACCCTGCACACAGATGCTCCCGCCTGGAGCCCACGTGCCTTGCTCAGTCCAAGGAAGGCCTGGCAGGGTCCTCTGGCCAGCTTGCCTCTCAGAGCCTCAGTTTCTCCATACTGTGGAGCTAGCAACCCCTTCCTGGCAGGGCGGTGCTCAGGACCAGTGAGAACACATGTGGAAAGCGCCAGCTTGGGTGGGCCCCCGGCTCCCGCCCCCAGCTCCACCGCCTGGGCTCCTTTGTGCTCACCGCCCCTCCCCCCAGACCCTGCTCAGGCGTCCCATGAGAACAGACGGTCCCCATGGTGTGAGCCCAGGAGCCTGGGGACAATGAGAGGGAGGAGGGAGAGCTGGAGACCTGGGAGGACTCTTCTATCCCCAGGCCTCCGGGTAGGGGCGGGAGGAGCTGCTCAATCACATACTCACATACTGTTGCTTCTTATCAGACAGCAATCTGGCCATCTCCTCCCTTTCCCTTTCAATTTCCTTCTCATCATAGTAAAATTCACGAACAGTGAACCTTAAAACAAGCAAATCATGGGTTTTCACTCAGAAGCTTTCCAGAGGGGCAGAGACCCCCCGCAGCGGGAGATGAACCAAACCTGGAGGACCCTTACTTGTTTTCTTTGGCCTTGGTTTTGAAATCTTCAATCACTTTTCGAAACAGAGTCACAGTGAAAAGGCCCCCTTCCTTGTCCTCAGTAATGAGTCTGTTGGAGAGAAGCATCTGTTGGCTGGACTCACTGCTAGGCCTTGTGCGGGAGTGGGGCTCAGAGGCCCCGGGCCTGGTGGCCTGCACCTGGGGTCCATGGCAGCAGCTGAGGGCTGGGGAACCAAGGACACTCCCTGAGATTTCCTAACTCCTGGCTGCCTGCCCTTCCCTCCTGCCCCTTCCACACCCCTCCAGGCTAAGGCCTCAGGGGGCCTCGGGGTGCAGGGAGTGTAGGGGCCTGGGCTTTAGCTCCCGCTTATCAAATTCCTGAGAGACCAAGCCCTCCTGGGCCTCCGTCACCACAGCTGGCACAGGGTGTCCCTGGCTCTGACGTGCTGCCTGATAGTAAAGCAGAGTGGTGGAAACTATCCTACAAGGTCCATTTCACTTCCAATATCACAAAGTCCTAATGGGACACAGCCTCCCAAGCAAGTCTCAACACAGGACCACTGGGGCCACTGTCTCTAGCAACTCAGGAATTCTTGGGGCCAGGAGTCTAAGCATCTCTGAGTCCTATTGGCCAGAAGACTGGAAGTGGGAGCCCTCAGGCCCAGACACGATCTCACAGCATGCTGGCATGCTGGCAGGGTCACCCTTCCTGTTTCTCAGAGCCCATGCCCATAGGGGCTGCCGCCAGACTCCAGGTATTTCCAGAGTCATCTGTGCAGGCTTTCAGGTGGCCTGTGACAATGAAGGGCCTGAGGCTCTGGTCTGGGAGGCCAGGCCACCTACCAAGGCAGCCGGCCCTGTCAAGGATCCCCGGCTCTTGGCCTTTAAGAGCAGTGAATGCTCCTGCCAGCACACTGGCTTCAAGGGCCAGCTCCTCTGCTCCAGAGCCTTGCTCCTCTTCCCTGCCTCCCCTGTAACCTCGGGCTGTGATTGTCCTGTTCCTTGCACCCTTCAATTTAGATCCCGATTGCCATCTCGTAGCCCTGGGAGATCCCCGTCCCCCAGCAGGGGCCCCAGGGCAGAGGCCTTGCACCGGGAGTTCTGTGTGTGGGGAGTCAGATGAACAGGCTGGCTGCCTGACGCGCATTCTAAAACCTCTTCAAATTACAAACCTTCTCGGCCATACAAAAAGGTACAGAGGAAAATGAGTACCAAGCTGGGTGTGGTGGCTCACACGTGTAATCCTAGCACTTTGGGAGGCTGAGGCAGGCGGATCACCTGAGGTCAGGAGTTCGAGACCAGCCTGGCCAACACAGTGAAACCCCATCTCTACCAAAAATACAAAAATTAGCTGGCCGTGTTGGTGCACGCCTATAATCCCAGCTACTTGAGAGGCTGAGGTAGAAGAGTTGCTTAAACCCGGAAGGCGGAGGTTGCAGTGAGCTGAGCTCGGGCCACTGCACTCCAGCCTGGGCAACAGAGTGAGACTCCATCTCAAAAAAAGGAAAACGCGCAGCTTTGGATCAGCCACCCAAAACCAAAGTTCCAGCAGGTGAAAGCCCACATGCCCCTACCCCACTATGTGCCACTCACTCCATCCTGAGCCACTACCATCCTGAGTGTGGCCTTCCTGCCCGTGACCCATCCCCACAATTCCTTGTGCACCTGTGTGTGCCCGAGTCACGCCCATTTCACATCCATTTCAGACCCTCTGCTCCTCTGCAGCTGCCTTTCCCCTTCATCCCTCCTGACACACAGGGCCTGGCATCCTTGGTTCCCCCGCCATGCAGTGTCCCGTGATGGACAGTCTGTAACCCGCTCTCCTCCTGTCACTGTGACAGGACCCACTGGCTACTGCTGCTCTGGCCCCTGCAGGCCACACGCTGAGGCCGCTTTCCCTCCCGGCTCCCGCTGTGGCCGTTCACTGGGCAGCCACTTAGGCCAGGGCTGGCTTCCCCCTCTGGCAGGGAAGAATTGACGCTGAGCCGAGAACACAGAGCCAGAATGCAGCAGAGGCAACGGCGTGGAGAGGCTGCTCGGCCAGGTGGGGCCAGGGCAGCCTTCCCAGGGCAGGGGCAGGGAAGTGAAGTTTTGAAAGAGGAAGGCACTCTGGCATGTGACAAGGTGGGCGACCCTGACAGAATTCCAGGCCAAGGGACAGGAGAGGGCCCAGGTGTGGAAAGCTGGGGAGCCTCACACCCTCGGGGCATGTTTGGTGGTTGGGTGCCCTGAAGCACCCACACATGTACCCCAGGGGCCCTGGGACCAAGCTGGGGTCTCACTTACTTGGTTGATCGAGGGACCACCATGTCTGAGAGAGATTCGTAGGTTTTTTGCCATTGTGAGTAGTTTGGTCTGCAAGAACATAGAATCGTTACGTGATTTTTTGCAGAAAAGGCTCGTGGGTGTCCTGAGTGCCTAGGAAGCTGCACACCCCTTTTCCTGAAGGCCTGAAGGTGAGCAGGGATGGGGTCAGAGGGAGCCCTCACCTCCCCTGAGGTCTGCTGTTCCCATGGGGAATCCCCTGCCCAGCCTCCACAGGGTACCCACAGAAGTCCCTTTGTGAAGAGCTATGGATACACTTGGGGCTCGCTAATAACCATCTAATCCGGGCCCCGTGTGACCTTGGACAAGCTAACCGACCTCTCCAGCCTCAGGACAATGGGAATCACCAGACTTCCCAGGCCTTTGGTGAGGATGAAATAAAATAATGTCGACCACACATTGGGTATATAGCAAGTGCTCAATAAATGGCTGCTTCTATCGTGGCCACAACCACCATCACCCAACCACTGTCCCTACTGACAGCCGCAGGCAGGGCCCCATGAAGGAATGACTGCTTCCCGAGAACTGGGGCTGGGCAGGGAGCATCCTCGTCCACACTGCCCAAGTCACCAACGGGTCCACCTTCCTCTCCACTGGGCAGGGCCGGTTTCCTTCGTGATCGCCCAGCACTCACTTGGGGACGATGACCAGAAGTGTGACGAGATATTCAGAATCCAGCACGAAGTCCTCTTTGCTCACAATATCACTCAGTGTCCGGGTGAAGAGGTTCCCCCTAAAAGGCAGGTGGAACAAAGGGTGTGAAAGATGTGAGCAGAAAGGGACACAGTGACCCCACACACACCCACACCCGGGCACTGGGGGCAGTTCTCAAGGAAGGGTGGGTGCCAGGGATGCTGGAGCCTAGGAGAACACAGCAATTCTCAGCAATGATTGCTCCCCACAACCCCAGGGCCAGGCTCTGTGCTGGGGCCACAGCTGCTGCCTCCTCCCCTCCAGGGACAGGGAGGCTGGCAGGGCCTCGGGTGCTATCACCCGTCACCCAAGGGGCTGCCGAATCCAACACCTCAGTGACCTGCGCTGCCCTGGTGCCAGCTCCGGCTGCTATGGGAGGGGGCCTCGGGTGGCAGGCAGCTAAAGTTACTCAAGTGTCAACACAACGGCCAGCTCTTAGGGCTGCGTTGAGCCGTCCTCGATAGAGCTCCGTGTCACTTTACAGGCCTCCCAGCCCAGCACCCAGGGGACACTCACCTGAAATGCTTTCTACATGCCCAGTGGACCTGGTCTGAGTGTAGGGTATGGTATTATTGGCACATGGATCAAGGCTGTCGGATCAGTAAATGGGCCAAGATCTCACTACCCAGGCTGTATGTGGCATCAGCACAGGGGCCGTGACGTCGGCACACAGTGCTTCCCCGGGAAATCGCTCTCCAGCGTTGAGCCATGGCCAAAGCTTTAAAGGCAATGGGAAACACCCTCCTCAGGGAGCCTGCGTGGCTTCTTTGCTGTCCCCTGCCTGAACATCACTGACCAGCTGCGTGGCCATGGATAAAGCCCTTAGGTTCCTTCTCCCTGGGCACCGCATGCATGAGCCTCCCTGTCCTAGCACTGAACACGTTACCCTTACACTATCCCACCTCTCTCCCTGGCTCACCTCTGAATCCCCAACACGAAGCCAACTTTCCACACGTTTGTTGAATGAATAACTGTGAGCTCTGCAAGTGCAAAAATTGTATTGTATTCTGCTTTATATCTTTAGGGTCTAGCATCGGGCCTGAGGGCACAGTGCATACTTGGTTTGTGTACAAAGAAGAAAAGAGAGCGCAGAGGAGGGAGTTAGAAACGTTCATCCCTCTTTGTACGCCGCCCTCCTATACTTGGTATATGCACTTAGTAAATCAATTAAAGTCACTGCGAATCAATGATGATCAATGGATGAATGAACCTCACCAGTTGAGCGAAGAGGCTAGACCAGATGTTTGCACAAGTCCCAACCAATCCTGAAGAAATCCATCTCAGGGTGATGCCATGCGAGTGGATGGCCCCATGGCCTGTGGGCTCTAAGCCAGGACGGACAGATGACCCATCCCCTTAGGGCTCTCTGCCCCGGCGCCCGGCCCCTGTCCCATCCTCCATAGCTCATGCCCACTTACTTCTGACATAAAGCCAGGCATCCAACAGCAAGGGTTTCCAGTTGAAGTGGGCTTTTTTGTTTGAGATGGAGTTTCACTCTTGTTGCCCAGGCTGGAGTGCAGTGGCGTGATCTCGGCTCACTGCAACCTCCTCCTCCCGGGTTCAAGCGATTCTCCTGCCTCAGCCTCCCGAGTAGCTGGGATTACAGGCACGCACCATGACGCACGGCTAATTTTGTATTTTTAGTAGAGACAAGGTTCCTCTATGTTGGTCAGGCTGTTCTCAAACTCCTGGCCTCAGGTGATCCACCTGCCTCAGCCTCCCAAAGTGCTGGGACTACAGGCATGAGCCACCATGCCTGGCCTAAAAACCATCTATGGTTTTTAATTTTCCTTCCACTAATGTACCATTTGCTTTTTTCACAGGAAGACAGCTGGCCCAGTGACCCTCAGAAGTGGATTGCAGAAGTGGGGGTACCTCCCAGGTAACATTCTCTTTGCTTACAGTAGTGGGCCAATCAGGGGGAGGGCAGCTGGTTCGGGGCTCCCTGCGCCACTTCCCTTCTCTGGAGTTAGGGGCCAAGTGTAGGTATTATATTGAAAACTCTACAATTGACCAGGGTTCTCAAAGAACCGCCAACAGCATCAGATCCAGAGTCTGGGGGGACTGGGCTGCTCCTCCATGCCAACCCCACCCCACCCTGTTCAGGAGCAGCCTCTCCAGCAGGAGCTCACCTGGCTTCTCTCTCTCCCTGTTTTTTTTGTTTGTTTGTTTGTTTTTGAGGCAGAGTCTTACTGTATGCCCAGGCTGGAGTGCAGTGGCGATCTCAGCTCACTGCAACCTCTGTCTGCCAGGTTCAAGTGATCCTCGTGCCTCAGCCTCCCAAGTAGCTAGAAGTACAGATGCATGCCACCATGCCCAGCTAATTTTTGTATTTTTAGTAGGGACGGGGTTTCACCATGTTGGCCAGACTGGTCTCAAACTTTTGGCCTCACGTAATCCGCCCGCCTCAGCCTCCCAAAGTGCTGGGATTACAGGCATGAGCCACCAGCCTGGCCACCTGGCTTCTCTTACACACCTCCAACAACAGGACACTCACTACACCTCACAAGACAGTCCCTGCCACGGTGTTGCTGAGCTTACACTTTTCTCTGGCATCTCCACCATCCTGGTGACTGTTCTGTCTGTGGAGCCTGCTCCCTCTCCCACACAGTGGTTCTTCAGGTGGGTGGAGAAGGCACCTGAGTCCCTGAGGCTGCTCTGCTCTGGGCCACAGAGCCCACCACCCTGCTGCGCTTTGCAACGGGCCGTGCGCTGACATCCTGGCCTCCCGTCACCCCTGGGGGCCCTCCGTGCAGCCTCCACAGGGGAGGACTGGGGGCAGCACCCAGGCGCCCTGGAGAAGCTGGGAGATGGAAGCGTGCGGTGAGGAGCAGCATGGCCACATCCTCTTCCCTGGGCACATGCACGGGGTGTGATCACCCTCACCTGGCCCTTTCCTCCTCTCCCAGCACGCGGCTCTTGGAGAGGTGAGAGTGCCTCCACCTGTCTGTCTGTCTCACTCTCATGCATGGGCACAGACTCCCAGGTGGCCCAGTGAGAGGACAGGCAAGCGCTAAGCCCCCGCCAGGACCTGCCCCCGCCAGATGTGGAGGCTGGCAAATACACACATGGATTTCTTTTCCAGGTTCTCCAGGTTTGTCTTCAGAGTGTTGTAGGCGGCCGTTCGGGACTTCAGGTCCATCTCGATCTGCGCCAGTTGCTGTTTTGGGAAAGCAAAAGCTCCAGGTGACCCTGAGCATTGAAGGAGTTGGCTGAACTTTTTGAAATGGCCACAACAGCTCATGGTGCTTTCAAGAAAAATAACTGCCCTGCCCATTTGCTGGGATGGCTTCTGTTTACCAGCATTTGGCCCTTCCAGGGAGCCCCTGTGTGGCACCCAGGCGCCAAGCCATGATGGATTTTCTAGGATGACTCAGTGAGCCCAACCTTTCCTGATTTCAAGCCCATCCTGAACGGTCGGGACATCCCACGCCCACACCTACCCTCTCAGGCTCTGCTGGAGGGCAGCTCAGGCTGACCCCCAATCGTTGCTTCCAGGGGTACCCGACATGGCCTGGCCCTCTCAAATGCCCATGTCTCCTGGCTCGGCTGTGCCGATCTCCCTCTCATGGGTTGGCAGGGGCAGGGAGGTGCAGTGGACAGAAACAAGACAGGCCTGGGCTCAAGCCACGCCCTCCTGCTTTCTGGCCGACTGGCTCAGGTTTCCCCATTTGTTCCACAGCGGGGATAATGCCAGTGCTGAGAGCCGACTGTGCCAGGCTCCTTCACATTCCCTCCTCGCAGCCCCACGTCGTGACACCCCACCAGCTTTGACAACCAGCCACGGCAGGAGCATTTACACCACGGTCATCCACAAATGCTACAGGCCAGCACACGGCTGCTGACGGGAGAATCTCAAGAGTCAACAGATGAAGAAAATGGGTGCTCCATAGAATGCCAACAGCTTTAGTCTAAATATACACATTTTTATACATGGAAGAATCCATTGTCAACTTTTAAACATTGGTTACCTTTTGGGAGAATAAAGGGAATGGGGGCGATGATCACAGCTCGGATGATATTATTATTTTAAAGATAAAATCATAAAATAATTTTAAAGATAAAATAAATATAATTAAAATGATAAAATGATTAAATTAAATGATTATATTAAAATGGTAGACTGGGCGAGGTAGCTCACGCCTGTAATCCCAGCACTTTGGGAGGCCGAGGCGGGCAGATCACCTGAGGTCAGGAGTTTGAGACCAGCCTGGCCAACATGGTAAAACCCTGCCTCTACTAAAAATACAAAAAGTGGCTGGGCTTGGTGGTGGATGCCTGTAATCCCAGCTACTCAGGAGGCTGAGGCAGGAGAATTGCTTGAACCCGGGAGGTGGAAGTTGCAGTGAGCTGAGATCACACCACTGTACTCCAGCTTGGGTGACAGAGTGAGACTCTGTCTCAAAAAAATATATAATAAAATGGGCCAGGCACATGTCTGAAATCCTAGCACTTTGAGAGGCAGAGATGGGCAGATTGCCTGAGCTCAGGAGTTTGGGACCAGCCTGGGCAACAGGGTGAAACCCTGTCTCTACTCAAAATACAGAAAAGTTAGCCAGGCATGGCAGTGTGTGCCTATAATCCCAACTACTCGGGAGGCTGAGGCAGGATAATTGCTTGAACCAGGGAGGTGGAGGCTGCAGTGAACCAAGATCACACCACTGCACTCCAGTCTGGGCAACACAGTGAGACTCTGCCTCAAAAAAAAAAAAAAAAAAAGATAAAAAATGATAATTAAAAAAATATTTAAAGATAAAGTGATGATTTTAAAGATAAAAACTAAATGTTTTTCTCTTTACATTTTGCCATTTTTCTTAATAAAATGCATCTTTTTATAATAATTTTTTTAAAACTTTTAATTTTGAAATGATTATAGATTCACAGGACGTTGCAAAAATAGTACACAGAGATCCTAAGTCCCCTCCATGCAGTTTCCCACAGTGATTTCCCACAGCTCACTATACAACTATACTATTCTGCACTATACAACTACATACCATACTGTACTATGCAACTATATTGTACAACTATACAACTATATTAAAATCTTCTGCACGATAGAAGTATACTGTACAACTGTATAGTATACGGCATTATGCAACTATACAACTATATGAGTACTATTTTGCACTATACAGCTCTGTGACTACACTGTACTGTCCTATACAACTATACGATACTATTCTGCACTATACCGTCATAGTGCAGTATCATAACCAGGAAACTGACATGGGTGTAATCCACAGATCTTGCTTTTTAAAATAAGATTTATATATTTTTTGAAAAACAAAAAAACGAAAAAAAATACTGCTTGTCTTTATTTTTCTGATTTCACCACAAGCCAATGAAAAATTGCTGAGAGGTATTTGGGAGCCAGTAAAGCAGTGATAGGAACTAGGGCTTTCGAACCAGTAAGGCCCACATTTAAATGCCAGTTCTGACTTTTACTGGCTGTGTGACCTGACATAAGCTCCTTGACCTCTCTGAGCAAAGTGGCCTGGAATTATTGTGAGATGATAGAGGAGTCTCCTTTGACTAAATGTCTCTAGTTGATAGATTGAGACCTCTCGTTGGCAGAGCGAGGCTGAGGCGGGGGGTGTCACACTGTGTTGCCGGTGTAGGAAGGACTGAGGGAGACAACACCCCGGAGCCTCTGCCCCTGCTGCTGCCAGGAGCTGCTTCCCTGTGGTTGGGCCAGTCCAGGGCTTCCTTGGGAAGTGGTGTCATGCACACAGCACAATCCGCAGGCTCTGGTCCCCAAGACCTGCATCCCCATCCCGGCATAATACTCCAACCGCTGCAGGTCCTGGATCGCTCGCTCAACCCCTCAGCTTCCTCTTCTGCACTCAGAGGAAAGTGATGTCCACCCCATGGCATGAGGCGGACAGTAAGAGAGCCCAGCACAGTCTCGGGCACATCTGGAATGCCACCAAACCAGTGCCCTCCTTCCTTCCTGCCAAAGGCACTCTAGGGGTGCTCTGGACTGGAGAAGCCAGGTCTCCCGACAGCCCCTCTGCTCCCTCCATGTGCTCCAGGGGGCCCTTCCCACTGAGTCTGGCATCCCTGGGACTGAGAGAATCCCAAATTGGCACATGGTGAGGCAGGGAAGGGCCAGCCCCACCAGCCATCATGTGCTTCCAGTTCCTTGGTGGACATGCACAGCGCCCTCTGAAAGGCACACCTGGCACAGGTGCTCTGGGCACACCCTCCTTGAAGGGCCTTCCAGAATCACTGCCTGATCGTCCCAGCAGGGGCCTGAGCCTCTCTGATGTAAGCAGCACCCGAGGTGCCCCACCCAGATTCCCGAGCTTTCTGGCCCCACCCTACTTTCCAGGAGACCTGCAGGAGCTGCCAGAGGACAGGTGAGAGGCCCAGCTCCACTCTGACCCTTGGCCACAGTCACAGTAGAAAACCGGGTGCCTTTGTTCCTGGCCCAGGCCGAGACTCTCCCACAGCCATGGGGGCCAGCAGGAGAGGGGACACATTAGGGGCTCAGTGTTTTGTGGCAGAAGGGAGGGCCAGGCCATCAGAAACCATCAGCCTCAGTCTCACAGTCCTTGTCACCCTCACCTTCAGTGATGATACAGAGAAGTCACCCAGCTCCAGGTGCCCATAGCATCCCCTGGGACTCGAGTCACAGGGTGTTCATTTTATCAAGTGGAGTGGAGGCCATTGCTGAACAGGACAGAGGACTGTCAGGACACTCACTGCCTCTCCATTGTCACAAGTGGAGAGCAACGAGCTGGTGCAGTGTCTGAAGAGGTTAGGGCTCCCAGGCCAAACTCTCCACTTAAACCAAATAGCTTTGCAGGTGAACAATCCCCTGGGGGCTAGAGGTGTCAGGTTCCTAGGAGTAGATGATGAGGGAGCTGCCTTCACCATCAGTAACTTTTTTTTTTTTTGGTGGGGGGACGGAACCTCATTCTGTTGCCCAAGCTGGAGAGCAGTGGCATGATCTCGGCTCACTGCAACCTCCACCTCCCGGGTTCAAGTGATTCTCCTGCCTCAACCTCCCGAGCAGCAAGGACTACAGGTGTGCGCCACCACGCCTGGCTAATTTTTGTATTTTTTAGTAGAGACAGGGTTTCACCATATTGGACAGACTGGTCTCGAACTCCTGACCTCATGATCCACCCACCTTGGCCTCCCAAAGTGCTGGGATTACAGGCGTAAGCCACCGTGCCCGGCCACCATCAGTAACTTTTGAAAAAAGAAGTGGAGCAGCAAGTGAATGGGTGCTGGGCCCTCGAGGGGAGGCCAGGGGACTGGCTCTTTCCCTGTCCAGGGCTGCCCTGAAACCCCAAACCTGCCCAGTGCATGGAAGGAGGCCACACCTCAGAAACCCAGAGGCCCAGTCAGGACAGGCTGAGGCTGTTGGCAGGGGGGCCCTACCCAGGCTCTTGCCCGCCTGACCCACCAGTCAGCTGTTCCCCAGAGCAGTCCCTTTTCTCACCTTGGCTATTGTGTCCACCACACTCACGAGCGGCTGCTTGACAGGATATTTGGCCATGTCCCATTCAAAGTGGGTCACAAAGGATGTTAAGTCAACTGGAAGAATACAAACACATTTCAACACATGAGCCTGCGCTCTGCATCCATGATTGAGACTTCGGAATCCCAAGCCAAGCATCAGCGTGGACACGAAGGCAGCCATCATGGGCAACGCCGGCGGGCAGGCACAGGGCTCTGGAAAAGCAAACGTTCCCTGCGGGAGCGGGGAGCTGTGAGCCAGTGGGAGCTGTCAGCCCAAGCACTAGACAGTTTCAATCTTCACTGTCCATTACAAAGAAGGCATTTTACACATTAGCAAAATACTGGACTGTGTGACTGTGGTTTATATTAAACGGCAGGGAGGTGCGTTTTTCAGTATATGCTATTTAGAGAAAAGTCTCTGGGGAACAGACCACACCAGTGTTTTCAAGCATTTCCTTTTTTTCTTTTCTTTCCCCAAAACCCACTGCCTTCAGGATGCCTCTGGCTCATTCTAACCAGGTGTGGGGTGGAGAGAGCCCCAGAATTGAAGTCAGAAAGAAGCAACACTGAATAAACCTCAGCTGACTCAACCCCCAGGGCTCTAGGCTAGGAGGGAATCAATTTCCCTACCTGAGACACAGCGGAGTGGCACCTTGCCTGCTCTCTTCAGGTTAGTTCTCCACACTCTTGAAGAGAGCTACCTGGGCCAGCCGCCCCAGGACCTGACCTCTTTTAATACGCCGGGTCTATGGAAGAGCGGGAAATTCCCTGGAAGCTGCAGCGCCACGGTGGCCCCTGGAATTCCTGTGCCCCTGGCAGAGGGCCCTTCCCATGGCGGATGTCCCAGCCTAGGCTCCCTGTGCACCTACACTTCCTGGTCTATCCTGGTGCATGAAAGGGGACTGTCACGCTCACTCCACACCCATCACCCTGCTGGGGACACACACTAGACACCACCCCCTGCCCAAGGTCCACAGGGAGACCCCTAGGCAGACACACCGCAGAGAGCTGGGGGCCCAGTGATAACCGCCTAGAGTGCTAAGGGAGGACAAAGAGCTGGCGCCGGCTCCTCCTAGGGAGGATCGTGTCCCTTCACTGGGACACAGACATGGTATTCACGTGGAGGCTAAGGGGAAGAGGAGGTGGCCGTGTGGCCGGTGATGGAGGGCGCCGGGTGTCAGGTGAGGAGGGCTGGCAGCGCTACGTACTCGGGGCACTGTGAGTCAGGGAAGAGGGAGTGTGGACGGATGCTGAACAGAAAGGGGTAGGATCGGTCACCAAGGGTCATGTCTGCACTTCACCACGTGCCAAAACAACACTAGATCCCGCCCACTCAGCCCCTAGCACGGGAATTGGACTGAGATTCCTCCAACCCCAACAGCAGCGCCCAGTGGGGTCACCAAACAAGACTCCAGCTGACCAAGGGCAGCAGGCTGGGGACACTCACACACTCTGGGGGAGTCCTCTGAGGCTGGTGTGGAGGAGGCTCCAGGGGAGAAGCCAGCAGGAACGTGGGAGGGAGAGGGTGGTGCCAAGAGGAGTGGGAGGAGCCCTGGGAGGGGAGAGGAGGACAGGGGAGGACCGACTAGACAGGGTGCAAGGCAATGACGCAGGCCTGGCCACGCCAGCTTTCTCGCTGGGTGGCTGGGTGGAGGGAGGGAAGTGCTCTAAGCCGGGCAGCCATGGAGGTGGGAGGGATGGGGATGGAGGAGAGGAGGCAAGTTCTGCCTGGGACAAGCTTGAGTTTGACATGTGGGTGGACAGGTCCCCAAGAAGCAGATGGGAATGAAATGGGACTCAGAGGAGGAAATCGGGCTGGGGAAGAAATGCCAGCACGTGAGACGAAGGAAAGGCCTGAAGATAACAGGACGACGACGGTGACAATGACCATTAAAGCGGCTGGCACTTACTGCTGCTGACCTTGGGCCAAGACACATGAATTATTCCATTTAATTTATGCTTTGCCGGGCGTGGTGGCTCACACCTGTAATCCCAGCACTTTGGGAGGCTGAAGCAGGTGGATCACGAGGTCAGGAGTTTGAGACCAGCCTGGCCAACATGGTGAAACCCCGTCCCTGCTAAAAATGTAAGAATTAGCTGGGCATGGTGGCACACGCCCGTAGTTCCAGCTACTGGGGAGGCTGAGGCAGAAGAATCGCTTGAACCCAGGGGGCAGAGGTTGCAGTGAGCCAAGAATGAGCCACTGCACTCCAGCCTGGGCAACGAAGGGAGACTCCATCTCAAAAAAAAAAAAAAAAAATTTATGCTTCAACCCCATTAAAACCCTATGATGATCTCCATCTTACAGATGAGGAAACGCTGGCACAGAGCAAGCTGTGGAAATTCCAGGATAAAGTGAGATAAGGCGTGAAGCACCTAACGCCCTGCAGGGCCCAGGCAGGGCCACGGCTCCCCTCCCTGCCACATGCACTAAGTGGACACAGCCTTGCTGCAGGTGGAACCTGCCCGGCAACCAAACTCAGACACCTTCTAGGCCACCGGGACTCGGAAGAAGTCCTTGGGAGAATTTGTTTTACAGACTTAGGATGCTGGTGTTGGAATTAACATGGCGAGTCCTGGCCTGTTGACGAGAGTACCTCTGAGGCACTAAGGGTGGGGCCCTGATCCAATAGGATTCGAGGCCATATAAGAAGGGACAGCAGAGAGTTGGATCCGTGCTCTCCCTGTCCTCATACAGGCACCAAGGAAAGGCCATGGGACGATGCAGCAAGAAGGTGGCCGTCTACAAGCCAGGCAGAGAGCCCTCAGGAGAAACCAGGTTGTCTGATCTTAGTCTGTGGTTTAAGCTGCCCAGTCAGTGGTATTTTGTGACAGCAGTCCAGGCTGACTCAGACATTGGTATTAGTTTGGGTATTAATACAGGCTTTGGTATTGCCACACACAATGGGAATGACCTTGTAGCAAGGGTACAGGCCCGGGGTGGAAGTAAGAGCAGGGAGTGGTCAGAGGGTAACCAGGAGGATGGCGGGGACTCCTCCTGTGGCAGGAACGACAGTGAAACTCACCTCCAGGACCCCATTGCACAGGCACAGGCAAGCTCACCTCCCACCATGGGCCCAGAGCCATCCCACAAGCTGGGAACCAGTCTCAAGGCACCAAGCGGCAGCCCAGGATGGGAGATGACAGGGCGGTGTGTGCTGTCCCATCCATCTCTTCCCTCCACCTCCTACCCCGTCCCCTCTGACACCCCAGGCAAGTCCCCACAACTCCCTACTCTCCTCTCACAGTACCTCTGTCCTTCAACACGTAGGACAGGCAAAGACCAACTCCTTCCAGGGGTGGCCCAACTGTCCCTGCCCCTGCTGGCCTGAACTCCACTCCTTGTGCTGTCTCAGGCTCCTCGAGGACAGAGACTGTGACTCACTGGTCTCTGTGTTCCCAGAGCCTGTCGCAGTACCCTGCACAGAGCAAGTGCTCCATAAACATGCTCAAACACTGACAGACCCCCGCCGGCAACCATGACTGTGGTATCAGCTCGCACTGTCTACGTGGCTTGGAAGAGATACATTTCAGATCAA
Organism: Homo sapiens; assembly: GCF_000001405.40. Taxonomy (NCBI): domain Eukaryota; kingdom Metazoa; phylum Chordata; class Mammalia; order Primates; family Hominidae; genus Homo; species Homo sapiens. The sequence continues at coordinate 10,760,866 of NC_000002.12, read as the reverse complement.
GCTCTTGTCTCTGGCCATTTGCACCAAGTCCAAGGTCTTCATGGCATTCAGACCAAAGGGCTGAGGTCTCCCTTTCCATCTGAAGCACCCCTGCCCTGTAACTCCTCCAAGACTGAACCCACTTCCTGCAGCTTGGTCTTTGTTTCCAAAGACCATGGGGTGCATGTGGCACTATGAGCCCCAGCAAGGCTGTGGCTTCCAGAAGGCAAAGACTGTGTATCACCTCTGCATGTCCAGCATGTGCTTGGTTACTGACAGATGCTCAGGGAAGTCTGAGATTATGTCTCCCTGCAGGGGCCTCCAGAAGCCTCTGGGTGTGTGACTGTGCCTTCTTCCTCATCTCTCACATGTCCTGAACACCAGCTCCAACTGTGTACACTGAGCCTTGCCCTGGGTCAGGCATCCAAGCCCTTCCCTGTCCACGCACCCTGCCTTTGGAAAGAATGTTGTCTGAGGACGGCCCTCTGCCACCCCTCTGGCCTTCTATTTTTTTTTTTGAAATGGATCTCGTTCTGTCGCCCAGGCTGGAGTGCAGTGGCACCATCTTGGCTCACTGCAACCTCTGGCCTCCAGGGTTCAAGCAATTCCCCTGCCTTGGCCTCCCAAGTAGCTGGGATTACAGGCACACGCCATCACACCCAGCCATTTTTTGTATTTTTAGAGGCGAGGTTTCACCATGTTGGCCAGGCTGGTCTCGAACTCCTGACCTCAGGTGATCCGCCCGCCTCGGCCTCCCAGAGTGCTGGATTACAGGCATGAGCCACCGTGACCAGCCAGATCTTGCTTTTTAAAATAAGATTTATATATTTTTTTTCAAAAAGCAAAAAAAAAAAAAACAAAAAACAAAAAACTGCTTGTCTTTATTTTTCTGATTTCACCACAAGCCAATGAAAAATTGGCGAGAGGTATCTGGGAGCCAGTAAAGCAGTGGTAGGAACTAGGGCTTTTGAACCAGTAAGGCTCACATTTAAATGCCAGTTCCAACTTCTACTGGCTGTGCGACCTGATATAAGCTCCTTGACCTCTCTGAGCAAAGTGATATTGTGAGATAATAGAGGAGTCTCCTTTGACTAAATGTCTCTAGTTGACAGATTGAGACCTCTTGTTGTCAGAATGAGGCTGAGACACCCAAAGTGCTGGGATTACAGGCGTGAGCCACCGTGCCCAGCCCCTCCGGCCTTCTGTACTCACAGCACCACAGCTTGCCCTCTGCTGCTTGGAACACACAGGCCTTGCCTCCCCTGCCTGGGGTGCAGTCACTAAAGCCTGGGCCTCAGAGGGGGCAACGCAGACCTTGGCTGAGGGCTCATGAGGTCAGGCCATGACCCAGGCAGGCTCACCCCTCATCAAAATATGCTGTGCACAGGCTGGCAACTCTTGAGCAATGATGGTCTTGTCCGAGAACAAAAAGGAGGCCTGCCCGGCAGGCAGCAGCATGAGGGACTGTGACCAACCAGACTGCGGCCCATCGCCCAGCAAGCCAGACAAGCCTCGAGGGTTTCTGTCTTCTGTGGGCATTCCAGGGCCCAGGCCGGGCAAGGTGTGTTTGCCAGCTGTGGCTGCAATCAAAGCTGTCTGTGTCCTTCCTGCTCCCAGCTCTGCTGGAGGCAAGGAACAAGCAGAAACAACCGGTCCTGACGAAGCCAAGAGCCTTTGAAGCCATTCAGTCCATCTACAGTTGAGAAAAGGAAACTCCAGAAGTGACTTTTGGACCAGGTCTGACCGGCTGCAGGCAGTGGTGCCCTAAATGCCCCCGGAGGAGATAGGATTAAAATGCAACAATGTGTGCCTCTGGTTCATCCTGTCAATCACTAGTTCATGGGTGCCCTGCAGAAGAGAAAGATTTCCTCATTCAGGTAATATTAGGAAAGCCCAAGTCAAACTAAGTTTAAAGGCCTCTCGGCCGGCGCGGTGGCTCACACTTGTAATCCCAGCACTTTGGGAGACTGAGACGGGCGGATCACAAGGTCAAGAGATCAAGACCATCCTGGACAACAAGGTGAAACCCCGTCTCTACTGAAAATACAAAAATTAGCCAGGTATGGTGGCACACGCCTGGGACTACAGTCCCAGCTATTTGGGAGGCTGAGGCAGGAGAATTGCTTGAACCCAGGAGGCAGAGGTTGCAGTGTGCCGAGATCCCACCACTGCATTCCAGCCTGGCGACAGAGCAAGACTCCGTCTCAAAAAGAAAAAGAAAAAAAAAAAAAGGTCTCTCTGGCCTGGTTTATAGCACATGCTGTGTTTTGTTTTGTTTTGTTTTGTTTTAAGAGACAAGGTCTTGCTATGTTGTCCAGGCTGGCGTGTGGTGGCTATGGACAGGCACAACCACAGGGCACTATAGCCTCGAACTCCCGGCCCCAGGCAATCCTCCCACCTCAGCCTCCCTACAGCCTCCAGGCTTCAGAATGTGCTTTACCAGCTCTAGTCTTGGGAAGTTGAGACCCGACTCACGGGAGGCACAGAGGTCATAAAGCCCGTTCAACAAATGAAGCTGAATTTTCTTCTCCTGAGAAGAGAGGCCACTGCTGCTACCATCGGGACTGGGGATGGATACTGCATAATACTAACATCTAACTTAAGGTTACATTAATTTTGCGTAAAACATAAGCACTTTGATCACTATTTTAATATAAGCTAAAGTTCCTCTGTTGTTTATGTAGAAAAGTAGTTCTCTACCTGAAGTCAGCCTTGCAGTCCCGGGCCCGAGGAGTGACCTTCTGAGAAATCAGACCCGCTTGGTCAACTTGACAAGGTAATTTTTTCTTAGCATCAGCAAAAAATCTCAGTGTGACAAACAAACTGCATTTGGGAAGGCATTTGATAACTGCCAATCTCTAAAGATTCTTATGCAACCTAAAATGATTTGCTATTTTTAATTCTACCAGTTTGAGCGGGTTGGGGAAAATCCAAAGCAAATGGCTCCCTCTAACATTCACACAAGGAAAGACCTGTTTGGGCACCGGGACTGCCCTGGAGGCTCCTTGTATGTCTGAACCCCATCAAGGCCACACAAAGTGAAGCCTGGAGTTTAAGGTTCCAGTGTCCATAAAACAGACGGGCTCAAAGAGCAGGCAGTCGGGACATCGTGTCAGGATCAAAACAAGAAGCAGACCACATGCAGAAAGAGACAGGAGTTCACCTTGAACTCCACAAGGTCAAAGCGTTCCCAGCTTCCAGGCGGCATGCAGTGCTGCCCAGGAGAGGCAGGGATGACAGGACAAAGAGGGGAGGGGATGAGATGGTGGTTATCTGTGTCATATGGATATTGTGACCAAGTTACAAGGTTGTTACTTGAGAAATCGTGGTAACTTGATCACTGTACCAATACAACCAGACCGAGATTCCACCTTCCCGGGACATGCGGGCATCACGCCAAGCACAGACACAGCAAACAATGCATAACCTACTCTTTAAACATTTCATTTTTCCTTTCAAGCCTGCAATATAATAAGGTGGAGTTATTAAGCCATATAGACATACAAAGCCAAGATCACAGGTGGGGTAGGAACATTTCCATATGTCAATTTAAACAGCCAAATAAAGTCTCCTCTGGCCGGGCGCGGTGGCTCACGCCTGTAATCCTAGCACTTTGGGAGGCCGAGGCTGGCGGATCACCTGAGGTCAGGAGTTCAAGACCAGCCCGGCCAGCGTGGAGAAACCCAGTCTGTACTAAAAATACAAAAATTAGCCATGTGTGGTGGCGGGTGCCTGTAATCCCAGCTACTCTGGAGGGCGAGGCAGGAGACTTGCTTGAACCTGATAGGCAGAGGTTGCGGTGAGCTGAGATCGCGCCACTGCACTCCAGCCTGGGTAACAGAGTGAGACTGTCTCAAAAAAAAAAAAAAAAAAAAAAAAAAAAAGTCTCCTCATGTTTTCAAGAGGGAAAACTATAAATATATGTTATATTTATAACAAATGATATAAATCTTATTATAAACATATAGTGTAAACAGTCATGCGTTGCTTCATGACAGGGATACATTCTGAGAAATGTGTCATTAGGAGATTTTTGTCACTGTGTGAACATCACAGAGGGCACTTACAAAAACCTAGGTGGTATCGCCTACTACACACCTAGGCTATCGCAACTGTAGCACATGGTAAGTATTTGTATATCTAAATATTTCTTTCTTTCTTTCTTTTTTTGAGACAGAGTTTCACTCTTGTCTCCTAGGCTGGAGTACAATGTGCGATCTCGGCTCACTGCAACCTCCGCCTCCCAGGTTCAAGCAATTCTTCTGCCTCAGCCTCCCAAGAAGCTGGGATTACAAGCGCCAGCCACCACACCCAGCTAATTTTTGTATTTTTAGTAGAGACAGTATTTCACCATGTTGGCCAGGCTGGTCTTGAACTCCTGACTTCGTGATCCATCTGCCTCAGCCTCCCAAAGTGCTGGGATTACAGGTGTGAGCCACTGCGCCCGGCAATATATCTAAATATTTCTAAACATGGAAAAGGTACAGTAAAAATACAGTATTATCTATTGTTGTTTTTTGTTTGTTTTGAGACAGAGTCTCACTCTGTCACCCAGGCTGGAATGCAATGGTGCGATCTCGGCTCACAGCAACCTCTGCCTCCCGGGTTCAAGCAATTCTCCTCCCCCAGCCTCCCAAGTAGCTGGGATTACAGGTGTGCACCACTACGCCCAGCTAATTTTTTCTGTATTTTTAGTAGAGATGGGGTTTCACCATGTTGGCTGGGCTGGTTTTGAACTCCTGACCTCAGGTGATCTGCCTGCCTCGGCCTCCTAAAGTGATGGGATTACAGGCGTGAGCCACCACACTGGCCCAGTATAATCTCTACTCTCATTTTCAATATATACGCATAGAATCATGTAAGTTTAATTATCTCTACAGATATTTAAACATTTAATTCTAAAGTTTCCAAAGTCTCAAAGGTTTTGCCTTGCACACTTTAAAGGCACTGAAATAGTATGCACACAGTTAATGGGCCAAAACATCACTGGAATCTAAAGGTTCGTCCCATCAGCACGAACGAGGCAGACATTCCCAACGTGACTGCACTGCAGGAAGCCTTCAGGGTGCAGCCTCTGTTCTTTTTACTGGACGGCAATTGAAGCCTGGCTGGAGGCCTTCCTCAGCACAGGAAGGCATTTCTCATACCTGATTTGGGCAAAGGGATAAATCGGTGAGGGTGAGGTGAGGAGGCAGAATTGCCCAGGTGGGGAGAGTGGTGGCTCTGGAGAGGGTGGAGGGGCAAACAGTAGGAGCCGGGCTGAGCTCCCTGGACCCTGTGTTTATCTGCAGCACTCTGAGGAGTTCACCAGCTGGTTAGAGTAGAGGCGGAACTGCAGAGCCATGAATTTATGAAGGGGAACAACTTCCAAACCTAGCAGTGCTGATGAGCTAAAAGCAGTGCACCAGCCAGGAACAGTGGCTCACACCTGGAATCCCAGCACTTTGGGAGGCCAAGGCAGGAGGATCGCTTGAGCCCAGGAGTTTAAGACCAGCCTGGGCGACATTGCGAGACCCCATCTCTACAAAAAATAAAAAATATTAGCCAGGTGTGGCCAGGCACGGTGGCTCACGCCTGTCATCCCAGCACTTTGGGAGACCAGGGCGGGCGGATCACCTGAGGTCAGGAGTTCGAGACCAGCCTGACCAACATGGAGAAACCCCGTCTCTACTAAAAATACAAAACTAGCTGGACATGGCGGCATATGCCTGTAATCCCAGCTACTCGGGAGGCTGAAGTGGGAGAATCACTTAAGCGCGGGAGAATCGCTTGAATCTGGGAGGGGGAGGTTGCGGTGAGCCGAGATTGTGCCATTGCACTCCAGCCTGGGCAACACGAGAAAAACTCCGTCTCAAAAAATATATCTATATATATTAGCCAGGTGTGTTGGTGAGCGAGAGGCTGAGGTGGGAGGACCCCTTGAGCCTGAGAGGTTAAGGCTGCAGTGAGCTATGATCACACCACTGCACTCCAGCCTGGGCAAGACCACGTCTCAGAAAATAATCATAATAGGCCGGGCGCGGTGGCTCACGCCTGTAATCCCAGCACTTTGGGAGGCCGAGGCGGGCGGACACAAGGTCAGGAGATCAAGACCATCCTGGCTAATATGGTGAAACCCCATCTCTATTAAAAACACACACACACAAAATTAGCTAGGTGTGGTGGCGGGCGCCTGTTGTCCCAGCTACTTGGGAGGCTGAGGCTGGAGAATGGCGTGAACCCAGAAGGCGGAGCTTGCAGTGAGCCGAGATTGCGCCACTGCATTCCATCCTGGGTGACAAGCGAGACTCCATCTCAAAAAAAAAGAAAAGAAAAGAAAAGAAAAGAAAAGAAAAGAAAAGAAAATTATCATAATAAAAATTGGCCGGGCATGGTAGCTCACGCCTGTAATCACAGTACTTTGGGAGGCTGAGGTGGGCAGATCACTTGAGGTTGGGAGCTTGAGGCCAGCCTGGCCAACATGGTGAAACTCCATCTCTACTAAAAATACAAAAATTAGCCAGGCGTGGCGGTGGGTGCCTGTAGTCCCAGCTACTCAGGAGGCTGAGACAGGAGAATCGCTTGAACCCGGGCGGCGGAGGTTGCAGTGAGCCAAGATTGCACCACACTCCAGCGTGGGCAACAGAGGGAGACTCTGTCTCAAAATAATAATAATATAAATAAATAAAAGCAAGTGCAGAGCCTCTGCCCAATGTGTCAATCCAGAGCATCCACTGAGACCTGGGCCATCTCGGTGATTGCTGTGTGGCCACAGCAAGGACGACTCTGGTCTAGAGGGAGCGGGGAGATTGTGCTCCACATCAGAGGGCCGCCCTACCTACCTCCGTTTGCCAGGAGGTGCTCCTGGACCTTCCCCTTTGAGTCCTCCATGACTTCCACCACGCTCTGAGCCATTCTCCTTATGAGGCTTTGGAGAGAGAAGAAAAAGAGCCGGTTAGAGTAGGAAGCTGTCCTCAAAATACTGTCACATGCTGCTGGCAGGAAAAGTAGCTGGTGACACCCTTTGGGGGAATAATTTGGCAAGATGTATGAAGAGGGTTAAAATGCCAATAGCGGCCGGGCACAGTGGGTCACACCTGTAATCCCATCCCAGCACTTTGGGAGGCCAAGGCAGGCGGATCACTAGGTCAAGAGATCGAGACCATCCTGGCCAACATGGTGAAACCCCGTCTCTACTAAAAATACAAAAATTAGCCAGGCATGGTGGTGGGCGCCGTAGTCCCAGCTACTTGGGAGGCCGAGGCAGGAGAATCGCTTGAACCCGGGAGGTGGAGGTTGCAGTGAGCCGAGATTGCACCACTGCACTCCAGCGTGGGTGACAGTGTAAGACCCCGTCTCAAAAAAAAAAAAAAAAATGCTAATAGCCTTTGAACCAGTAATTCCACTTCTGGGAAGCTATCTTAAGGAAATGGGACAAACAGAAAAAGCTTTCTGAATAAAACGATGTTCTTCACAGCACGCTGCTGACAGTAAAGAACTGGAGACAGCTGGAAGGTCCGACAATAAGGAATTGTTTAAGTAAATGATGGTATATCCAGCTGAGGGATTATTAGAGAGCCATTGAATATAAAGCTTCAAAGAATTCCTAATACTGTGGAACAAGGCGTGTATTATAATGTTGGAAAAATACCAAGATACAAACTCCTACAGGCAGTATGGGCACTGGCTATGACGACGTGAAAGTGTTTTTCCTACTTTACATATTTTCCAATTATAATCAGATATTGCTTTTACAATTAGAACATTAAAACTTTTTGTCTCTGAAAAACACACTGAAGGCTTCAGAAAGTACAGCATTTGAAGGCAAAAGGGCTCAAATTGGCCACAACTCTGCCAATTACCAAATGTAGGATTTTAGCCAATTTTTCTTTTTTTCTTTTGTTCTTTTTTTGGAGACAGAGTCTTGCTCTGTCACCCAGGCTGGAGTGTAGTGGTGCAATCTCGACTCACTGCAACCTCCGCCTCCCGGGTTCAAGTGATTCTCCCTCCTCAGCCTCCCAAGTAGCGGGGATTACAGAGGCCCACCACGACACCCAGCTAATTTTTGTATTTTTAGTAGAGACGGGGTTTTGCCATGTTGGCCAGGCTAGTCTCAAACTCCTGACCTCAAGTGATCCACCTGCCTTGGCCTCCCAAAGTGCTGGGATTACAGGTGTGAGCCATCGCACCCTGCCGATTTTAGCTAAATTGATGTAATTATTTTGAGCCTCCGTTCTATTACCTATAAAATGTGGATGATACTCATTTTACAGGATTATTATGAATATTGACATAACCAATCATCTGGTAGCAAGGAGAGTCTGCTCCAGAAGGCTAAGCCATTAGAACTCCAGTTGGAAAACAAGTCAAACTAGGATCAAAGTCTGAAAGTTATGATGATCCAAATCATTGCCTCAGGCTCTCTCTCCACATTCTCCCCGCCCTCAGGAGGGAGGTGGTGTTTGCAGGAGGAGCGGACTCAAGTCACTGAATCCTACATGGAGTACAAGGTCTTCCACTGCTGCAGACGCTGGCCACCCCAGCCACTCAGACCGGAGCCCAGAGGCCTAGGGCCCAACACAGAAAACAGAGGCAGGGACACGGGACACCCTGATAAAAGCAAAGGAAGGAGGCAGAGGTAGCAACTTGCTTTCCTGACTCCCAGAGTCATGTGTTTATGGTCAAGAATGGAAAAATACAAGTATAAAGTAGTTAACAAAAATTGAACAACCATACTCCCCCACCCAAGAGGGAACACATTTCATATTCTGGCATATTTCCAAAGGCTTAACACTTGCATGGTTTATGTGAGTTAAGGTTTTTTTGTTGTTGTTGTTTTTTTTTTGAGGCAGGATGTCACTCTGTCACCCAGGTAGGATGGGAATACAGTGGTATGATCACAGCTCATTGCAGCCTTGACCTCCCAGACTCAGGTGATCCTCCACCTCATTTCTAAATTTTTTTGTAGAGACAAGGTCTTACTATATTGCCTAAGCTGGTCTCGAACTCCGGGGCTAAAGCGATCCTCAGGCCTCAGCCTCCCAAAGTGCTGAGATTACAGGCATGAGTCACTGCGCCCAGCCAGACAGAGTTAAGGTCTTCTTTTGATATCACCTATTATTTAGTGGAGTCGAGCAAGTATCAAACATTCTATAATCATTGCCTCATTTAATCCTCGTAAAAATTCCCAAAAGTTGGGTATCATCTCATTTTACAGATGGAGAAACTGAGGCCCAGAGAAGTAATGTGCCCCATCCCTTCCAACCATCCAGTCGTTATGTGGACTCCAAAAGTGAGGCTCTCGGCCACCAGGCCACACTGCTATCTTTACCGTCACTGTAGCCCATCCTGGGATTAAATCTCCATCCGTGCGATGGCATTTCTTAGAACAGTAGTTAATAGCGTCTTACTGATTATAACCTCAGGTAAGTTACCTAACTAATCTCAGTTTTGTCTGTAAAATGTTTTTACATTTTTACAGTTTTCAGCTGTAAAATGGGGATGATACTCCTTATCTCACAGGATTCTTCATGGAGTTTGGTGCCTGATACCATTGTGAGGTATCAGAGTCTGCAAGAGACACCTTGAGATATGCTCTAGGCAACCTGGGTGGACTGTTTTGGGTTCTCTGCCCCATGACTCCTGGGTAGATTTGGCAGGAGATCAGAAGGAGGGAGAGTCTGGTTCCCTCCCAGTTCCAGTGACCTCAATCCTCTTGTCCCTGCCAGCCTAGGGGTTGTGACAATGTCTCTCCACCAGCCTGGGTTCCTGTGATTCTCCTATAGCCCACACATAACTCTGTCTCCCTATAATGAGCCTCTCCTCAAATTATCTCTGGCATAATTTGCAAGTGCATCTTCTGTTATCTGTTGGGACCCTGACTCCATAAATTCATTGGTTCATTTGTTTAGCAAATTTCATATATCAAACAACTACTATGCACCAAGCACTAACAACTACTATGTACCAAGCACTAACAACTACTATGCGCCAAGCACTAACAACTACTATGCGCCAAGCACTGTTCTAAAATGTCATGGACAAAACAAAGTCCCTGCTCTTTCGGAGCTCCTATTTTAATGCTACCAACGGTTCCTCTTTTATCCTCACAGCGACCTGTGGGAGTTGCTGTCTCCTATCACCACATCCCCTATAATATTTTGAGTAGTTATTTGTTTACATAAATCCAGCACCTACCACAGTGCCTGACTCACAGCAGCTGCTCAGCAATGTCTGCCGAATGAATCAATGAATTCTGGCACCCCTACTTGTTTCTGTCCTAACAGACCTAAAAAGAGAACTCACTCATCATTTTGCTAATGACTGTTTAGTGCTCCTTGTCCTAGCCTCTGTGAAGGTTTTGTTTTGTTTTTTTTTTTTGCTTTTCGTTTTTGAGACAGGGTCTCACCCTGTCGCCCAGGCTGGAGTGCAGTGGTGCTATCTCGGCTTACTGCAACTTCCACCTTCCAGGTTCAAGTGATCCTTCTGCCTCAGCCTCCTGAGTAGCTGGACTACAGGCACCCGTCACCATGCCCTGCTAATTTTTGTATTTTTGGTAGAGACAGGATTGCACCATGCTGCCCAGCCTGGTCTCAAACCCCTGAGCTCAAGCAATCCACCTGCCTCGGCCTCCCAAAGTGCTGAGATTACAGGCATGAGCCATCACACGTGCCCTTCTGTGAAGTCTTTAACTACATAGAATTGTGGCCCTTAGGCATATACATGACACCAGAAACGTCTCAGAATAACATGGTCTATGAAGTTCTACTGCTAGAAAAAGCCCTGGTTCCACATAACGCAAACAGCCCTGACTTAGCTGTGATCATTAACGATGGTCATCAGTGAATTGCAGTATTACTTAATCAGAAAATTTTTCTCATTGAAAGGGAACTAAGAGTCTAGATACTGTGTTAAATGTACTTTTTTCACTCCACAGTTTGTTGTGAACACCTTTTCACGGGAGAAGACTGGTTCCTCATTCCTTTCATTTACTGTACTGTATTTCATTTCATAGCTGTATCATAACAAATTCTCTACTATTGGACATTTGAGTTATTGTCACTTTGATATGGCGTCACAATAATACACACATTTTGCTCACTTGTGCAGGTATAGATAAAAAATAAGTTGCCTGGATCAGAAAACTGAACTTTGTTAAAAAACAAATAAATACATTTTTAAAAAGAAAAGTGCATTTAAAAAGAAAAAATAAGTTGCTAAGGAAGCAACTTCTGGAATTAAGAATATGAACATTTACAGTTTTAACAAGCAAGACTAAACTACCCTACACATGTACAAAGTCAGTATACACTCACACCTCAGTGTATGAGACTGTCTGCTTCCCTAAACCCTTGCCAACACAGGTATTATGAATCTTTTTAATCTCTGCCAATCTGATGTCTGAAAAATTATATCTCGTTGTTGCTTTGATTTGCATTTCTTTGATCATCAGTGAGGCTGGACATCTTTTCTCATGTTTGACTCTATAAAAGGCTATTTTCTTCTTCTGTGGATAGCATGTTCATATATTTTGCCGGCTTTTTACTGGCTTGTTCATTTAAAAAAAACTTTTTTTTGGTAGGGCCAGGGTCTTGCTATGTTGCCCAGACCGGTCTTGAACTCCTGGCCTCAAGTGATCCTCCTGCCTCGGCTTCCCAAAGTGCTAAGATTACAGGCATGAGCCACCATACCCAGCCTCTTTTAAAAAATTTTATTTGTTGATATATATAATTTTTTAGGTGTTTTGAAGACTCCATTCTTTTTTTTTTTTTTTTTTTTGAGACGGAGTTTTGCTCTTGTTGTCCAGGCGGGAATACAATGGTGTGATCTCGGCTCACTGCAACCTCCATCTCCCGGGTTCAAGTGATTCTCCTGCCTCAGCTTCCCTGGTAGCTGGGATTACAGGTGTCTGCCACCATGCTCAGCTAAGTTTTTGTATTTTTAGTAGAGACAGGGTGTCACCATGTTGGCCAGGCTGGTCTTGAACTCCTGACCTCAGGCAATCCACCCACTCGGCCGCCCAAAGTGCTGGGATTACAGGCATGTGCCACCGTGTCCAGCCAGAAGACTCCATTCTTGAGAAAAAGTTTTGAGCTAAGTGACATTCCCATTTTAGAGATGAAAAAAATTAAGACTCAGAGAGCTAAAGGTCACCCTACACAGTAAACTAGGGTAGAAGCAGAAATTGATCATAAATCTACACTTCTCCAAGGCCCATGGAAATTAGCTCTTCCATGTTTGTCTAAAGTAAACTCTGGCAGCTTTATGTAAAATGCCAGGAAAAAAATTTATATTAACCCATAAAAGATGGACAAACCATATTTTTAATTAAAAAAGCACTGTAAACAATATATAAAGACCTTGATTGGGATGTTGGTTACACTGATGGATGATACTTATTTGTCTAAACTCTCCAGCCTGTTCACTTAAGATGAGTACATTTCACTGTATCTTTTACCTTGTTTAAAAAAAAAAATTTAAGCAGATACTGCCTTAGTCAAGTGACCAAAGTTAACATCATACACATGGAAAAGACCAATGCTGTGTGCCTCCTGCAACGCACTGAGGAAAACAACATCACTTGTGCAGTGTTTTGCCAAAACTGCATAACCTCCGTCTAGCCATGAGGAAGCAGCACGAGTTCAAATTAAGGAGCATATTACAAAATAACTGACCTAAACACTTAAAAAACTCAGAGCCATCAAGGTCAAAAAGACTGGGTGCAGTGGCTCACACCTGTAATCCCAGCACTTTGGGAGGCCAAGGCAAGTGGACCACGAGGTCAGGAGTTCGAGACCACCCAGGCCAACATGGCTAAACCCCATCTCTACTAAAAATACAAAAATTAGCCGGGCGTAGTGGTGCATGCCTGTAATACCAGCTACTCTAAACCCTAAACTCTTCCAGGTTTAGGCTGGAAAGCTTTGAGGCTGAGGCAGGAAAATTGCTTGAGCCTGGGAGGCAGAGGTTGCAGTGAGCCAAGATTGTGCCACTGCACTCCAGCCTGGGTAACAAAGCGAGACACCATCTCAAAAAAAGAAAAAGAAAAAGAAAAAAAAAGTCAAAAAGTCTGTATAAGTGTTCCAGTTTAAATAAGGCTAAAGAGACATGACAATTTATGACAGAAGACAGGAAGCCATCTCAGTTTTTATTATTATCTGAGAAAATATGACATTTTATTTTGGTAGAAAGTGTGCTTTTTTTTTTTGTTTCAAAGAGATGGTGTCTTGCTGTGTGGTCCAGACTGGTCTCAAACTCCTGGCCTTAAGTGATCCTCCCACCTCAGCCTTCTGAGTAGCTGAGACTACAGAAATGTGCCACTGTCCCCAGCTTAGAAAGCACACTATTGAGACAAGCGGTGATATCCAAGTGAAATCTGTAGACCGAGTACCAGTATTGCATTCCTGATTTTGATCATCATACTAAAGTTATATAAGAGGATGTCCTTATTTTTAAGAAATACACCCTAAAGTTTTTAGAGGTAAAGGAATATCATGTCTGTAACTTACTGTTGAAGAAGTTCAGAGTTCAGAAAGAGAGACAGAAAAGACAGAAGCAGAGACAAAAACAGAGAGAAAGCAGATGTGGTAAAAGTATATGAAAAGTATGAGAATTCTTTTCTTTTTTTTCTTTCTTTTTTTGAGACTGAGTTTCACTCTTGTTGCCCAAGCTTGAGTGCAATGGTGTGATCTCGGCTCACTGCAACCTCCACCTCCCGGGTTCAAGCAATTCTCCTGCCTCAGCCTCCCGAGTAGCTGGGATTACAGGCATGCACCACCATGACTGGCTAATTTTGTATTTTTAGTAGAGGCGGGGTTTCTTCATGTTGGTCAGGCTGGTCTGGAACTCACAACCTCAAGTGATCCACCTGCCCTGGCCTCCCAAAGCGCTGGGATTGCAGGCGCAAGCCACCGCACCTGGCTGAGAATTCTTTTCATTGTCTTTCATATTTTCTGGAAACTTGAAATTGGTTCAAAATAAAGCATTTAGGCATGTAAAGCATATAACCCCACTTAAAAAATTATGTCAGTATATACCTAAATAAGAATCCTAAAAGAAAAGAAACCAAACTGTTGACACTGGCTATTATCTTCATGGATACAAGAATGGAGACCTGCAATTTCCATGAATTTATGTAATGCTATGTTTTAATTTGTTAAAAACATATTACTTTTGCAAATAGAAAATAAAAGAAACTACGGTTGGGCGGGGTGGCTCATGTCTGTAACCCCAGCACTTTGGAAGGCCGAGGCGGGTGGATCATGAGGTCAAGAGATCAAGATCATCCTGGTCGACATGGTGAAACCACATCTCACTAAAAATACAGAAACTAGCCTGGCGTGCTGGTGGGCGCCTGTAATCCCAGCTACTTCGGAGGCTGAGGCACGAGAATTGCTTGAACCTGGGAGGTGGAGGTTGCAGTGGACTGAGATTGGGCCCCTGCATTCCAGCATGGGTGACAGAGGGAGACTCTGTCTCAAAAAAAAGAAAAAAGAAGAAGAAAAAAAAAAGGAAATAAGAGAAACTGAAAATAAAATAGTAAATCATAACAAAATAAATAATAAATAACTAATAAAAATAAACATAGCGGCATTATTAACAATAGCCAAGGCTGGGCTCAGTGGCTCACACCTGTAATCCCAGCATGTTGGGAGGCCAAGGTGGGCAGATCACTTGAGGTCAGGAGTTTGAGAACAGCCTGGCCCACATGGTGAAACCTCATCTCTACTAAAAATACAAAAATTAGCCGGGTGTGGTGGCACACACCTGTAGTTCCAGCTACTCGGGAGGCTGAGGCAGGAGAATTGCTTAAACCCAGGAGGTGGAGGTCACAAACTCCATCTCAAAAACAAACAAACAAAAATAACCAAAAGGTGGGAGCGACCCAAGCATCCATCAATAGCTGAGTGGATACATAGAATGTGGTGTGTCCATACGATGCGGCACTAGTCAGCCTTAAAAGGAAGGGAATTCTGACATGCTGTAAGACATTGAAGACATCATGCTGAGTAAAATAAGCCAGGCAGAAAAGGTCAAACACTATATGATTTCATTCATAGGAGGTACGTAAAATAGCCTAATTCATACAGAGAGAAAGTAGAAAGGTAGTTGCCAGGGCCTGGGGGAGGAGGAAAGGAGGAGTCACTGTTTAATGAATACAGTTTCAGTTCTTCAAAATGGAAAAAGTCCTGTGGGTGGAGGGTGGTGACGGTTGTAACAGCAGTGTGAACGTACTTAACGCCACTGAACTGTACACTTAAAAATGGTTGGCCGGGCGTGGTGGCTCATGCCTGTAAACCCAGCACTTTAGGAGGCAGAGGTAGGTGGATCACTTGAGATCAGGAATTTGAGACCAGCCTGGCCAACATGGTGAAAACCCGTCTCTACTTAAAATACAAAAATTACCAGGGTGTGTAGTCCCAGCTACTTGGGAGGCTGAGGCAGGAGAATCACTTGAATCAGGGAGGTGGAGGTTGCAGTGAGTTGAGATGGTGCCACTGCACTCCAGCCTGGGCGACAGAGTGAGACTCTGTCTAAAGAAAAAAAAAAACGGTTAAAAAGGTAACAAATAGGCTGGGCACAGTGGCTCATGCCTATAATCCCTGCACTTTGGGAGGTTGAGGTGGGTGGATCACCTGAGGTCAAGAGTTTGAGACGAGCCTGGCCAACATGGTGAAACCCCATCTCTCCTAAAAATACAAAAAAATTAGCTGGGTGTGGTGGCAGGCATCCAGATACTCGGGAGGCTGAGGCAGGAGAATTGCTTGAACCCGGGAGGCAAGGTTGCAATGAACCGAGATTGTGCCATTGCACTCCAGCCTGGGCAACAGGAATGAAATTCCGTCTCAGAAAAAAAAAAAAAAAAAAGAAAATAAATAAACAAATGGTAATAAATGATAAAAATACATTTTAAAGTAATAAACCCATATTCTTAAAAATAGGCCGGGTGCGATGGCTCATGCTTGTAATCCCAGCACTTTGGGAGGCTGAGGCGGGCAGATCACGAGGTCAAGAGATTGAGGCCATCCTGGCCAACATGGTGAAACCCCATCTCTACAAAAAATACAAAAAAATCAGCTGGGCGTGGTGGCGCACGCCTGTAGTCCCAGCTACTCGGGAGGCAGAGGCAGGAGAATTGCTTGAACCCAGGAGGCAGAGGTTGCAGTGAGCCGAGATCACGCCACTGCACTCCAGCCTGGCAACAGAGTGAGACTCTGTCTCAAAAAAAAAAAAAAAAAAGAAAAAGAGAAAAAAAAACCCATCAAGCATGGGGACAATTATTGTAACAGTGAGACCTGTTTATGTAGTTCAAGTGTCAGATACTAGAATTTCCCCTTACGTAGTTCAAGTGTCAGATACTAGAATTTCCCCAAGTTAAACATCTGCAGCATTAAAGGTGAGGAGGCCTGGTCAAATGCTCGTCTATAGGTTCACAGAAGAGCATCAACAAATAGCTCATAAGCGTGAGGAAGAAAGCTCAACCTCACTTGCACAGGAATATCTTTTACACCAATTAGTTCAGTGTATAAAGAAAACTCCTAATACAGCATTGGCAGTCCTTGGGGAAACAGGAGCATCAACGCACTGCTGAGATGAGGTGTTGATTGGTACAGCCTCACTAGAGAGTAATTTTAGAGTATCTATCAAACATTTGCAGGCAAGGGTTGGTTCTGGTGAAAACCAGAAAACCTCCTAGACAAATTCTAAAAAAGCTGTATTGTTTCCTTCGAGACAGGGTCGCACTCTGTCACCCAGGCTGCAGTGCAATGGCGTTACATGGCCCGCTGCAGCCTCAAACTCCTGTGCTCAAGGGACCTTCCTACCTTAGCCTCCCAGGTAGCTGGGACTGCAGGCACACACCACCATGCCTGGTTAAATTTTATTTATTTATTTATTTATTTATTATTATTATTTTTTTTTTTTTTTTGAGACTGAATCTCGCTGTTGCCCAGGCTAGGGTGCAGTGGTACAATCTTGGCTCACTGCAACCTCCGCCTCCGGGTTCCAGCTATTCTCCTGCCTCAGCCTCTCGAGTAGCTGGGATTATAGGTGCCCGCCATCATGCCTGGCTAATTTTTGTATTTTTAGTAAAGATGGGGTTTCACCATGTTAGCCAGGCTGGTCTTGAGCTCCTGACCTCAAGTGATCCACCCACCTCGGCCTCCCAAAGTGCTGGGATTACAGGCGTGAGCCACCTCGCCCGGTCTAATTTATTATTATTATTATTTGTACAGACAGGGCGTCCCTATGGTGCCTAAGCTAGTTTCCAACTCCTGGGCTCAAGCCATCCTTCTGCCTTGGCCTCCCTAGTGCTGGGATTACAGGTGTGAGCCATTGAACTTCCAGAAATGTATTCTTCTGCTATACTGGCTCATGTGCTACAAACACCATATTTTGTGGCAGAATGGTTTGTAATTACAAAAGACAGGAAGCCATTTCAATGTTTGTCAACTAGGGACCCATCTGATATAATGGACCACCAAGAAGTCTCTAAAACAGAATGAGATCAGGTGTGGTGGCTCACACCTGTAATCCCAGCACTTTGGGAGGCCAAGACAGGAGGATCACTTGAGCCCAGGAGTTCGAGATCAGCTTGAGCAACATAGCGAGACCCTGTATCTACCAAATAAATAAATATATATATAAATAAATATTAGCCATGGGTAGTGGGGTGTGCCTGTAGTCCCAGCAACTCAGGAGGGTGAGGCTGGTTGCAGTGAGGAGTGATTGAATCACTGCAGTCCAGCCTGGGCAACAGAGTGAGACCCTGTTTCAAAAAACAAAAAGTCAATCATGGTAATTCAAATAGACAAAGCAGTGAGTAAATAAAGGAGTAAGACAGAGGCGTGCTACTCAGGCCCAGCCCCTTACCTCGATAGTCATCTGGGGAATCCCCAAGGGAAGAAATTGGGTAAGATGGAGTGGGAGGAGTGGGGGGCATTGCCCAGGTGTGAGGCAGGGCAGGTAGGGACTGGAGGCCTTTGGGTGCTGGGCAGGCAGCCTCCAGACACGGGCAAGCTGCGGTGGGGGATCAGGCGAGAAGGGGCCGCCCAGGAGCTTCACAAATCTGCCTGTGGCAGGTCTGTACCGAACGTGCCCTTTCCTTCCTTTCCACAAACACTACGGGGGCACCTCTTAGCCCTGCTGATTTCTAAACCCTGGACCCCAAGGCGTTCAGGGGTGGTAGAATGGCCCTGGGGTAGAGGATGGCTGAAGGGCTTCTATCCCAACGGTGAGGGGGGCTCCTGAGATCTGTCTCCTCTTCTTCCGCACCCACAGCCAGGACATTCCTGCCATGCAGGGCCCCCAGGACTCTTCCAGTCCAGGGGTATGGGGAGAGGAGCAGCCGGCGGGTGCCTAGAAGCCTTGCACCCCAGCAGGAGGGCTGGAATTGGAGGTGAATACTTGAGGCTGCAGATCGCAGGGCCCGAGCAGAGGAGATTCTTATGTAGCCTTAAGACACAGTGTCTCCAGGGTTTCTGCCCTGCAAACTGCACAGGCCGCTCCCTTCTTTGTAGAAGGAAGGGTTGGGTCTCCCACCTCCAGCTCTCCCGCTGAGGAGTAGTGGATACAGGTTCTGAGGATCCTGAGGGCAAGTCTATGCAACACCAAAGAGAAGGCTTTCTCCCTCCCTGGATTTTCTGGAAAATTCTAGCAAACGCAGGATAGAGTTGTTTGGTTGTCAGAAATTACCCAGAAAGGCCAGCGTGGTGACTCACGCCTATAATCCCAGCACTTTGGGAGGCCGAGGTGGGCAGATCGCCTGAGGTCAGGAGTTGGAGACCAGACTGGACAACATGGCCAAACCCTGTCTCTACTAAAAATATAAAAATTAGCTGGGTGTGGTGGTGCGTGCCTGTAATCCCAGCTACTCGGGAGGCTGAGGCAGGAGAACCACTTGAGCCCGGGAAGCGAGATTGCAGCGAGCCAAGATCATGCCATTGCACTCCAGCCTAAGCCACAGGGCGAGACTCCATGGAAGGAAGGAAGGAAGGAAGGAAGGAAGGAAGGAAGGAGGGAAGGAGGGAGGGAGGGAGGAACCCAGATGCCTGGGAAGAGCGCAACCAGGTTACACGGCAGGATCGGAGGGAGGGCATCTGGGAGCTTCTCTTTGCCCCCAGAAAACCACTAAGGATTTATATCTGAATGCTCCACACACAAAGCCAAGGCCCTTAGAGCTGAGGAAATGGAGTGCACAGAGGCCCAGAAGCTTGCCCCAGGTCACTTCACTGGTGGCCACATGTCAGCTGGTCCTGACCCCCAGCCTTCCCCTAAAGCCAGTCTCCATCCGTGAAAGCAGGTGCTAGCATGCCCGCTCTGGATAACCCAAAACCCCAGGCCCGCCAGTGCCCGGCCACTGTCAGAGTACCTTGATGAGAGGGGCCACCTGCCCTAGCCTCACTCCTGCAGCCACACAAGAGGGGCCCCCACACCTGAGAGGGGAGGCCCAGAAGCTTCCAGGGGGACCCTGTGTTCCCTGCCTCCCCTGGTGACTCAGGAGCCCCTGGGCACCTCACCCCATCCTTTGTCTCTCTACTTCCTCCTCCACCAAGGGACAATGAAATCGTCATGCCCTGCAGCAAAGTCACCAGGAAAATGTGACTCCACAGCAATTAAGTGATTTTCTTTTCACAAAAACAAAGGTCCAGTGAGGCTCACTAGGAGGCTCCCCCTGGGGACTCTGGACACAGACACACCATGCTTTAAATTCCAACTTGGCTTCACAGAAACTGGAAGTTTAAATAACGAGCTGATCTTTAGCTCTTTAGAGGGGCTCCCCTCTGCATACAGTTGTGTAGAGCCACCCAGCAAAGTTACTCTTGTCACTAAGAACGGAATTCTCATTGGCCAAGCTGGCATTATAGAGTCACCCACATGCGGTCCAGACAGTAATGCTCTACCCTCTTCAAAAAGCCAATTTCAGCTGGGTGTGGTGGCTCACGCCTGTAATCCCAGCACTTTGGGAGGCCAAGGCGGGCGGATCACCTGAGGTCGGGAGTTTGAGACCAGCCTGGCCAACATGGTGAAACCCCGTCTCTACTAAAAATGCAAAAATTAGCCGGGCCTGGTGGCACACATCTATAATCCCAGCTACTTGGGAGGCTGAGGCAGCAGAATCACTTGAACCTGGGAGGCAGAGGTTGCAGTGAGCTGACACAGCGCCACTGCACTCCAGCCTGGGCGACAAGAGTGAGATTTGGTCTCAAAAAATGAAAAAGAAAGTTTTCCCCTTGGAAGGAACAGGTAAGGAGGACCTGAACTCAGCTCCCAGAGAAGTGTTGCTGAAATCCCCTGGGGCCTACAGTCTTTTAGGAATCACTGGGCAATCCCCCAAGCATTTGGGATAGAAAGAAACATCACACATTGAAGTTCTGGAGACTATGCCAAAAAGTCAATCCACCAAGCAGCTTAGCCACTGAGAACAATTGCAGGTCCTTCATGCTCTCGGAGCAGAGTTCCAGCACATACAAAGTGAAGGGCTTCCCCTGGAGTTGTGCAACCTGCAGCCCAGCCCAGGGGATGCAGGAGCAAGGCCAGGAACAGCGCAGTCACACAAATAGGAGTACAATGGCTGATAAGCTCTTGAAAATATGTTTACTCTCACTGGAAATCCAAGAAATGCACATTAAAACAATCACACATCATCCTGCCAGGTACACGAACCAAGCTTCTTAAAAGCACTTGGTTCTTTTAACTTCTTCTAACTTCATTGGAAAACAAGTTAGTAGTATATACAAACAGCTTTCAATATGTCTATATCCATTTTACCAGTAATTCCACTTCTGGGCATGCAACTTTCTTTTCTTTTTTTTTTTTTTTTGAGATGGAGTCTCACTCTGTCACTCAGGCTGGAGTGCAGAGGCGTGATCTCAGCTCACTGCAACCTCTGCCTCCTGGGTTTAAGTGATTCTCCTGCCTCAGCCTCCCAAGCTTGCCCACCACCAAGCCCAGCGAATTTTTTTGTATTTTTAGTAGAGACGAGGTTTCACCATGTTGGCCAGGCTGGTCTTGAACTCCTAACCTCAAGTGATCCGCCCGCCTCGGCCTCCTAAACTGCTGGGATTACAGGCATGAGCCACTGTGCCCGACCATTGGTAAAGTTTTATTTAAACATCTCCATGCAACTTTAAAATAATCAAAAATTTACACAATGAGTTATGCAAGGATATTAATTACAAAATTAATACCCCCAAAAAGGCAAAGATAACTTATACAGTGGGCTTTAATAGTGGGCTGTGGAATGCAGATAATTAAAACGGGGTCACCTAGAGGGACCGGGCTGGCTGGTAGTCTGGAGAAGTCTTCTGGGTGAGCAGTCTTCTGGGATCGGGTCGATAAGAAGCAGCCTGCCCTGCTAGGCTGGGGTGGTGGGTGGGGGGTCTTCCAGGCATAGGACCAAGGCAGGATGGAGCCAGGGTGGCTGGAGAGGAGTACCCTGGGGCCTGACCAGCTAGTCAGGAAGTCTAGCTAGGGGTCAGGAAGTCTAGCTAGTCAGGAAGCTAGGGGTCTGGAAGTGAGGGTCGCAAGTAAGAATTTTACATCGAGGGCACAGAAAAGCCATGGAGGGTTTCATGCAGGAGAGCCATGTGATACAGTGCTTTTATTTATTTATTTATTTATTTTTGAGACGGAGTTTTGCTCTTATTGCCCAGGCTGGAGTGCCATGGCGAGATCTCGGCTCACCGCAACCTCCGTCTCCCGGGTTCAAGCGATTCTCCTGCCTCAGCCTCCCGAGTAGCTGGGATTGCAGGCATGCGCCACAATGCCCAGCTAATTTTTTCTATTTTTAGTAGAGATGGGGTTTCTCCATGTTGGTCAGGCTGGTCTCCAACTTCCGACCCCAGGTGATCTGTGATAGGGTGCTTTTAAAAAGATCACTCTGGCTGCTGTGGGGCAAATGAATGAAAGGGAAACGGGAGACAACTGAGTCTGTTGCAAAAACACAGGAACGCAATGAAGGTGGCTTCGATGGACGTGCTGAGAAGTGGGTGGATACGGGACAGATTTTGGAGGTGGAGCCCACAGGACTCCGTCCTTACTGGCGTCTCCTGTGGAGGGCTGGACAGGGAGCTGGTGCCCAGACTGTCTGCTTGAGCACCAGGCGCTTAAGTCACTGGAGCCTTTGACTGAGATGGGAACGAACCCTAGGCAGAAGGCTGCACAAATGGAAGCTGTTGAGAATGATACCAACTTTGGACATGAAGCTAATGCAAAAAGAACATCCAAAAAGGACCATGGGAGGTTGCCCCTGAAGCTCGTGAAAATAAGGAACGTCCAAATGGCTGCCATTTACTGGGGCTGCGATGAGCACCAACACGGTGTTAAGTGAAAAAGGCCTTGCTGAGACCTGGGGAACAATGGAGCCGTGGGTCCCTGAAGGACCGGGGCAGGGTCCAAGATGGAAATGCCTTACATTAAATTTAACCTCCAAAGAATGATTTCGGGATTTCACAACATTGCCTCGAGCTGACCCTTACTCCCGCATGTTGTACCTAAAGTGGCCAGCCAACATTCCTTCCTCCCCTGCTGGCTGGACTTCTGGTTTGATAAGAGCTGCTGGGAGCTGGGGGAAGCCTGGCAGATACTGGAGACCATCCCAGCTGGGCCTAAACTGAAAATCAAGGCAGGGGAGGCAAAGGAGAGCTACTGCCACCTGTGAGGGGCCTACCACAGAGCAAGGACAGACCAGGCAGTCAGGATGACCAGGTGAAGGCCTGACACTAGGCAGCTACATGATCTAACACAAATGTCTTAACTCTTCAAACAACAATATTCTCATTTATCCATCCATGGCAGTTACCAAAATAGAGATGTGACAAACCATCAGGCAGCACGGAATTCAAGACAATATACTGCACACAGAAGCGCTAGAGAGGAACAAAGGGGCAGCCTTCGAGGAGTTGTAACTGTCATAGATGGCCAGGCGCCGGGGCTCACACCTGTAATTTCGGCATTTTGGGAGGCCAAGGCAGGATCACTTGAGGTCAGGAGTTCGAGACCAACCTGGCCAATGTGGCAAAACCCCATCTGTACTAAAAATATAAAAAATAGCTGGGCCTGGTGGTGGGTGCCTGTAGTCCCAGCTACTCAGGAGGCTGAGGCAGGAGAATCGCTTGAACCCGGAAGGCAAAGGTTGCAGTGAGCCGAGAGAGATTGCGCCACTTCACTCCAGCCTGGGCGACAGAGTGAGACTGTGTCTCCAAAAACAAACAAACAAACTGTCACAGACCTTTCTGTATCCCGTAAGGGCAGCAAAGCGCCTAAAGTATAAAAACATGAAATAGCAAATATGACATTCATTGATAGTGTTGCTCCAATAGACGTTTATCAATGCTACGCAATGAAAACAAGAGAACACACCCATTTCAGACACCCATGAAACACTTAGAAAAATAGGCAATATATTAGGTCACAAAGAAAATTTCAAATTCCCAAAGGTCAGAATAGCACCTAATTCATTTTCTTTCTTTTTCCTTTTTTTTTTTTTTTGAGACAGAGTCTCACTCGCCCAGGCTGGAGTACAGTGGCGTGATCTCCGCTCACTGCACCTCCCGGGTTCAAGCCATGCTCCAGCCTCAGCCTCCCTAGTAGCTGGGATTATAAGCACCCACCACCACACCTGGTTAATCTTTTTTTTTTTTTTTTTTGTATTTTTAGTAGAGATGGGGTTTTGCCATGTTGGCCAGGCTGGTCTCGAACTCCTGGCCTCAAGTGATCCTCCCACCTCAGCCTCCCAAAGTGCTGGAATTACAGGCATGAGCCACCACACCTGGCCAACTTAATTCATTTTCTAACAAAGCAACAGAATTAGAAATGAAAAACAAAAACAAAAATAAAAGAATTTAAAAATTGCAGAATTGACTGAGGACAGCGGTTCATGCCTATAAACCCAGCACTTTGGGAGGCCAAGGTGGGAGGACTCCTTGAGCCTAGTAGTTCAAGACTAGTCTAGGCAACATAGTGAAACCCTCGTCCCTATAAAAAATATAAACTATTAGTTGTGCATGGTGGTGTTCACCTGTAATCCCAGCTACTCAAGAGTCTGAGGCAGGAGGATGGCTTGAGCCCAGGAGTTCGAGCTTGTCAGAAAAAAAAAAAAAAAAAAAGCACAATATCTAGGAAAAAAATAATGAAAATACCACATATCAAAATTTAAATTATATAACACTCAGAGAAAACTTCATTGCTGTTAGCATTACAGAACTAAACAAAAAAAAATGAACTAAGCATGTAACTAAGCATGTTTTACAGAAAAGAGCAAGAAAATAAACCCAAATGAAGAGGAAGGAAAAGATGATAAATGCAGAAGTTAAACTATTAGAAATCAGAAAAATTATAAAATTGATCAATGTATTAAAAAGTTGTTTCTCTTAAAAGCAAACTAGGTAAACCACTGGGTAGCCTAATCAAAGAAAATGCAAATACTAAAAAATGGGGGATGCATAGATACAATATATAGGTAGACTCTATTCAAATAACTTGAAAGAGTTCATGAAACTAATGATTTTCTAGCAAAATGCAATTTGCGAATCTACTCCTCCTCCAAAGAGAAAACTAACAGAGCAACAGTACTGAAAAATTTTGTGAATATTATTAAAGAACTACTAAAAACGTACCAGGTCCAAACATGTCATAATGACATATTTAAAACCTTCTAGAAACAGATCACCTCATTACCATTCAAAGCAGCTATCCTCAAAGCACAGTGGCAGGGCCCGCAGCATCAGTATCACCTGGGAACTCGTAGAAATGCAGGTTCTCAGGCCCCAACTCAGACCTCCTGAATCACAGATTCTCGGGGTGGAGACCAGTGATGTATTTTTAACAAACCTTCAGGATGATTCTGATGCATACTCAAGTTTGAGAGCCGTGAGTTAACGTGTTCAGCCTTAGTATGCCAAATGTGGTCTTCAGGCCAGCAACACCAGCATCACTGGGGAGCTTGCAAGAAATGCAGAATCCTGGCTCCAGCCCAGATCCACTGAGTCAGAATCTGCATTTTGTCAAGGTCTCCAGGAGGGCCTGGCACAGTGGCTCATGCCTATAATCCTAGTACTTTGGGAGGCCATGGTCAGCGGTATCATTTGAGCCCAGGAGTTTGAGACCAGCCTGGGCAACATAAAGAGACCCCCATCTCTACAAAAGAGAAATGAAAAAAAAAAAATTAGCCAGGCATAGTGGCACACTCCTGTAGGAGGCTGAGGCAGGAGGATGGCTTGAGCCCAGGAGTTCAAGGCTGCAGTGAGCTGTGATCATGACTAACACTAGCATGGGTGACAGAGCAAGATCCTTTCTCAAAAAAAGAGAGAAAAAAAAAAAAAAGACCAGGAGATTTGTTCACATGTCCAAATTTGATAATAATTCTCTAGAGCTCCAGCCCAAAGCTGTGCATAGAAATATAATTCAAGCCACGTGGGTAATTAAAAAATGTCTAAGGCTGGGCGTGGCAGTTCACACCTGTAATCCCAGCACTTGGGGAGGCCGACGGGGTGGGCAGATCACATGAGGTCAGGAGTTCAAGACCAGCCTGGCCAACATGGTGAAACCTCATCTCCACTAAAAACACAAAAATTAGCTGGGCCTGGTGGCACACGCCTGTAATCCCAGCTACTTGGGAGGCTGAGGCAGGAGATTTGTTTGAACCCAGGAGGGGGAGGTAGCAGTCAGCCAAGATCATGCTACTGCACTCCAGCCTGGGTGACAGACCAAGACTCCATCTCAAAAAAAAGGTCTAGTCACCACATTTAAAAAAGTAAAAACAGGTTAAATTAACTTTAACAAGATATTTTATTTATGTCAAAATATATATTTTTTTCTTTTTTTCAAACAGGGTCTCACTCTGTTGCCAAGGCTGGAGTGCAATGGCTCGATCACGGCTCACTGCAGCCTCAACCACTCGGGCTCAGGGTATCCTCCCACCACAGCCTCCTGAGTAGTGGGGCATACAGTCACACCCCACCATGCCTGGCTAATTTTTTGTATTATTCGTAGAGAGGAGGTCTTGCTATTTTACCCAGGCTCAGTAAGCCATTTTAAATGTCTAGATTTATAAATACTATTAAGTGTTTTCATAAGTAACAATGATTGATAGTACAATCGGGGAGGAGGGTGGAATGGAAGAGAAAAAGGCCATTTTCTGGTCAGTTCTACCGATGACTCCGAGCTGGAAGCATCGTGGAAAGCCCAGGGCACAGAGTCCCCCAGGGCAGATGGACCCAGACAGGCAGACCATTAATGGCAAGTTGATGGATCTGGAGTGTATTCCCTCCTCTGCCACCCCTGTCTGCCTTTGTCTTTCTAGGATCTTCTCTCTGGGCCTGTTTCCTCATTTGGAACTCTTGCAGGTTAGATAAGATCTCTAACGGGCTGCCCAGCTCTTATAACCCAGGATGCTTCCCTCTATTCATCCATTCAATCAGTCACCAAGGGCCGCCATGTTACAGGTGCTAGGGATCTAATCATAAGCAAAAGACAGGGAAGAAAAATATGACCAAATAATCCCACAAGAAGACGTCAAAATCCACTGTGGCAAGTGCCATGAAAGAGGGGAGCACCGGGTGTGTTAGAGAGGGTAAATCTGTGAGTGTGATGGTAGAGGGTGTGGGAAGAGGTGGGGAAAAGAGTCTCCAGGAGCTGGGAAGGAGGAAGAGGGCTCAGCAGGGGCAGATGGGAGGAGGAGGGGTGAAGAGGCTTGGAACAGCCGCCATGGAAAGTGGGAGCCCAGCAGACACACACAGTAGGGCTGCCAGCAGCTTAGAGCAACCCACCATGCATGCGGCATACAGAGACATGCAACCGCGGTCTATTCACTGAATCCCATGAAATGCCACATAGGTCATCTCAATCTGACATTCTTCCACCAACAGAGAAGAAAAGCCTATATGCTTTTTACAATTCCAGTTTACTTCTCTTTAGAATGCCCTTACAAGAACTGACTCACACGTATCACTAAGCAGACATCCACACTCAGCTATGAAATCTTTGATCAGCCAACCCTCAGTCAGCTCCATGGAACCATGTGGGTAAAGAAGAAGCCAGCAGCTATTCCATAGACAGGGGAAGCACTCAGGGGCAAGCAACGACAGGGGAAGCACTTAGGGGCAAGCAACGGTCACCAAGCACCACAGCACCCAGAAGGTCCTGCTGAGGTCCCGCTGACCGCCCCAGCGCCTGGGAAATGCACTCTGTCAATCAACACCGCAAAACAGGCTAAGATACTGTGAAGGACTCAAACTTTTTTTTTAAAACAGGGAGAGAGGTTTTTTTTTTTTAAGATAATAGCATTTGGTTTTTCAAATGTTCATGAATGATAGGGCAAATACAGAATAAATTAACAAAGGCAGTATGAAGGAATAAATTAAAAAAAGAGAGAGAAAGCTCTCGTAAGCAAAAGCTGCCTTCCAACTACATGGAAAAACACTCTAGTGCCCTAAGTAAATAAATAATAAAAGGATATTGAAACAATACACCCTGAAAACGCTTGTGCCTTCTCTGTTCTCCTGGGCAGAAGCAGTGCTGACAGGTTTATGCTACCGAGGTTACAGACCCAGCTAGCATTTATTTACCTAATAACACTCGAGGACTTTTCAAAGAACTGATGCCATTCTCCAGATTTATTAGTACATATAACCCACTCTTTTACCCCAACCTCTACCAACTCCCAACACAGGACACCCTGACCCCTGGACTAGAAAAAAGCTAAGATTAGAATTTTGACGTGCTCAGACCACACCATTTTCCTTCCCCCTGATAGGAAGGCTCTTAAGAATATATACCCACAAGGAAAACGAAAACAATGCACAGTGATTTTTCATTCTTGCCACACCTAGTCCTTATTGTTTAGAAAACACTTAAATTTGCACAGGTTCTATCTGTTTCACAATTATAGCCACAGTCTTGCCTGTTCACGCATTTTCATTTCTTTTTCTTTTTTTTTTTTTGAGACAGTCTTGCTCTGTCGTCAGGCTGGAATGCAGCGGCACAATCTCGGCTCACTGCAACCTCCACCTCCTGGTTTCAAGCAATTCTCCTGCCTCAGCCTCCCAAGTAGCTGGGACTACAGGCGCCTGCCACCAGGCCCGGCTAATTTTTGTATTTTTAGTAGAGATGGGGTTTCACCGTGTTGACCAGGATGGTCTCGATCTCTTGACCTCATGATCCACCCGCCTCGGCCTCCCAAAGTGCTGGGATTACAGGCGTGAGCCACCGCGCCTGGCCTTCATTTCTTTTTCTTAAACATATGCTATACTACCACTAAAAGCAACTTGTGCAACAAGTATGTACAGAACAGAACACTAATATACTTACTGGGGAAACAGAGCAAACAGACAAAAAAGAAACTAAAGTAGGGCTGGGCATGGTGGCTCACGCCCGTAACCCCAACACTTTGGGAGGCCAAGGCTGGCGGATCACCTGAGGTCAGGAGTTCGAGACCAGCCTGGCCAACATGGGGAAACCCCGTCTCTACTAAAAAAATACAAAAATTAGCTGGGCTTGGTGGTGGGTGCCTGTAATCCAGCTATTTGGAAGGCTGAGGCAGGAGAATCACTTGAACCCGGGAGGCGGAGGTTGCAGTGAGCCAAGATCACGCCACTGCGCTTCAGCCTGGGCAGTAGAGCAAGACTCTGTCAAAAAGAAAGAAAGAGAGAAAGAGTGAGAGAAAGAGAGAGAGAGAGGGAGAGGGAGGGATGGAGGGAAGAAGGGAAAGCGAAAGAAAGCAAGAAGAGCAAGAAAGCAAGAAAGAAACTAAAATGGAAACAATAACAATCCAGGATCACAGAATTTCAGAGCTAAAGGGGTTTTAGTGAATAAGAGGTTAAAAGACTTGCACTAGGACAGAAAATTGGTAGCAAAGACAGCTCTAGAATTGCTACCATTTCTGCAGCAGGTAGGGAACTATTCACACTTTTTTTTTTTCTTTTATTCTTTTCTTCCTGAGACAGGGTCTCACTCTGTTGCCCAGGCTGGAGTGCAGTGGTGTGATCTCTGCTCACTGCAGCCTCGACCTCCTGGGCTCAAGCAATTCTCCCTCCTCAACTTCCCAAGTGCTGGGACTACAGGCATGCACCACCACACCTGGCTAAATTTTGTATTTTTTGTAGAGATGGGGTTTCACCATGTCACCCAGGATGGTCTTGAACTCCTGGGCTCAAGCATTCCACCCATCTCAGCCTCCCAAAGTGCTGGGATTACAGGCATGAGCTACTGCGCTTGGCCCAGTTCACATTTCTTAAGCCAACCTTCCTGCACGAGACCAGTCTCCTTCTGCGGTTTGTCACTGCTGCCCAGGAAAACCTAAGGCATTCACTAGCCTAGGGCAGTGGGCTGTTCTCAATGGCATCTGTTACAGGCCTTTCTTAGGTTTAGCATTATTTGATTATGTGATGTGATTATTTTATTAATATGTGTCTTCTCAGCTAGGCCATAAGTTGTACAAGGCCAGTCATACCTCCCTGTGGTGCAGAGAAGCCTAAGAAGGGAGTCAACATTTCCGGATCAAGTCACTTTTTCTTGGATATTAACTTTTACAGGACAGGCCCTGAGATTTGATAATACTTGATTTAGCATGATTTTACTTCCCTTCATTCGTCTGAGAGCAGACAGATTTTATGAATGAGAGAGCCAAAGATTAGTTTTCTTTCTCAAAGACTATGAATGGTGGCTAGGTGTGGTGACTCATGCTTGTAATTCCAGCACTTTGGGAGGCCAAGGTGGGAGGATTGCTAGAGCCCAGGAGTTCGAGACCAGCCTGGGAGATATAGTAAGACCTTGTCTCTACAAAAAATTTTAAAATTAGCTGGGCATGGTGTGCACCTGTGGTCCCAGCTACTTGAGAGGCTGAGGCGGGAGGATCACTTGAGCCAGAGAGGTGGAGGTTGCAGTGAGCCCTGATGGTGCTACTGCACTCCAGGCTGGCGACAGAGCAAGACCCTGTCTCATGAAAAAAAAAATTGTTGGCAGGGCGCAGTGGCTCATGCCTGTAATCCCAGCACTTTGGGAGGCCAAGGTGGGTGGATCACCTGAGATCGGGAGTTTGAGACCAGCCTGACCAATGTGGAGAAATCCCGTCTCTACTAAAAAACACAGAATTAGCCAGGCATGGTGGCGCATGCCTGTAATCCCAGCTACTCGGGAGGCTGAGGCAGGAGAATCGCTTTAACCCAGGAGGCGGAGGTTGCAGTGAGCTGAGATTGTGCCATTGCACTCCAGCCTGGGCAACATGAGTGAAACTCCATCTCAAAAAAAAAAAAAAAAGGTTTACACCTGTGTATTATCTCATTTCAAAAAAAAAAAAAAAAAACCCACTGTGAACAGCAAACTACTTGGTGACTAGGAGTGCCTGTGTGTTAGTCCAACATCCCATACAAAGCAAAATGTCACTAACAAAGGCATCCTACTATTCTTAGGCAATCAGAAGGTAAATAGCAACAGAACACAGAGAACCCAATTTTTAGCCCATAGCACTAATCTGCAGATTAGAAATCCTCAAAGTGGCCAGGCACAGTGGCTCACACCTGTAATCCCAACACTTTGGGAGGCTGAAGCTGGAAGATCACTTGAGGTTAGGAGTTCGAGACCAGCCTGCCCAACATGGTGAAACCCCATCTCTACTAAAAATACAAAAATTAGCCTGGCCTGGTGGCACACGCCTGTAATCTCAGCTACTTGGAAGACTGAAGCAGGAGAATCACTTGAGCCCAGGAATCAGAGGTTGCAGTGAGCTAAGATTGTGCCACTGTACTCCAGCTGGGGCAACAGAGCAAGATTCTGTCTTAAAAAAAGAAATACTCAAAGTATGTTCACTAGAACTCCTAATTCCATACAGTTCATCAAACAAGGCAGTAGCAGCCATATCACCATTCCACTAAGAAGAAAAGAGCAAGTCCATGGGCCCTAAAAACCTGAAAGTTTCACAAATGTTAAGGGGTAGGAGAAGAAAAAGAAAAGGAATCCCTGAAACCCTTTAAGGAAGCAGTCAGAGCACTGAGTCCCAGCACTGCAGCCCAGCAGGCCACCACCCAGCCCCTGGGGAATGCTGCCCTCATCTACCCCACAGCCAGGGTCTCAATCTGTCATCCAGGCTGGAGGGCAGTGGCACGATCACAGCTCAGCTCAGCCTCGACCTCCTGGGCTCAAGCAATCCTTTCACCTCAGCCTCCCAAGTAGCTGGGACTACAGGTGCACCACCACAGCCAGCTAGTATTTTTTACTTTTTGTAGAGAGAGGGTCTCACTATGTTGCCCAGGCTCTTCTCAAACTATTGGGCTCAACTGTCCCTCCTGCCTTGGCCTCCCAAAGTGCTGGGATTACAAGCGTGAACCACGGCACCCAGCCTGATCTTACTTCTATTACTACGTTATCCAGAAATTATATTTATATGTTGAGAAAATTAGATGTACACACTGTAAACACAATATAATAATAGTTATATTTGGATGGCTTAATTATGGGTGATTTGTATTTTTTTCATGCTATTCTATGATCTATAAATGCTTTCCAATGAATCACTTGAGGTCAGGAGTTCGAGACCAGCCTGGCCGACATGGTGAAACACCGTCTCTACTAAAAATACAAAAATTAGCTAGGCATGTTGGCATGTACCTGTAATCCCAGCTACTCGGGAGGTTGAGGCAGGAGATTGCTTCAACTTGGGAGGCAGAGGCTGTAGTGAGCCCAGATCGTGCTACTCTACTCCAGCCTGGGTGACAGAGTGAGACTCTATCTCAAAAAAAAAAGTTTTCCAATGATTATACACCAGATTTGTAATATTTTTTTTTTTTGAGACAAAGTCTTGCTCTGTCCCAGGCAGGAGTGCAGTGGCACGATCTTGGCTCACTACAACCTCCGCCTGCCAGGTTCAAGCAATTCTTGTGCCTCAGCCTCCCGAGTAGCTGGGATTACAGGCGCCAGCCACCGCACCCAACTATTTTTTTTTTTTTTTTTTTGTATTTTCATGTTGGCCAGGATGGTCTCAAGCTCTTCACCTCGTGATCCACCTGCCTCGGCCTCCCGAAGTCCTGAGATTATAGGTGTGAGCCACCACGCCTGGCCCAGATTTGTAATAATTTAAACAAAGATATATAATTTTAAGACTCCACGACATCCTCATACACTTTTTTTTTTTTTTTTTTTTGAGACAGGGTGTCACTCTTTCGCCCAGGCCGGAGTGCCGTGGCATGATCTTGGTCACTGCAGCTTCAAACTTCCAGGCTCAGGTGATTCTTCCACCTCAGCCTCCTGCATAGCTGGCACTACAGGCACATACCACCATACCCAGCTAATGTTTTGTATTTTTAATAGAGATGAGGTTTTGCTATGTTGTCTAGGCTGGTCTCGAACTCCTGGAGTCAAGCAATCCACCAGTCTATTCAAATAAATGAGGGTACATCTATTCACAGTAACACAGCCATTAAAAGAACGAACATGAAGTTATGGACTGATATGAAACTACCTCTAAGATACGTTATTTAACTAAAATGCAAGATGCAGAATATATGCTATCATTTGTACAAAATTAATTTTAAGGCTGAATGTGGTGAGTCACATCTGTAATCCCAACACTTTGGCAGGCCGAGGCAAGAGGATCACTTGAGGCCAGGAGTTCAAGGCCAGCCTGGGAAACACAGTGAGACCTTGTCTTTACCAAAAAAATACAAAAATTAGCTGGGCATGATGGCATGTGACCATAGTCTCAGATAATTGGGAGGCTGAGGTAGGAGGATCGCTTGAGCCCAGGAGTTCAAGGCTGCACTGAGCTATGATTGCACCACTGCACTCCAGCCTAGGCAACAGAGCCAGACCCTGTCTGCAAAAAACACAAATAAGTAAACAAATACATGAATGAATAATATTAATTTTAAGACATATTTATTTGTGCATGTATTGGCTATCTCTGGAAGGCTTACCTAGAAAGTTATAGGAAAATTGCCTTAAAAGAGGGGCAATGGAGGACTAGGGGACAGGAAAGAGAAAAACAGGTGAGAAGAAAACTTAATTTTCTTTTTGAGACGGAGTCTTGCTCTGTCACCCAGGCTGGAGTGAAGTGGCGCGATCTCGGCTCACTGCAACCCCCATCCCCCCTCCCCCGCTCAAGCGATTCTCCTGCCTCAGCCTCCGGAGTAGCTAGGATTATAGGCACCCGCCACCACACCCAGCTAATTTTTGTATTTTTAGTAGAGACGAAGTTTCACCGTCTTGGCCAGGCTGGTCTCAAACTCCTGATCTCAAGTGATCCACCTGCCTCGGCCTCCCAAAATGCTGGGATTATAGGGGTGAGCTACCACTCCTGGCCGGAAACCTTCACTTTCACTATATATATCCTTTTTGTACTTTGGGTTTTTGTTTGTTTGTTTGAGATGGGGTCTCACTCTGTTGTCTAGGCTGGAGTGCAGTGGCACAACCATAGCTCACTGCAGCCTCAAGCTCCTGGGTTCAAGCATTTTTCTCACCTCAGCCTCCCCAGTAGCTAGGACTACAGGCACACATCACCACATCTAGCTATTTTTTTTTTTTTTTTTTCTTAGAAACAAGGTCTTTTGGCTGGGCATGGTGGCTCATGGCCTGTAATCCCAACACTTTGGGAGGTCGAGGCAGGTGGATCACCTGAGGTCAGGACTTCGAAACTAGCCTGGAACACATGGTGAAACCCTGTCTCTGCTAAAAATACAAAAGTTAGCTGGGCATGGTGGAGGGTGTCTGTAGTCCCAGCTACTCAGGATGCTGAGGCAGGAGAATCACTTGAACCTGGGAGGCGGAGGTTGCAATGAGCCACGATCAGACCATTGTACTCCAGCCTGGGCAACAGAGTGAGACTCTGTCTCAAAAAAGGGAGGAAGGGAGGGAGGGAGGGAGGGAGGAAGGAAGGAAGGAAGGCTCTCTATATTGTCCAGGCTGGTGTTGAACTCCTGGGCTCAAGCGAGTCTCCTGACTTAACCTGTGGAGTAGCTAGGGTTACAGGTGTGAGCCACTGCCCCGGGCCTCTTTTTGTAGTTGAAATTTTGTGCTATGAGCATTTATTACTAAAAAATAAACAAACTTAAAAAGGCTTGGTGGGAAACTACACCAAGGACTTTTCCAAGTGTCTCGGCACCTATGCATGATCTTCAGGTTGAAGGCAACCCCTTAACAAGTGCTGCCTCCAGCAGACAAAACACCAGGAGGGATCAGGCGGGCTCCTGCAGACCCAGCACCCGCAGGGGGACTGATCGGTTTTCTCTGCTCACTTTTGGAACCAGGTCTAGACAAGTCCATACTCCGGTTCAGCCAAAGCAAGAACACTGTGTCCTCTGACAACAATGTCAAATTCTCACTTGTATGTAGTAAATAAGGAATATTTTACCTTTCAGCAAAGGTGTCGAGTTTCCCCAACTCATCAGAGAGGCCAACCAGGGAATCCAAGGTCCCCACCTAGACAGATCATAAAAACGTCAGAGGCTCACAGGTTTCTGGCCAAGCATGATGCCATCTCAACAACACGGCAGGGACTCTGTCACTTCATCTTGAATTTGTCACCCTTGGTCAATGGCCAAAGTGGAAAGTAGAAAAAACTCTTAATGGAAACCAGTGGATTTGGGGGTGTCTTTATTTACTTATTTTTGACCAACAGGATAAACTGTCATATGCCTGCCATAGGAAGGAGTGACTATGATGTTACCATCTGACCTCAGCTCATTTTCCTCTTAGAATGGCAGCCTGCTAGTCAGTCATGTTGTTAATCCCCATAGCTGAGGAAGAGATACACCAGAAAGCAAGTTAAAGAAGTTCTCATTCCTAAAAGCTTTTCTGCTCCAAGACAGTCCCATCAGTTGTGTTTTTTGTTGTTGTTTTTGAGATGGAGTTTCGCTCTTGTTGCCCAGGCTGGAGTGAAATGGCACGATCTCGGCTCACCTCAACCTCCGCCTCCTGGATTCAAGTGATTCTCCTGCCTCAGCCTTCCTAGGTAGCTGGGATTACAGGTATGCACCATCATGCACGGCTAATTTTTTATTTTTAGTAGAGACAGGGTTTCTCCATGTTGGTCAGGCTGGTCTCGAACTCCCGACTTCAGGTGATCTGCCTGCCTTGGCCTCCCAAAGTGCTGGAATTACAGGCTCAAGCCACTGCACCCGGCCCCACCGTCTTTTTCTCTGTTCTTTGCTGTTATTAACCATGATCTTGAGGCCAAGGTGGGCAGATCACCTGAGTTCAGGAGTTTGAGACCAGCCTGGCCAATATGGCAAAACCCTGTCTCTACTAAAAATACAAAAATTAGCCGGGCATGGTGGCATGTGCCCGTAATCCAAGCTACTTGGGAGTCTGAGGCAGGAAAATCATTTGAACCTCGGAGGTGGAGGTTGCAGTGAGCCAAGATCGCACCACTGCACTCCAGCCTGGTCAGCAGAGCGAGACTGCATCTCAAAAAAAAAAAAAAAAAAAAAAATTCTTGCTGGGGAAGGAGGCAGCTTTTCCTTTCCTCCCACTTCATCATTCACCTAGGTCCTTTTCTTTTCAGAGAACTTATGATCTGTTTTTTTTGTTGTTGTTGTTTTTTATTTTTTGAGATCTCGGCTCACTGCAACCTCCACCTCCCAGGTTCAAGTGATTCTTCTGCCTCAGCCTCCCAAATAGCTGGTATTACAGGCATGTGCCCCACGCCTGGCTTATTTTTTTATATTTTTAGTAGAGATGGGGTTTGGTCATGTTGTCCATGCTGGTCTCAAACTCCTGACCTCAAGTGATCTTCCCACTTCGACCTCCCAAAGGGCTGGGATTACGGGAGTGAGCCACCGTGCCTGGCCATGATCTATTTCTTAGTGTAGAAATTACTACAATGTCCAAAATTGTATTTAAAGGTCTTTTCACAGAATCAGAAAGAAAAGGGTTGCTATCATGTGGTACCACCAACTAGATGTTAAAAAGTAATTAGGTTCTGAGATTTGGCAGAATTTCAAGAAAAAAAAAATTAAGAAAAATAATTAGGAGGCTGGGCACAGTGGCTCACACCTGTAATCTCAACACTTTGGGAGGCCGAAGGTTTGAGACCAAACTGGTCAACCTGGTGACACCCCGTCTCTACTAAAAATACAAAAACTAGCCAGGCATGGTGGCATGTGCCTGTAATCCCAGCTACTGGGGAGGCTGAGGCAGGAGAATCACTTGAACCCAGGAGGCGGAGGTTGCAGTGAGCCTAGATTGCACCACGGCATTCCAGCCTGGGTGACAGAGCGAGGCTCCAACCAAAAAAAAAAAAAAAAAGTAATTAGGAAATGATGAAGCCTGAATATCTCTACCAAGACAAGTCGCTTCTTCTCAAGTAACTTAATTTTAAGCAACTTCTGCAGGGGCTGTGTCTTCTTTTTTTATCTTTTTACCTTCCAGAGTCCAGCACAGTGCCTCACACACAGTATCAATGAGTGGATGCAGAATTTACTCACCCGTACAGTGTCCATTGCTGGACAAGCAGAGGCAGGCTTAAAAAGGCAGCAAGATGTGGTTTCAGAACCCACTGCTGCCACTTACCAGCCTGACAACACTTAGCCTCTCCCAGCCTGTCCCCAGAGTCAGCTTCCCGGTGATGCATTTCAAGTATCTAGCCGTCAGCTCTTTGCTCAACAAACGTTAGCAAATGGGGTAGCATTACAACCCTGGTAGCTGATGGGGCAGCTGTTTGGGCGGAGGGGCAAAGTGAGGTTTGAAAAGGGAGTATATGGCAGTTTTCTACAAGAGCAGATGCTGGGCAGTCAGTGCCATCTCACCAGCACCTGTGCCATGTGGTCTGGGAGAAAGCTGTAGTGTCTTCCCCGTGGAAACCTACAGCCTCAGAAAGCACCACGGTAAGTCCACTCTTTTTGAAGTAAAATAATTGTGTGGCCAGGCGTGGTGGCTCACTCCTGTAATCCCAGCACTTTGGGAGGCCGAGGCAGGTGGATCACCTGAGGGCAGGAGTTTGAGACCAGCCTGCCCAACATGGTGAAACCCCATCTCTACTAATAATACAAAAATTAGCCGGGCATGGTGGCACACGCCTGTAATCCCAGCTACTCGGGGGGAAAAAAATTGCACATGTCTCATTCTTTTTTTTTTTTTTTTTTTGAGACAGAGTCTCGCCGTTCACCCAGGCTGGAGTGCAGTGGCGCAATCTCGGCTCACTGCAAGCTCCACCTCCCGGATTCACACCATTCTCCTGCCTCAGCCTCCCGAGTAGCTAGGACTACAGGCGCTCGCCACCATGCCTGGCTATTTTTTTGTATTTTTTAGTAGAGACGGGGTTTCACCGTGTTAGCCAGGATGGTCTCGATCTCCTGACCTCATGATCCACCCACCTCGGCCTCCCAAAGTGCTGGGATTACAGGCGTGAGCCACCGCGCCTGGCCTCATTCTTCCTTAATGTTGGTTTCGTTTGAACTTTGCCCTCCACTCCAAGAACCCTTAGATGCCTGGGCATGACCCAAACTCTCTTCTGTCACCAAATTCCCTCCCTTCCCCTCCCTCAGGACCAAAGGGATCCTAGATTTCCTCCCCTGCCCCCAGGTCAAGAGTACAATCAAGGCTGAAGCCCCCCAAGCCTGCACATCTAAACTATATGGTGGGTCTTCTGAGATGTTGCAGACAAACCAGGAGGAGCCAGAGGAACACCCAAGAGAACCTGAGTGTGCATTTAACGTGCTTCCCACTTTTTGAAGCATTAGACACTGCTACCCACAACCTTGTCCCCCTGTTCATTCCTTCCTGTGGCTGCATCTACATAGGTATCACAATTTATTTGGGACTATGGCATGATATCCCACCTAGCCCATCACCTCCCCGTCCATCCTCAAACCTCAGCTTGTCCTCAGAGCCCCTGCTTTGCCTTGATACTTTCTCCTTGGCTTCCTGAGGTAGCAACCTGTCTCCCTCTCCTGTCTCCCCCTGACCAATCCATCCCTTTTTCACTCCTCCCCAAGAATTTTACCTTGAAGTCAGGAATAGCGAATTTGGTATTATAAGACAGGTTGGACTTGGAGGTTACAGTATTCATCCTCTCCAGAGCTTGCAAATTTTCCTTATCGCCAGGGGCAGAAATTAACCAAAACTCCGACATGCTTCCAGTCTTCTCTTACCCAGTGACTGCCCAGAACCAGGACAAACATACACAAACAGAAACAGAAGGAGAGATGTGTCAGATATCCCCGCCTCACCACTCCCTACCCTCCAATTCATCCTTTCTAGGATGAGCTCCAAGGACATCCATTTGCAAAAGCAAAGCTCTTATCTCCACCTGGGCAGCCCTCAGGTGTTCCCGAAACTCCAAAGCTCCTTGGTCCCTGCAGTGGTTCTGGCTGGTTTTCAGGAGCAGAGGAGGAGGGAGAGGTTCCTTTCTTTCTCTCCACCTCAGTGAACAACCCCTATCAGGCATCATAAAACGGGAGGACAGTAAGCTGGAGGCGGACACCTTCTGGGGGAATATTTGTCTTCCTTCCACACTGCATCTTCTGGGATGCAGGATGGGGTGGAGGAAGGCGTGGGATGAGGAAGGGATTTTCACAACAGGCTACCAGGTCAAACCGCAGGTCAAACTGGCCAACCTTGTGATTGGTATTAGCTTTAAAAATAGACTTCAGAGGATTTTTTTAAATAAGAAAAAAAAAAGTAGTAGGGGGTGAGGGGAACTACTAAAGTCTTTTTTCCACTAGGCGAGGTGCCCGCTCAGCAGTGCTGGGTCCCTTGCCCGGCGTGGCCGGTGGTTTCGCGGCCGCGTCTGCAGCCTCTACGGCCGATTCGATTCGTGCTGCTCCTTCACAGGTGTCCACACCCGCACCTTTCCCCCTCGGCCAGGTTCCCCCTTTCCGCTTGCCTCCCCGCGGCGTCTCCGGACGGCTGGGGGAAAGCAGGATAAGCTCTGAGGAGCCAGAGACCCCTGGTGGAACCTCTTCCTTTCGGACTCCCGGTCCCGCTCCAATCCGAGGGCATTTTGTTCTCTCCTAACCCCGCGCAGACCCAACGCAGCTCCTTTCCGCCTTGACTGCCCATGGCCTGGGGACGAACTGGCCCGCCGCAGCACCTGCGGAGATGCTACCAGCCCGGCCGCGGGGAAGCGCGCGGAGGTGCACGCTGCCCACGTTTCCAATGGGAAAGCGCAGGCTGGTGCGCAGCCGGACCCCGTGCCTGTGTCCCCACCCCGCCCCTGCCTCGGGTCCCCGCTCCGCGGTGCGTCCTTACCGGGAGCCGGCGGGGCGCGGGCCGCGCGGTAGGGGGCTGCGGGCGACGGGCGGCGGGTGCGGGGCCGGAGCGCTCTGCCGGCTCCCGGGAGGCAGCGGCTTCGCTGCCCCGCGCCCCGCCCCGCCTTTTATCCCGGGCTCTGGAGGCGGCCCCGGCCCCGCAGGATATTTGCATACGGGCCGTCCGCCTCCCGCCTCGCTCCAGCCAGGGGCCCGAGAGCCGGGGAGCAGGTGCAGGCGCCGGGCAGGAAGGCGCGGAGGAGACGCGCAGGGTCTCCAGTCCCCTACGCGCGAGGGCCGGGGCCCTGGGGGCTTCTGCGGCGCGTCCCACGGGGTCTCCTGCCGCACGACTGCGCTGCCGCGTCCGGGACGCGTGGACGGCTGAGCCGGGTGGGAGTCGGGAAAAGGCTCTGAGCTCGGGACCACCCCGCCCTCCCGCTGCGGCCGCCGCAGCCCCGCTTGCCCACCCACTCTCGCCTCACAGAGACATGCGCGGATCTCAGGGGAATCACCTACTCCCAGGTGTCTCCAGGCCAGTGCAAGAGACAGGGCCCACCTGTGGGGAGCCGCGCAACAGGTGCGCAGGTGCTCGGGACGCACCTGCGTAGACAGCGAAGCTTTTCCTGTCCGTGTGGGCGCGGGTGTGCGCCCGGTTGCCCAGGAAACTCCCACCTCACCCTCTCCACCTTCCGAATTGCCCTGTGGATGGGGGGTGGGGGGGCGGTTACAACTCACCGTACGACGATCAGAGATGAGTTCATGATCGGTGCTGTCTGGAACCAGGAGGGGGAAACCCTGGAAATTAACGTGTGAAGGTTAAAAACAAGACAAAACCAAAGGAAAACTCGGAGAATTCATTTTCTCTGGACCGAAGGAGAAGGCTTTAAAGCATCCTTCCATGTGGGCGATGTTTTCAGTGGTTTCTGGGAAAGATGAAGATCTCAAGAGTGTCCTTCGAGGGGGCATTGGAGACGGTGTTCTTGCTTCCTTAAACGTGGACTCCCCCTCCTGTGTAAACTAGCCTTATCTATCAACCCATTCTTGTGAATGCATCAGGGTCTTTGGCAGAAGGATTTGACATCATCTGAGACTTAAGCTGTAATCACATAGGGTGGGATGGGAAGCCCCAGAGACGGGACAGAAAGGTGGCTTTAAGATCACAGTGGGGTCGTACTGCCAGCCTAGGTTAGACTTGGAAGTCCCAGCACCTGCAGCAGGCATCGTTATTGGGACACTAATGTGCATTAGTCAGTCCTTGCAACATCTTCCTGAGGGAGGATACCTGAAACCAAGGGATGGGGAAACTCCGGTATGTTTGAGGACATTAAGTGGCTATTCCAGGGAAGGAGTGGCCCAGTTAGACATTAAAGCGGGGTGGTCTCCAATCTTGGACGTTATCCAGGCACGACATTTTATCCAGCCAGGGAAAACATCTTAGAGCTGGGGGCAGATCTCATCTGCAAACAAGGGTGGAGATGCCCACAGAAGTTACGTGAATTGCCCAGTGTCACACAGCTGGTTATGTCAGAGCTACAGTTGGAACTCGGGCCTGTGGCTGAGTCTTATGTCCTTTCTACTGCTCCCAACAAGCCTGCAGGACTAGATAATCAGGGTGAGGAAGAACACATGCTTTCTATTTTAGTCCACATTTTCCCATCTGCAAGGTTCAAAGCCATGGACCTGGCTTCTCAGAGACTGAGCAACACATTTAGAAGTATCTGTGACCTGGCTCGTGGCACCACTCTTTCTATACACCTGGTTACCTGTAAATACTTTGTTTTGTGCCAGGTGTGGTGGCTTACACCTGTAATCCCAGCACTTTGAGAGGCCAGGTGGGCAGGTCACCTGAGATCAGGAGTTCGAGACCAGCCTGACCAACATGGAGAAACCCCGTCTCTATTAAAAATAAAAAATTATCTGGGTGTGGTGGCGCATGCCTTAATCCCAGCTACTCGGGAGGCTGTGGCAGGAGAATCGCTTGAACCCAGAGGCAGAGGTTGCAGTGAGCCGATATCACACCATTGCACTCCAGCCTGGGCAACAAGAGTGAAACTCCATCTCAAAAAAGAAAACAAAAAACCCAATCCAAACCAAACCAAACCAAACCAAAACAACAACAACAACAACAAACAAAACAAAACAAAACTTTGTTCTGTGAATTAAGAGAGTCAGACACAAATAACTCCTGGATAGGCCAGGCACGGTGGCTCATGCCTGTAATCCCAGTACTTTGGGAGGCCCAGGCGGGTGGCTCACTTGAGATCAGGACTTTGAGACCAGCCTGGCCAACATGGTGAAACCCCATCTTTACTAAAAATACAAAAACTGGCTGGGCACGGTGGCTCACGCCTGTAATCCCAGCACTTTGGGAGGCCGAGGCAGGCGGATCACGAGGTCAGGAGATCAAGACCATCCTGGCTAACACGGTGAAACCCCATCTCTACTAAAAATACAAAAAAATTAGCTGGGCTTGGTGGCGGGCGCCTATAGTCCCAGCTA
The DNA here is from genome assembly GCF_000001405.40 of Homo sapiens. Lineage (NCBI taxonomy): Eukaryota > Metazoa > Chordata > Mammalia > Primates > Hominidae > Homo > Homo sapiens. The sequence goes on along the minus strand of NC_000002.12, from coordinate 10,719,233 downwards.
CTCGGGAGGCTGAGGCAGGAGAATGGCGTGAACCCGGGAGGCGGAGGTTGCAGTGAGCCAAGATTGCGCCACTGCACTCCAGCCTGGGCGATAGAGCGAGACTCCGTCCCAAAAAAAAAAAAAAAAACTAGCTGGACATGGTGGTACGCACCTGCGGTCTCAGCTGCTAGGGAGGCTGAGGCGCGAGAATCACTTGAACCTGAGAGGCAGAGGTTACAGTGAGTCGAGACCATGCCACTGTACTCCAGCCTGGGTGACAGAACAAGACTCCATCTCCAAAAACAAAAAACAAAACAAAACAAAAACAAAAACACACAAATAACTTCTGGACATCATCTGATTAAGAAAATAATAAGGACCTACAGTGTTCCTTGTCTTCCTCAAAATCTTCCTACTCAAAATCTAAAATCTTTCTGGTCTTTCACATCTTAAGTTTCTTGTTTCATAGCTGAATTTATAATGGATGATGTCTACTGCTGCAGGGGTAGCTTGATATTTTTCAAATAACTTTTTATCTGCTTATATAGGTAATTCTCTCCTTTTCTTTTCTCCAACAAGAATGAGCTTGAAATTTCTGTTTTTTAAAAAGAATTTGGCAAACAGAGAAGTATAAGGAAGAAAATAAAAATTACTTGTAATTCTATAATTAGCTGCTGTTAACATTTAAATTCTTTATTACCATTAATGCATATTCATGTATAGATGCAGATTTCTTTGCATGATTGAGATTATATATTATTCATAAATCTTGGCATTCTGCTGTTTGCTTTCTAAAGATCAAAAAAGTTATCAAATGTATCTTATCAGTAAAGGATAATCCAATGTCATCAGAGTTTACCACAGCTCAGAACTTGAGTAAGATTCTGAAGCCAAATAAAGATGCCTTGTTAAACAACTTACATCTTGAAAAGGTGGCAAGGCGGGCGGGAATCTTGTCCAAGAGGTTGTTTGATTTGCATTTCTCAAAGGCAACCACATGTGTACTTACCAGTTTTGAGCTAACTTGTGTTTTTCTCTCACAAAGATCAGCCTTTAACAGATAAATAGGGAGAAAACAACAAAAAGTTCTGGAGCCTGCTCCCTTGGTATATTAAAAGAGTATGATTTAGCATTTACACTGTATAAGGAAAGTATTTTTCTTCCATATTTCAACCTGAAGCACCATTTAGCAACCCATTTTCTGTCCCCTCCCTATACAACTTTAAAGTTTCTGAAATCTGCTGCTAAAAGACTTAAAAGTTTGTGTGCCTTAATCACTGCTTTTAAAATACTCCCCAGGTTATGAAAAATATAGTACCCAGGTCATAATAAACACCATCTCTTCCCAGGAATAAAGGCTGGGGAGGAAATGCCAGGAGTCTTGAGTCATCTGCAGCTTATTATGAATTTGGCTTTAGTTAGTTACTTCTGAAATGTTTCTGCAGTTGGCACTGATCGTGCATTGAGCCAGCTGAAGTCTGTGCAACATTGAACAGTCCCGTCAGGTTTGGGAACCAGAAGGGTGAGGCTGGCCTCGTTGGTCTGTTGTCCTCTGGCCACTCCCAGCTGACATATTTTGAACTTCTTTATTACTTCATAGCCATCCGAAGATGATGCCCTTTCCAAATCAGCCCAGATATCCTTGAATCTCAATCAGCTCACGTGGGTTGTTCTGGCTTTTGCTGAGAAGAGCCCTGGGGAGTTTTTCTATGGGGACAGATCTATAGTACAGAAAAATGCAAGTAGAATTGTCCCTTGCAAGTCAATACGGTGCTGTAGAAACAGATTAGGCTTTGAAATCAGACAGTCAGAAAAGCCGCTTACACTTGCTATGTTTCAGGTTTCCCAGCTGAAAACAAAGGAGCAAGATTATGCCTGCTTTTTAGGCTTGTTATGAGGATAAGATAGAACAGCATTTCTGGTGAGAGCAACCGAATAAGAGCTCCCCTCACTTCTCCCTCTCCTGCTTTCTTAGGTTTCTTTACGGTTTTACATATTAAGTGCAGCACATTGTAATAATCTCTCGAAATCATCTACCATCCTTCTTCAGGGCCCAAAGTCCTCTCATCTGTATTTTCTTTTTCACCCAAAAAGCCTTTGTGATTTTAGGACAGCCATTGTTATCATTGTCACTGTTTTGGTCAGAGAAATTAAGGCCAGGGAATTCTCAGGATTTGTCCTAGTGTACACAGACAAGGAGAAGTCACCTCTGCTCACTTCCTCATCTAACAAGTTTTTTTTTTCCCCCCACAATATTTGCCAGGCACTGTGGAGCATGCAAAAATAAATCAGCATTTTCATACTAGTACTAGAGCAAAGCAAGTCTGATAAACAGAATACTGAGCAGTTCCAACTCACTAAGGTCTGAACACAAAACACTAAGCAGGATGTGATATGTGCATACACACGAGGTGTAGACATACCAGGAAGACCATGATCCTCTTTCACAGATGAGGAAGCAGGCTCAAGGAGATTAACTGAGCTGATCAAAGCACACTTAGTGGTAGAACCGGGTCTTGAACTTCATTCTTCTACCTCCAAGTGTCTCTGGCATTACAAGCTCTAAACCACCCCTCTAGGCCCCATGCAAAGACCTAGTTACTAGCACTCAGCCTGTAATTGCATTTGTTTGTTTGTTTGTTTGTTTGTTTTTGAGACTGAGTCTGGCTCTGTTGCCCAGGCTGGAGTGCAGTGGCGCGATCTCAGCTCACTGAAACTTCCACCTCCTGGGTTCAAGCAATTCTCATGCCTCAGCCTCCTGAGTAGCTGGGACAACAGGTTTGTGGGTTGGTTGGTTTGTTTTTGACAGAGTCTGGCTCTGTTGCCCAGGCTGGAGTGCAGTGGCACGATCTTGGCTCACTGCAATCTCTGCCTCCAGGGTTCAAGTGATTCTCCTGCTTCAGCCTCCTGAGTAGCTGGGATTACAGGCACCCGCCACCATGCCCAGCTAATTTTTGTATTTTTGGTAGAGACAGGGTTTCACCATGCTGGCCAGGCTAGTATTGAACTCCTGAACTCAGGTGATCCACCCACCTCAGCCTCCCAAAGTGCTGGAATTACAAGTTGGAGCCACTGTAACTGGCCTACATAAGTTTCTACATAACGTCAGTGGACTTTTTGGTGAGCTGTAAACTGTGGTTAATAATAGTACCTGTCGGCCAAGCGTGGTGACTCACGCCTGTAATCCCAGCACTTTGGGAGGCCAAAGCAGGCAGATCGCCTGAAGTCAGGAGTTTGAGACCAGCTGACCAACATGAAGAAACCTCATCTCTACTAAAAATACAAAATTAGCTGGGCATGGTGGCACGTGCCTCTAATCCCAGCTACTTTGGAGGCTGAGGCAGGAGAATCACTTGAACCTGGGAGGCGGAGGCTGCAGTGAACTGAAATAGCGCCCTTGCACTACAGCCTGGGCAACAAGAGCGAAACTGTCTCAAAAAAAAAAAAAAAAGAAAAGAAAAGAAAAGAAAAAAGAAAAGTACCTGCCTCATAAGGTTTTCCCGGGAATTAAATGATATGGCAGAGTGAACAGTGCATATTAAGCAATTGGCAACGACGTGCTATTAGCATTTACTACTTTAAAAAGCTCCATTCATCTCTGCTTCTTTTCCTCCTTTTATTTCTCACTTCCAAGTTCCTTTTTCTCCTCACAGGGTTCTTTGGGAAGATGCGAATTTTGCCCTATTATAAATATATGGCACATTGCCACTCCTGCATTCAGTCACTTTCAACCTATCTTTGATGGAGTTAGCCTACATGGTAGGTTAACTACATCTTGGAGGTACCACAGGGAATAGGAGAGGTCCCTGACCTCAAGAGTCCTGGGCTGGAGAAAGAAGAGAAAGAAGAGAAGGAGTGTGGCTGGTGCTTAGGGAAGAGTCTTTGGGCTACAGCCAAGAGCCCTCTGCAGGAGTTTTGAGCTCTGGCTTTGGAGTCAAAACGATTGGACCTCAAGTCTCAGTTCTGCCACTTACTAGCTGGGCCCTTTCCAAGTTACCCAATCTCTCAATACCCCAGTTTTGAAAATGGGGACTTCAAGTTCAAGTTAGAGAATTGTGATGAAAATGGAATGAGATAACGCATGCAAAATGTCTAAGCATGACTGAGCCTGGTGTGCTCACAGTAAGTGCTCCCATCATTTTATTTAGATTATAGAGTTCAGGAAGGCACTCTGTTCACTGCCAAGTTCACAGTGCTGAATAGACAATATATTTTGGATCACTGCACTTCAAGCAAGGGGCTTAAATGCTGGAGGATGTCTGGAGAATCAGAGGAAGCTGAGTGTAAATGTTTTTGCTCTTAGATCGGTCTCTTTTAGAAATATGAAATGATTTGAAAGAGACATGAAAATATAACACTGTATATTTAAGTACTGGGTATCTACGTTATGGATGAGCGACATCTGTAACCATTCAATTATGTTTATAAGACAAAATTGCAAACAACATATATGTCCAACAAGAGGATTGAACAAATTAGTAATTTTATAATCATGCTGTCATTAAAAACATTTTAGAGGAATATTAAATGACATAAGTGATCATATAATCTCAGCATTTTGGGAGACCGAAGTGGAAAGACTTTGAGACCAGCCTGAGCAATGTAGCAAAACCCCACCCCTATTTAAAAATTAACTAATTAATTAAAAAATAAATGATCATTAACTTTTTTTTTTTTTTTTGAGATGCAGTCTTGCTCCATCGCTCAGGCTGGAGTGCAGTGGCACCATCTCGGCTCACTGCAACCTCCGCCTCCTGTGTTCAAGCGATTTTCCTGCCTCAGACTCCTGAGTAGCTGGGATTACAGGCGCCCACCACCATGTCTGGATAATTTTTGTATTTTTAGTAGCGACAGGGTTTCGCCATGCTGGCCAGGCTGGTCTCGCACTCCTGACCTCAGGTGATCCGCCCGCCTCATCTTCCCAAAGTGCTGGGATTACAGGCATGAGCCACCATGCCCGGTCTGATCATTAAATTTTAAGCAGAAAATTCAAAATCAGATTCCAATTCTCAGGCCGGGTACAGTGGCTCAGGCTTGTAATTCCAGCACTTGGGGAGGCCAAGGCAGAAGGATCACTTGAGGCCAGGAGTTCAAGACCAGCCTGGCCAACATGGTGACTATGGCCAACATAGTCTCTACTAAAAATAAAAAAATTAGCCAGGCATGGTGGGTGCCTGTAATCCCAGCTACTAGCAAGGCTGAGGCAGGAGAATCGCTTGAACCTGGGAGGCAGAAGTTGCAGTGAGCTGAGAATGCGCCATGGCACTCCAGCCTGGGCAACAAGAGCGAAACTCCGTCTCAAAAAGAAAAAAAAAGAGAGAAAGTCCCGTTCTCTGTAATCCCGGTGCTTTGGGAGGCCAAGGTGGGAGGTTCACTTGAGGCCATGAGTTTAAGACCAGCCTGAGTAACATAGTGAGACCCCCAACTCTACGAAAAATAAAAATTAGCCAGGTGCAGTGGCTTGCACCTGTATTCCTAGCTACTCAGAAAGCTGAATACAAGAGTATCACTTAAGCCCAGGAGTTTGAGGCTGCAGTGAGCTATGATTGCATCACTGTACTCCAGGGTGGGTGACAGAGCAAGACCTCCTCTCTGAAAAATAAAAATAAAACCCCAAACCAAATATGGAAAAGGAGAAAACTAGAATAAATCCTGTGCTGCTGAACTGAAACTGGAGGTGCCAGTCTAAACTCCCAGATTTTAAAATGGGTGGATGAAGGGAGAGAGAGAGAGAGAGAGAAATAAACCATTTACTAGCTCTGTTTGCTGGGAGACCTCAGAAGCAATGATTTACCAGTAGCACTGAATATACCAGTAGTCCAGATCTTAGTTTCTAATACCACCATCCACTAAAAGGAACCAGGGAACCTTGGAGAAATGGGTGGCTTCCAGGCTGGATTAGAGGATAGTTAACAGATACGTCAGTTTACTCTCAAATATTTTCTACATATAATTAAGTCATTATATAATATATAGTACATATTGTAAGTATATATTAGGTGATATAGAGAACTATGTCATATATATTACATGCCAATATAATAGTCCTATCATATACCCATATCTGTCTATGGAAGTTCCTTGTGCTAGTCTTACAACTTTTCTGTAAGGCTGAAATTTACGAGGCTGGGTACGGTGGCTCACACCTGTAATTTCAGCAATTCCGGAGGACGAAGTGGGCAGATCACTTGAGGCCAGGAGTTTGAGACCGGCCTGGGCAATATGGCAAGACCTCATCTCTACAAAAAATACAAAAAATTAGCTGGGTGTGGTGGTGCATGCCTGTAGTCTCAGTTACTCAGGAGGCTGAGGTGGGAGAATCGCTTGAGCCTGGGAGGTCGAAGTTGCAGTGAGCCGAGATCACATCACTGCACTCCAGCCTGGGTGACAGAGCCAGACCCTGTCTCAAAAGAAAAAAAAAGAAAAAGAAAATAAATTATGTTAAAATAAAAAGTTATCAACCAACAACAGGAAAATCCCTTTGGCAGGCTTCCATTAGTAGAAGTGAGAAGGGTGGTCCTGTTCCCACCCCCAGCTCTCAGCCTGGCCCCACTCTGCCTAGAGGACAGTTCAGGAAGCCACGGGCTCCGAGGTCACCCTCCCCTGCTCACTCTGATCTCCATGCGGCTCAGCACACCCCCTCTTCCGTCCCTCTTCCTGTCCCTCCTCCACCCTCCGCCCTTCATCTGTGCTCTCTGGCATTCATGTCCCTCATCCGCAAAACCTCTGGCTCCCAACTTCTTTCAATTTCCCCACCTTGTGTACTCCCCTGAGGACACTGTTTTACTCAGAACCCCTCAGGGGTTGGTTGTTTCCTGTCCCCACACCTACCAGCCCTGGGGCAATTCTCCTTGCTCCATCTTGCCACATCAGGCCCTTCTCCCGCACTCTGCCCTAACTCCCCTTGTCCCCACCCCTAGCTTCCAATCTCGGCATAGACCAGCCCTGGCCAATAGAACTCTCTGTGATGACTGGAATGCTTTATAACGGCACTGCCCAATACGGAAGCCATTGGCCACATGTGCACCTGAAGGAGGCTGGAGAAACTAAGGAACAGTTTTACATTTCATTTAATTTTCATTACTTGATTTTTTTAAATTCATTAATTAGATAAGTTTATTTATTTAATTATTTTGGAGACAGAGTTTCGCTATGTGGCCTAGGCTGGAGTGCAGTGGTGTGATCTCACTGCAACCTCGGCATCCCAGGCACAAGCCATCCTCCCACCTCAGCCTCCCGAGCAGCTGGGACTATAGGCACATGCCACCACACCTGGCTTATTTTTGTATATTTTGGTAGAGACAGGGTCTTGCCACATTGCCTAGGCTGGTCTCAAACTTCTGAGCTCAAGCAATCCTCCCGCTTTGGCCTCCCAAAGTGTTGAGATTACAGGCTTGAGCCACTGTGCCTGGCCAATTAATTTAGTTTTTGAGACAAGGTCTCATTCTGTTGCCCAGGCTGGTGTGCAGTGGTGCAATCACAGCCCACTGCAGCCTTGTCCTCCTGGGCTCAAGTGGTCCTCCCATCTGAGGCCTCTCCTGAGTAGCTGGTACCACAGGGGCACGCTACCAGGCTCAGCCTTAATATTTGCATTAATTTAAATTGACTACACGGATGGTGCTACTGTGTTGGGCAGCGACGTGTGGACAAACCGCCCTTTACCCTTCTTTTTATGGTGACCTGCAGACCCCCAAGTTCCTCCCTCTCATTCTAGTCCCCTTCTCCCCATCACTGTTCCCATCCTTACTTATGGGTGGTTTTTTTTTTTGTTTTTGTTTGTTTGTTTGTTTGAGACAGGGTCTTGCTCTGTCACCCAGGATGGAATGCAGTGGCAGGATCATGGCTCACTGCTGCAGCCTCGACCTTCTAGGCTCAAGTGATCCTCCTCCCACCTCAGCTTCCTGAGTGGCTGGGACCACATATAGGTGCATACCCCTACACCTGACTAACCTACTTATGTCTTCTTTTTTTTAATGGAGCAGGGTCTCACTATGTTGCCTAGACTGGTTTTGAATTTCTGGGGTCAAGCAATCCTTCTGCCTTGGCCTCCCAAAGTGCTGGAATTACAGGCATAAGCCAGGGCACCTAGCCTATTTATAACTTTTATTTTAAGTTCAGGGGTACATGGCCGGGCACGGTGGCTCACACCTATAATCCCAACACTTTGGGAGGCCAAGGCAGACAGATCGCTTGAGTTCATGAGTTTGAGACCAGCCTCTGGACAACATAGTGAGACCACGTCTGAAAAAATAAAATAATTTTTTAAAATGTTTTAATTAAAAAAAAAAATCAAGTCAGCTCAAGCATGACCTGCCCTTGAAACCATTCTTGATCCTCATTTGGGCTTCCGCCCCTGGCATCTCCCATCCCTCTATCACAGCTTTAGTGCCTGATCCCAAAGTCCTGGATTCCTCATCTGTCTGATCTCACACTGCGAGCTACTAGAGGGCACTCCCTTCCTCAGCTCTATATTAATGCCCAGCACCACGCCTGGCATAAAGTAGGTTGTCGGCAAATGTTTGGTTAATATGTGAATTCTTATAATTATTTTGATAAACATTGTGATTTTTAATTCTTTAGTAAGTATATCAAATGTTTAACTATTTGGAAAATATATATTGCTCATTGCCATAAATAATATGCGCTTAATTTGCCAATAGTTGATAAACATTGCAGAAACTTAAAATTCAGAGAACACACACTGTGATTAATAACTTTAGAGGTCAGTAATGTCCAATTCTCAGAAGAATACTTGTCCTTTTTTGTTTATGTTTTTTTGTTTTTTTGTTTTTGAGACAGAGTGTTGCTCTGTCGCCAGGCTGGAGTGCAGTGGCGCGATCTCAGCTCACTGCAACCTCCGCCTCCCTGGTTCAAGCGATTATCCTGCCTCAGCCTCCCTAGTAGCTGGGATTACAGGCGCCTGCCACTGTGCCCAGCTAATTTTTGTATTTTTAGTAAAGACAGGGTTTCACCATGTTGGCCAGGCTGGCCTTGACCTCCTGAGCTCAAGTGATCCACCCATCTCAGCCTCCCAAAGTGCTGGGATTACAGGCGTGAGCCACAGTGCCCAGCCCCCATCATTTTCTTAAAGAGGTTTTCAAGATCCCACTTATGTTCATGGTTTCACCTATGAACATTTATGCTAATGTGAGTGACCTCCTTCGCTCTCCCCTGGGATTTATTTGGCGGGAGTAGCACACTGATAGATGGATGGAATACAGCATCAGGAAATAACAGCATCTTTTCTTTTCAGCACACATCATTTTTAAGGTGTATCCACTTGGGAAATGGGTGCTATGAGAATAGGGAATTTTGGATTTGAATATTGTGAAGGAATAATGGTTCTCAACCACACAAAAGCCATGGAATAACAGCACTGGTTTTCTCCAGGTATCCTGTTTGGTGGAAGCCTGCTGAGTCTATTGGCAGAGGGAAGCCATTGCAACTTATGACAGCATACAAGGTAGGACTTTTGAGATGTCAGTAGAAACAGGGGAGCACTGGTCCCTTCCTAGGAGGGGCAGAGGGTGTCAAAGGCATCTGTGGGTCTGGGTTGGGTGCGAGCCTGAGCCTCGTGAGCATTGTGGAAGTTGCCCAAGAATGTGGAGTTTGATGCGGGGGGGCCCTCATGTTGTAGACCATACCTCCCGTCTGCTTCCCGGGAACCTCTGCTTCTTCCCAATCTGCCTTTGTCCTCCCTAGATCCTAAAGCCCTGCAGCTCCCTGGAGCCATCTTCTGGAGTAAACAGACTCTGCAACATCATCCACTTGCCTCCACCCCCTGCCATAGCCCTCACCTGAGGATGCTGTGGGCAACTGCAGGTCTCCGCCCTCCAGGCTGCTGCTGCCAGACCCCGATACCTCCACACTTGTGTAGAAGCCCCTGCTCCCCAGGGCTCCTGCCATCCTGCTGAACACCCTCTGCCCCTCCTAGGAAGGGAGCAGAGAAAGTCATGTGTGTCTGCAACGATGGGTTCGCAGGAGATGGTCAGATCCACTAGGGAAGCATCTGCATCTGCCTGGCTCACCACATGGTAAAGCTAATAAACAGTAACTATTTCCCCGAATGAACAAATGAACGATGAATGAATGAATGTTAACACCTGCCCACTCCCCATTGCGCGGTGAATACTCAGGCATCTAGCTTTAGAGCAGTATTTCGCTCCAGCCCAAGAAGGGTGGCTTCAGTGCCCCGTGGAGGACACCGGATGGCCGCCTCTGTGCACCTTCACTTCCTCCACTCCAAGGCCTTCCCTTTTCTCTCCCTTCAGGTGCCCACTCCTGTGCCACACCCTGTACCTTGTCATCACCTGAAACTGCTCCGCCCCTGAAATCTTGAATACAAGTACCCCACCTCCATCCCCCATGCCTGCCTCCCACCACACCTTCCCCTTAACTCACACACCGCCTCTGCTCCCTGCCACCCCATCACCTCCTCCTGGTCCTGTTTCTCTTCCAGCCAAGCCTGAACCCCAGGCTGCCTGAACCTCCCTCTCATCAGCACCTTTCCTTCTCTGTGCCTCACCTTGTTTCAGCAGAACCCCAGCCTAGCTCAGCATTTTTTTTTTTTTTTTGAGACAGGGTCTTCCTCTGTCACCCAGGCTGGAGCACAGGACTCAAGGGATTCTCCCACCTCAGCCTTCTGAGTACCTGGGGTTACAGGCACCTTGCCTGCCTATTTTTTTTATTTTTTGTAGAGATGGGGGTCTCACTATGTTGCCTAAGCTGGTCTCGAACTCCTGGCCTCAAATGATGCTTTCACCTCAGCCTCCTAAAGTGCTGGGATGACCGGCGTGAGCCGCTGTGCCTGGCTACATTTTTTGTTATATCACAATATCACCCTCTCCCAAGGTTGCCTCTTTCTTCTTAGCTCAGGGGATGCAGCACCTGTGGTTCAAGGTCATTACCACCTCCTGTTTGGACACAGAATCCTCCCCAGCTCCCCATCAGCTATCTCCTCATTTTCTTTTATCTTCAGACTCATTAGATTGACCCCTCCCCTCAGCTGGCAAACATGCACCACTGCCTTCTGTCCTAACGCCCATCCTCCTTGGTCCCTGATGCCCATCAGCCGTCATCTAATCTCTCTCCTTCCCTGTGCATCTCACCTCCTCAGAAGGGAGGCCTCATCACAGTCGTCAGCACCTGCCTGCACATACATGCACTCCCCTGACAGGGGAGGACCTACCTGCACGTGCATCAGGCTCATGGCTGGGGAGAGCCAGGAAAACAGGACAGACAAGGCCGCCGACCTCCTGAAGCCTACATTCCAGTGCAGAAGGGAGGAAATCGGCAAGCAGATAGGTAACTAAAAATGAGAAGCGCACACATTCTTTTAAAGTCCTATGAAGAAGATAAAAAGAGGCAACGAGACTGAGCAGGCGGGACATGGGGTCTCACACCTGTAATCCCAGCACTTTGGGAGGCCAAAGTGGGGAAGGGTGGGACATCATTTGAGACCAGCATGGGCAACATAGTGAGTCCCCATCTCAAAAAAAAAAAAAAAAGAGAGAGAGAAAGAGACTGACAGAAACTGAGAAAATGCACTTCAGTGAGTGTTCTTTCTGAAGCAACAACAGTGCCTGAAAGTTTATTTCTTTATTTATTTTTGAGACAGAGTTTTACTCTTGTTGCCCAGGCTGGAATGCAGTGGCACGATTTCGGCTCACTGCAACTTCCGCTTCCCAGGTTCAAGCGATTTTCCTGCCTCAGCCTCCTCAGGAACTGAGATTACAGGTGCTCGTCACCACACCCAGCTAATTTTTGTATTTTCAGTAGAGATGGGGTTTCACCATGTTGGTCAGGCTGGTTTCAAACTCCTGACCTCAGGTGATCCACCCACCTCGGCCTCCCAAAGTGCTATGATAACAGGCGTGAGCCACTGCCCCCGGTCTAGTGCCTGAAAGTTTGGAATGATCCAGATATGTAAGGAGTGGAGGGAAGAGCATGAGGGGCCCTGGGAACAGAAAATGCAGTGCCCAGGGCTAAGAAACCGCATGGCTTAGGGAAAGCAAGTGCGGGTGGGTGCCACGCCCTCCTCAGCCCTCCACAGCCTGGTTTCTTCCCCTGCCACTGCCTTGGAAGCCACACTCTTCTCCTTTGTGAGCCCAGTGAGAGGGCTCTGCCATATTGATTAGTCCTCCCTGCTCTATTTCTCCTTCCTTGATCTTCTCTTCCGGAGCCACCCCCTCTTGTGACTTCCATGACTCAGAGCACCCCCACCCTCCCTGCATCCGTGCCCACTCCCTGCCTGGCTCCTTTCCCGTGCTGGTTGCCTGACTGCCCTTCAGGTGTGCTTGACCTGAGTCTCCATTCTCGCCCACTGCTCCCTCACTCCACACCAGAGGGTCAGAACATTTTCTGGGGTCATAGACTCCTTTGATTCTCTGCTGGTCACTCTTCCCAGAAAAAAATAAGTGCACATAATACATACATATGATTTTTTCCATACAACATCATGAAGGGGTTTGAGGGTCCCCCTAAGTGTCGTGAACTCCAAATTAAGAAGCTTCATTTCTACATTGTCCCAGAAAGATTCCATCTATTTTCACAGTACTATCTGTTTATAGCTTTTTAAAGTTGAAAACTGCACTGTAATTCCAGCACTTTGGGAGGCCAAGGCGGGCAGATCACTTGAGGTCATGAGTTTGAGACCAGCCTGGGCAACACGGTGAAACCCCGTCTCTACTAAAAATACAAAAATTAGCCGGGCGTGGTGGCAGGCACCTGTAATCTCAGCTACTCGGGAGGCTGAGGCAGGAGAATCACGTGAACCAGGAAGGCGGAAGTTGTAGTGAGCTGAGATCACGCCACTGCACTCCAGCCTGGGTGACAGAGTACGACTCCGCCTCAAAACAAAACAAAACAAAAAGACCCTGAAAATTCAGGTGGGTAGGGATGAATGGGCAGACACAGAAGATCTATATGATACTGTCATGGTGGATACATGTCATCGTATATTTGTCACAGCCACAGAATATATAGCACCAAGAGTGAAACCTGATGTAAACTGTGGCCTTCGGGTGATAATGACTTGTCAGTGTAGGTCCCTCCACTATAGCAAATGTGTCACTCTGGTGGATGGTGTTGATCAAGGGGGAGGCTGTGAGTGTGTAGGGGTAGTGGGTATATGGGACATCTCTTGAGAACCTTCTGCTCAATTTGCTCTGAAGAACAAAGCTCTAAAACTGCTCTAAAAAATAAAGTCTGACCAGGCACGGTGGCTCACGCCTGTAATCCCAGCACTTTGGGAGGCCAAGACAGGCGGATCGCCTGAGATCAGGAGTTTGAGACCAGCCTGGCCAACATGGTGAAACCTCATCTCTACTAAAATTACAAAAATTAGCCGGGTGCGGTGACAGGCACCTGTAATCCCAGTTACTTGGGAGGCTGAGGCAGGAGAATCACTGGAACCTGGGCGGCGGAGGCTGTAGTGAGCCGAGATTGCACCATCGCACTCCAGCCTGGGCAACAAGAGCGAGACTTCATCTAAAAATAAAAAAATTTTTAAAAAGCCTGTTATTTTAAAAATGAATCATATGTAGGAAAGAGAACAAATTACATGTATGAAGCTTGACAGATCATAAGTGGGGATTCCCATGAAGCCACCACCCAGGTCAAAAATGAGCCCTGAATGTGACCAGAAGCCCCCTCTTGCCCTCTGCCAGTCACTATCCTTGCCCACCCCCCAAGGAATCTACCATGCTGACCTGCACACCAGTGACCAGTTCTGCCTGTCATAAGTAGAATCATCTGCCGTTGGCTCTTCCATTCACCTGGCTTCGTCTGTTATGCTTGTGAGATTCTACTTTCTTGGCCGTAGCAATTGTTCTTTCTCATCCACTGCTGTCCAGTATTCATTGTCTGATGTCCCATAGTGTGTTTTGATGGACTTCTGTTTCAAGTTCTAGGCTATATTGAATAATGCTATTGTGAGCATTCTCGTACGTGTCTTTTGAGCATTCTTGTACGTGACTTTTGGTGAACATAAGTACACATTTCTTTTCTTTCTTTCTTTCTTTCTTTTTTTTTTTGTTTGAGGCGTAGTTTTGCTCTTGTTGTCCGGGCTGGAGAGCAATGGTGTGATCTTAGCTCACTGCAACATCTACCTCCTGGGTTCAAGCGATTCTCCTGCCTCAGCCTCCGGAGTAGCTGGGATTACAGGCATGTGCCACCATGCCCGGCTGATTTTTTATATTTTTAGTAGAGACAGGGTTTCTTCATGTTGGTCAGGCTGGTCTCGATCTCCTGACCTCGTGATCTGCCTGCCTCAGCCTCCCAAAGTGCTGGGATTACAGGCATAAGCTACCGTGCCCAGACACACATTTCTTTATTTTTAATTTTTAAATATTTTTTAGAGACAGGTGGAGTACAGTGGCTATTCACAGGTGCCATCATAGCACACTACAGCCTCAAACTCCTGACCTCAAGTGATCTTCCTGCCTCAGCTTCCTATGTAAGCTGAGACTACAGGCACATGCTACTGTGCTGGACTGTACATATTTCTTTTTCTTTTTTCTTTTTCTTTCTTTCTTTCTTTTTTTTTTTTTTTTTTGTGAGACAGAGTCTCACTCTGTCGCCCAGGCTGGAGTGCAGTGGCACAATCTCAGCTCACTGCAACCTCTGCCACCCAGGTTCAAGTGATTCTCCTGCTTCAGCCTCCCGAGTAGCTGGGATTATAGGTGACTGCCATCGCGTCTAGCTAATTTTTGTATTTTTAGTAGAGACGGGATTTCACCATGTTGGCCAGGCTGGTCTTGAACTCCTGACCTCGTGATCCACCCGCCTCAGCCTCCCAAAGTGCTGGGATTACCGGTGTTAGCCACCACACTGGGCCAGCTGTACATTTTTCTGTTGAGTGTGTATTTAGGAGCGGAATTGCTGGGTCATAGGAGATACATATGTTCAACATAGGTAGATAATTCCAAATAGCTTTCCAAAGTGATCGTACTCATTCACACACCCACCAGCAATGTGTGAGTACATCTCCATCCTTACCAACACTTGGTATTGCCAGAATTTTTAACTTTCACCATTCAGGTATGTGTGTAATGACAGCTGGTTGTGGTTTTAATTTTTATTTCCCCAATGACTAATCATGTAGAGGACATTTTTTATGTGCTAATTGTTATTAATACACTAATATACTTTTTATTGGATTGCTTTTATATTATTGAGTTGTAGGAATTCTTTATATATATCCTGGATACTAGTCCTTTGTCAGACACATACTTTGTGAATATTTTCTCCTGGTGTATAGCTTGCCTATTTTCTTTTCTTTCTTTTTTGTTAGAGACAGTCTCACTCTGTCACCCAGGCTGCAGTGCAGTGGCACCATCATAGCTCACTGCAGCCTCAAACTCCTGGGCTCTAGCAATCCTCCTGCCTCAGCCTTCTGAGTAGCTTGGACTACAGGCACTAGTCACCATGCCCGGCTCCTATTCTTTTTTTTTTTTTTTTTTTGAGACAATGTTTCACTCTTGTTGCCCAGGCTGGAGTGCAATGGCACAATCTCGGCTAACTGCAACCTCTGCCTCCTGGGTTCAAGCAATTCTCCTGCCTCAGCCTCCCGAGTAGCTGGGATTACAGGCATGTGCCACCATGCCTGGCTAATTTTGTAATTTTAGTAGAGGCAGGGTTTTTCCATGTTAGGCTAGTCTGGAACTCCCAACCTCAGGTGATCCGCCCACCTTGGCCTCCCAAAGTATTGAGATTATGGGCATGAGCCACTGCGCCGGGCCCTATTTTCTTTTCTTCTTTTTTGAGTCGGAGTCTCGCACTGTCGTCCAGGCTGGAGTGCAATGGCAAGATCTCCACTCACTGCAACCTCTGCCTCCCAGGTTCAAGAAATTCTTCTGCCTCGGCCTCCCGAGTAGCTGGGACTACTGGCACGCACCAGTAGTCTAAACTACTGGTTCCTGGCTAATTTTTTGTATTTTTAGTAGAGACAGGGTTTCACCATATTTGTCCAACTGGTCTCAAACTCCTGACCTCGTGATCCGCCCACCTCTGCCTGCCAAAGTGCTGGGATCACAGGCGTGAGCCACTGCTCCCGGCCTCAGCTCCTATTTTCTTAATTATGTCTTTTGATGATCAAAAGTTTTTCATTTTGATGAAGTCCAATTTAACAACTCTTACAATTGTTGCTTTCTGTGACATACGACATCTCCGCCTATTCCCCAAGTCACACAGATATCCTCCTAGGTTTTCCTCTAAAAACCTTTTCGGGCCAGGCACGGTGGCTTACGCCTGTAATCCCAGCACTTTGGGAGGCCAAGGCCGGGGGATCACGAGGTCAGGAGTTCAAGACTAGCCTGGCCAAGATGGTGAAACCCTGTCTCTACTAAAACTACAAAAATTAGCCGGGCATGGTGGCAGGCACCTGTAATCCCAGCTACTTGGGAGGCTGAGGCAGGAGAATCGCTTGAACTTGGGTGACAGAGATTGCAGTGAGCTGAGATCACGCCACTGCACTCCAGCCTGGGTGATGGAGTGAGACTCCATCTCAAAAAAACAAAACAAAACAAAAACTTTACAGTTTTAACTTTGATATTTAGGTCTGTTTTTTTTTTTTTTTTTTTTTTTTTAGACAGAGTCTTGCTCTATCACCCAGGCTGGAGTGCAGTGGCACAATCTCAGCTCACTGCAACCTTCTCCTCCCAGGTTCAGGCAATATCAGTGCCTTAGCCTCCTAAGTAGCTGGGATTACAGGCATATGCCACCATGCCTGGCTCATTTTTGTATTTTTAGTAGAGATAGGTCTTGCCACATTGGCCAGGCTGTTCTCAAACTCCTGGCCTCAAGAGATCCGCCCATCTTGGCCTCCCAAAGTGCTGGGATTACAGGTGTGGGTCACCATGCCTGGCCTATGGTCCATTTTGAATTAATATTTTTTGTATGATATGAAGTAGGACTCACGGTCCACTTTCAGCCATACAGATACACAGTAAATCCCAGTACCATTTGTTGAAAAGCATTTTCCTTCCCCATTGGATTGCTTTGGTGCTTTTGTTGAAAATCGGATAACTACATAAATTGGAATAGACTCCTGAGCTCTTTATTATTTTTATGATCTGTTTGTAGATTCTCAAACTAAAAGTGCATAATTCATTACTGTTGCTTTGTAGTATGTCTTGAAATGAGGCAAGGTAAGTCCTCTGACTTTGTTCTTTTTTTTGTTTTTTGTTTGTTTGTTTTGAGATGGATTCTCACTCTGTTGACCAGGCTGGAGTGCAGTGGCGCAATCTGGGCTCACTGAAACCTCTGCCTCCCGGGTTCAAGCAATTCTCCTGCCTCAGCCTCCCGAGTAGCTGGGATTACAGGCAAGTGCCACCACATCCGGCTAATTTTTGTATGTTTAGTAGAGACCGGGGTTTCCCCATGTTGGCCAGGCTGGTCTCGGACCCCTGACCTCAGGTGATCCACCCCCCTCAGCCTCCCAAAGTGCTGGGATTACAGGCGTGAGCCACCATGCCTGGCCTGACTTTGTTCTTTTTTAAAGTGTTTTGAGAAAAAACACTTTGCATTCCTATATACATTTTAGAATCAGCTTGTCAACTTCTATCAAAAAAAAGATTACTGAGATTTTGGTTGTGGGATTGTGTTGAATGTATAGATTAATGTGGTGAAAACTGGAATCTTAAATAAGTCTTATCCTGAATTGTTTACTTATTTCCCCTATTCTCCAACTGTCCACCAAAACTTCCTCTTACTGATGTATATTGTGTCTTAGGTAGAGTACCATTATCTACTATCCTGGCTGACTTTATAACTGGGAGGCACTTTTAACTTCGCCCTCTTCCTCAGCCCTAACAACAATCTTTAAGGCTGGCTGAATTTGCCCCCTAAATCTTACTGGATTCATTCATGACTCTTTGTCCCCATGACTGCTATGCTAATGTAGGCCTTCCTCGTTTCTCACCGGGGTAACTGCAATCACAGCATAACTAGTTTTTCTGCTCTAGGCTGGACCCTGCAAATCTACTTTGCACTCAGCCTCAGAAAGATGGCTCTTGCAAATCTGACCATGCCACTCTGGCTCAAAGCCCATGGGTTCTAAGTTGCAGTCCTGATGGCTTTGACCTGAGATGCAGCGTGCTCATGATCTGGCCCTTTCCCACCCTTCAGTTGCATTTCCTGATATTCCCTGTACTCTGTTCTTTCTGAAAGTCTTGTGACTAAGAAGGGACCCCACAGATGAATAAGGGTCCCTTCTTAGTGTGCCCATAATGCTCTGTACACAGGACCAGCTACACAATTTCAAGAACCTAGTGCCAAATTAAAACATGGGGCCCCTTGTTCAAAAATGGTTAAGAATTTCAAGAGGTGACAGTAGAATGTTAAACCAAGTGTGGGGCCCATCTGAGCAGGGGGACCCTATATGACCATGCCGGGCCTGGGCACATCTCATGCTTGTTATTGTCTCTGTTTCTGTGATACAAACAGGCAGCCCTAGAGCTCTGGAGATCCCAGGCAAATCATCCATGAGGTAAGTTGCTTTCTTCCAAAATCAATGGCTTTGGCTTTTGTTATAATCTGATTAACGTAAATGCTCTTACAAGGTCAAACATTCATAGTTTTACAGTCCAGTTACTCAGTTCTGAAAACTGCAGTTAACTAATGACAATGTGTGAGAACCCCTAAGATCAGGCATCGTGAGTCGTGATTAAACGGATTGCTGTGGTCACAATGTCAGTCAGCAGTTTCATCACAAAGATAGAGGTTGTGATAAGCATTCAGACACAGAAGTTACCTTGGGGTCAATTTGTATTCTGTGTAGTATAATTAGCCTGTGCTTATTCTCAGTAAATATCTGACAATGTTCTTATTCAAAGGATTCTATAAATTAAATGTCCCTCCCCAGAATAGATTGGAAATGCACATTTATTTGTACTTGGTATTACTCATACAACACTTAGGTGTGTGATTAAAGGAGGAAATGTACAGTGAGCTAGCATCCCCTGGTTTTGGCAGGGTGTGGGTGTTGACTGTGGCATGGTTTGGGACCCAGGCTCTAGCAAAGGTCTTCATGGGCAAGTCTAAGTGTCTTTTGGTCTGTCCTACTGCCAAGCCACCTGACTTCATTCATCAGTCCCTAGAATGCTTCATCAATGCAGACAAACATCTCAGCCAGCCTTTTATTTCTATTTCTACTTGTTATTTTTTTGAGAAGGAGTCTTGCTCTATCGCCCAGGCTGGAGTGCAGTGGCACAATCTCAGCTCATTGCATCCTCCGCCTCCCGGGTTCAAGTGATTCTCGTGCCTCAGCCTCCCGAGTAGCTGGGACTACAGGCACGTGCCACTACGCCCGGCTAATTTTTTGTGTTTTAAGTAGAGACAGGGTTTGACCACGCTGGTCAGGCTGGTCTCAAACTCCTGACCTCAAGTGGTTACACCACTCCAGCCTGTGCAACACAGCAAGACTCCTTCTCAAAAAAATAAAAAATAAAAGTTTTTTAAAAATACAAAAAATGAACAAAATTAGCCAGGTGGGGTGGTGTGTGCCTGTAGTCCCAGCTACTTGGGAGGCTTCAGTGCGAGGATCTCTTGAGCCCGGGAGGTCAAGGCTGCAGTGAGCCGAGATCACACCATTGCACTCCAACCTGGTTGACAGATTGAGACTCTGTCTCACAAAAAAAAAAAAAAAAAAAAAAAAAAATTCTTAAGACTTTTTAATTGCAAAAAAGAGAAAGTAAGTTGTAAATCTACAAATATCCTAGAGTTCCCATTTACCACCCCCCGCCTCGCACCCAGCACTCTGGTTGTTAACATCATACATAACCCTGGTATATATATCAAAATATGAAATGAACACTGATACAATGCTGTCAACTAAACTGCAGATTTTATTCAGATATAACCAGCTTTTCCACTAATGTCCTCTTTCTATTCCAGCATTGAGTCCAGGACACCACATTGACTAAAGACATAATTCTTTTAAATGTTACTTAAAGATGTACAAATAGAAACCTAGTTACAAAATGTATTATGCTTTTAACTCTTGTATTATTATAAACCAAACCAAAACAAATTTATATTTTCTTTTTTTTTTGAGACAGAGTCTCGCTGTGTCACCCACGCTGGAGTGCAGTGGTGTGATCTTGGCTCACTGCAACCTCCATCTCCCAGGTTCAAGCGATTCTCCTGCCTCAGCCTCCGGAGTAGCTGGGATTACAGGCATGTGACACTATGCCCGGCTAATTTTTTGTATTTTTTTTTTTTTTTTTTTTTGTAGAGACAGGGTTTCACCATATTAGCCAGGATGGTCTCGATCTCCTGACCTCGTGATCCGCCCACCTCGGCTTCCCAAAGTGCTGGGATTATAGGCATGAGCCACCGCACCCAGCCCTTTATAAGTTATTTTCAAGCAAAACTTTAAAACTTCAACCTAGTATAATTCAAATTAATTTAGTACGATGATTGATATCGTTTTGATGGAAACCTGCTCTTTGCTAAATGAATGGAGAGCTCTGCTATGGCAAGAGTTCTCGGCCGGGCGCGGTGGCTCACGCCTGTAATCCCAGCACTTTGGGAGGCCGAGGCGGGTGGATCACGAGGTCAGGAGATCGAGACCATCCTGGCTAACGTGGTGAAACCCCGTCTCTACTAAAAATACAAAAAATTAGCCGGGCGTGGTGGCGGGCGCCTGTAGTCCCAGCTACTCGGGAGGCTGAGGCAGGAGAATGGCGTGAACCCGGGAGGCGGAGCTTGCAGTGAGCCGAGATTGCGCCACTGCAGTCCGCAGTCCGGCCTGGGCGACAGAGCGAGACTCCGTCTCAAAAAAAAAAAAAAAAAAAAAAAGAGTTCTCTTGCTTCTACCCCTGTGCTATCACGTTCCCTGGGATGGTTTAATTCTTCCTGCCCCTGACTTCAATTTGGTCAATTGCAAAACCCTTTTTCCCACAGTGAGCCATGACGTCATTGACTTTCACTGGGCTCAAACTTGCCCGTATCTTATTACCTCCTACCAGACCCATCTCATCTCTTTTTTTGAGAGGTAGTCTCACTCTGTCACCCAGGCTGGAGTGCAGTGGTGCAATCTCAACTCACTGCAACCTCTGCCTCCTGGGTTCAAGTGATTCTCCCATCTCAGCCTCCCGAGTAGCTGGGACTACAGGCACCTACCACCATGCCCAGCTAATTTTTCTATTTTTAGTAGAGACGGGTTTCACCATGTTAGCCAGGCTGGTCTCGAACTCCTTGCCTCAAGTGATCTGCTTGCCTCGGCCTCCCAAAGTGCTGGGATTATAGGCGTGCGCCACTGTGCCCGGCCCAGAGCCTCTCCTAATCACTGGGTCAAGACAATACAACTAGTGGGACAGGCGCGGTGGCTCACGCCTGTAATCCCAGCACTTGAGGAGGCTGAGGCGGGCAGATCACGAGGTCAGGAGATCGAGACCATCCTGGCTAACACGGTGAAATCCCGTCTCTACTAAAAGTACAAAAAATTAGCCGGAGGCCGGGTGTGGTGGCTCACGCCTGTAATTCCAGCACTTTGGGAGGCCAAGGAGGGCAGATCACAAGGTCAGGAGTTCTAGACCAGCCTGGCCAATATGGTGAAAGTCCCGTCTCTACTAAAAGTACAAAAAATTAGCCGGAGGCCGGGCGTGGTGGCTCACGCCTGTAATTCCAGCACTTTGGGAGGCCAAGGAGGGCAGATCACAAGGTCAGGAGTTCTAGACCAGCCTGGCCAATATGGTGAAACTCCCGTCTCTACTAAAAATACAAAAATTAGCCGGACGTGGTGGTGCATGCCTATAGTCCCAGCTACTCAGGAGGCTGAGGCAGAAGAATCACTTGAACCCGGGAGATGGAGGTTGCAGTGAGCCGAGATTGCACCACTGCACTCCAGCCTGGGCAACAAGAGCAAGACTCCGTCTTAAAAAAAAAAGAAAGAAAGAAAGAAAGAAAGAAAAAATAGTAGTGGCACATGGAACCAGTGAACTGTAAACTTAAATGCAAACTTGGCACTGAAATCAAGCAGCAGTGCTTCTTAGAAGATGGCCAACCAGAGAATTGGGTGTGCTTATTATCACTGAAGTATTAATAGAAGAAAAACACCTAAAGATTATCTCTCTTTCATTATTTTCTTTTTCGAGAAGTCTCACTGTGTCACCCAGGCTGGAGTGCAGTGGCACGAACTCGAGATCTTGGGTCATTGCAACCTCCACCTCCCAGCCTCAAGCGATCTCCCGCCTCAGCCTCCCGAGTAGCTGGGATTACAGGCACGTGCCACCACATCCAGCTAATTTTTGTATTTTTAGCAGAGATGGGTTTTCGCCATGTTGCCAGGCTGGTTTCCAACTCCTGACCTCAAGTGATCCTCCCACCTCGGCCTTTCAAAGTGTTGGGATTACAGGCATGAGCCACCACACCCAGCCAGTTATTGTATTTATTTTTTTTTTTATTTTTTGAGATGGACTCTCGTTCTGTTGCCCAAGCTAGGGTGCAGTGGTGGGGTCTCAGCTCACTGAAACCTCTGCCTCTCAGGTTCAAGTGATTCTCCTGTCTCAGCCTCCTGAGTAGCTGGGATTACAGGCCCACGCCGCCACACCCAACTAATTTTTTGTATTTTAGTAGAGACGGGGTTTCACTGTGTTGCCCAGGTTGGTCTCGAACTCCTGAGCTCAGGCAATCCACCCGCCTCGGCCTCCCAAAGTGCTAGGATTACTAGTGTGAGCCACCGCGCCTGGCGCCAGTTATTTTAAGAATACAAGTATAGTCTGGGCATGGTGGCTCACGCCTGTAATCCCAGCACTTTGGGAGGCTGAGGCGGGCAGATCACCTGAGGTTGGGAGTTCGAGACCAGCCTGACCAACATGGAGAAACCCCCCCCCCCCCCCGCCGTCTCTACTAAAAATACAAAATTAGCTGGGCATGGCGGCGCATGCCTGTAATCCCAGTTACTTGGGAGGCTGAGGCAGGAGAATCGCTTGAACCCGGGAGGTGGAGGTTATGGTGAGCCCAGATTGAGCCACTGCACTCCAGCCTGGGCAACAAGAGTGAAACTCCATCTCAAAAAAAAAAAAAAAAATAGAATACAAGTGTAGGCCGGGTGCGGTGGCTCATGCCTGTGATCCCAGTACTTTGGGAGGCTGAAGCAGGCAGATCACCTGAGATCGGGAGTTTGAGACCAGCCTGACCAACATGGTGAAACCCCGTCTCTACTAAAAACACAAAAATTAGCCAGGTAGTGGTGCACGCCTATTATGCCAGCTACTCAGGAGGCTGAGCAGGAGAATCGCTTGAACCTGGGAGGCAGAGGTTGCAGCGAGCTGAGATGGCACCATTGCACTCCAGCTCTGGGCAACAGAGCAAGACTTCATTTCAAAAAAAAAAAAAAAAAAAAAACAGCCAGGTGTGGTGGCTCATGCCTGTAATCCCAGCACTTTGGGAGTCCACGGTGGGTGGATCACAAGGTCAGGAGTTCAAGACCAGCCTGGCCAAGATGGTGAAACCCCATCTCTACTAAAACTACAAAAATAAGCTGGGCATGGTAGTGGCTGCCTGTAATCCCGGCTACTCAGGAGGCTGAGACAGAGAATTGCTTGAACCAGGGAGGTGGAGGTTGCAGTGAGCCGAGATCTCACCACTGCACTCCAGCCTGGGCGACAGAGGGAGACTCCATCTCAAAAAAAAAAAAAAAAAAAAAAAATTGTAAGCCCTAGTTTAAGAAACAAAACAGTGAGATGATACACAATGAGAACTTTGATCTCTAGGGCCTCTTGCAGGGGAAGAAAGATTCAGGAGAGTTACCCAGGTGTCTCAGTCCATTCTCTGTTGTTTACTACAGAATACCTGAAACTGGGTAATTTATAAAGGAAAAGAGTTTATTTGTTACAGCTGTAGAGGCTGTGAAGCCCAGGGTCGAGGCGCCATATCTGAAGAGGGCCTTCTTGCTGATGGGGACTCTGCAGTCCCGATGCGGTGCAGGGCATCACATGGTGAAGGAGCTGAGTGTCCCGGCTCAGGTCTCTCTTCCTTTTCTTATAAAGCCACCAGTTCCCCTCCCATGATAACCTATGAATCCATTAACCCATTTATCCATGAATGCAGAGTCCTCATGATCCAATCACTTCTTCTAGGCCCCAGCTCTCAATACAGCCTCATTGGAGATTAAATTTCACTGTGAGATTTGGAGGGACATTCAAACCACAGCACTGTGCAGAGGAGGGTGTTAAAAGTAGCCAGAGGAGCAGGAGCAAAGGCAAGAAGAGGGTGAGAGAGGCCTTGTATTTTTCAGGCTGTCAGTAATCCAGGATTTTTGGAGAGGGTAGTGAATGCAGGAGAGAGGCAGCAGCTTCGGCACTGGCTGGAAAAGGAAGGAGGGGCCAGGTGCCTATAAGGCCAGAACCTGCAAAGGTGTTCGAATGTAGTATTTTCTTTTTCCTAGAGAGGGTCTCACTCTGGTACCCAGGCTGGAGTGCAGTGGTACGATTATGGCTCACTGCAGCCTTGACCTCCCTAGGCTCAGGTGATCCTCCTGCCTCAGCCTCCCAAGTATCTGGGACTACAGGCATGTGCCACCACACCTGGCTAATTTTTTGTATTTTTTGTAGAGACAAGGTTTCACCATGTTGCCCAGGCAGGTCACAAACTCCTAAGGTCAAGTGATCACCCACCTCAGCCTCCCAAAGTGCTGGGATTACAGGCATGAGCCACTGTACTCGACCTTCAGGTGTGTTCTTTTTGGCTTTAGGAGGATTGAAGAGTTTTTGTAGGAGTGCACCATAATCAGATTTGCCTGTTAGAGAGAATGAGTTTGTCTCTTATGGGAGGCAGACTTGAGGCTGGGAGAACAGGAAAAGGGACTACAGTGGGCCAGGTAGGAGACAATGAGGTCTGAACTCCTGCGGCAGCAGGAACAGAGAAGGAATCTGATATTGGAAAGAAGGAACCAAATGCTTCGGAGACCTACTGGCCATGGAGGTAAAGAATTAGGAGAGGAGCCAGGCGCGGTGGCTCACACCTGTAATCCCAGCACTTCGGAAGGCTGAGGTGGGAGGATCACCTGAGGTCAGGAGTTCGAGACCCGCCTGGCCAACATGGTGAAACCCCGTCTCTACTAAAAATACAAAAATTAGCCTAAAAAATTAGCCAGGCATGGTGGCATGCGCCTGTGATCCCAGCTACTCAGGAGGCTGAGGCAGGAAAATCGCTTGAACCCGGGAGGCAGAGGTTGCAGTGAGCTGAGATCCCGCCACTGCACTCCAGCCTGGGCAACAGAGTGAGACACTGTCTCAGAAAAAAAAAAAAATTTAGGAGAGCAAGCTTGAATGTTATTTGAAGGTTTCTGGAATGGCAACTAACAGCAGAACATTTAAGGTTAGTTGGAATCTGTAACAACTAGTTTTTCTGGAATAGTTTTTAATGTTTTGGTTTTCTAATAACTAGCACTTATGTAGTGTTCTGTGTAAGGCACTGTTCTAAGTGCTTTATATGCACTTTATTTTATTGACTCTAAAAGACCATTACCTATAAGATGCACCATTCCCTCAAGATATGCACGATACACTAGACTCATCCTTTCAGAGATGCTAAAAAAAAATGAATGTCCTGAAATCAGTGATTTATGGCGTAAACTCACTTTTCTGTTTTTTTGTTTTTTGAGACAGAGTCTCGCTCTTTTGCCAGGCTGGAGTACAGTGGCGCAAACTTGGCTCACTGCAACCTCCACCTCCTGGCTCACTGCAACCTCCACCTCCTGGGTTCAAGCGATTCTCCTGCCTCAGCCACCTCAGTAACTGGGACTACAGGTGTGTGCCACCATGCCCAGCTAATTTTTGTATTTTTAGTAGAGATGGGGTTTCACCATGTTGGCCAGGATGGTCTCGATCTCTTGACCTCATGATCTGTCCTCCTCGGCTTCCCAATGTGCTGGAATTATAGGCATGAGCCACCATGCCCAGCCTTTTTTTTTTTTTTGAGACGGAGTTTCACTCTTGTTGCCCAGGCTGGAGTGCAATGGCACAATCTTGGCTCACTGCAACCTCCGCCTCCCGGGTTTAAGCGATTCCTGTGCCTCAGCCTCCAGATTAGCTGGAACTACAGGTGCCAACCACCACACCTGGCTAATTTTTGTATTTTTAGTACAAACAGGGTTTTGCTGTGTTGGCCAGGCTGGTCTAGAACTCCTGGCCTCAAGTGATCTGCCCGCCTCAGCCTCCCAAAGTGCTGGGATTAGAGGTATGAGCTACTGCGCCTGGTCATGATTAGTTTTTTTTTGTTTGTTTGTTTTTGTTTTTGAGACGGAGTCTCGGTCTATTGCCCAGGCTGGAGTGCAGTGGCGCCATCTCTGCTCACCACAACCTCTGCCTCCCGGGTTCAAGCAATTCTCCTGCCTCAGCCTCCTGAGTAGCTGGGACTACAGGTGCGTGCCACCATGCCCGGCTAATTTTTGCATTTTTAGTAGAGACAGGGGTTTCACTATGTTCACCAGGCTGGTCTTGAACTCCCGACCTCGTGATCTGCCTGCCTTGGCCTCCCAAAGTGCTGGGATTACAGGCGTGAGCCACCGTGCTCAGCCCATGATTAGGTCTTAAGGGCAGAGCTCTCATGAATGGGATTGGTGCCCTTACAAAATACAGGTTGAGTATCCCTAATCTGAAAATCCAAAATCTAAAATGCTCCAAAATCTGAAACTTTCTGAATGTCAATGTGATGCTCAAAAGGAAATGCTCACTGGAGCATTTCGGACTTGAAATGTTTGGATTAGGGATGCTTAACTGGTAGACCCATCTCTATAAAAACAAAACAGCCAGCTCTGGTGGTGTGCCTGTACTCCCAGCTACTCAGGAGGATAAGGTGGAAGGACAGCTTGAGCTCGAGTTTGAGGCTGCAGTGGGTCATGATCATGCCACTGTATTCCAACCTGGACAACAAAGTGAGATGCCCCCATGGAAAAAACCCACAACGCCAACAGAAAGTAGATTAGTGGTTGTCTAGGGCTTGGGTGGGGGATGGGGCATGGAGTGAATGCTAATTGAGGCTGGGGTTTCTTTTTGTTCTAAAAATGATTGTGGTGATGGTTGCAGAACTCTGAATACACTAGAAGTCATTACATTGTACATTCAATGGGGACATTTTACAGTATGTTAATTATATCTCAATAAAACTGTTAAAAAGGAAATGTTAATGGAATTTGGATACATTTCCACTTATTTGGTATATGGCTTTATTTTCAGTTTTATTTTACAAACACTTACATGGTCTTACTATGTGCCAAGTACTGGGTTCCAAACGTTTTATAAATATGAATGTATTTCATCCTCATAACTCTGTGAAGTGGATACTACTGTTATCTCCATTTTACACAGGTACAGAGAGGTTAGGTAACTTACCTAAGGTCTTTCAGTTAAAAATGGCAGTCGGGATTTGAATCTTGCCAGTCTGGCTTCAGAGTCTGTGATCTTTATTTATTTTTCAAGAGATAGGGTCTTGCTGTGTTGCCCAAGCTGGAGTACAGTGTTAGTCACAGGCATGATCCCATTACTGGTGAGCATGGGAGTTTTGACTTGCTCCATTTCTGACCTGAGCCGCTTCACACCTCCTTAGGTAACATGGTGGTCCCTGGCTCTTGTGGGGTCACCATATTGATGCCAAACTGAGGACACCCAACGCTCGTTGCGTGCTACAGCCAAGAACTCCTGGGCTCAAGTGATTCTCCTGCTTCGGCTTCACTAGTAGCTAGGACAATAGGCCTGCACCACCAAGCCAAGCCAGAGTCTGTGATCTAACCATTCTATTATGCCACCTTTCCCAAAGATGTTTACAGTTTTTCTTAACTGTAACCAGTGTAGAAAATTAAAAATTTGTGGAGGATCTTAAATTTGAGGACAGAGTTAAGGAATATATCCCTACGTACATGGCTAAATGTAAATATGTAGCAATGCCTAATAGAGGCCAGGCACTGTTCTGGTACTCTGGGTAGGGGTGGATGGGGTGGATAGGGAATATAAGGACAAATGATATAGGGTCCACGAAGAACTCTCAACCTAATTCTGATGCAATGTGGTGTTGGTATTTGAGAGTTTCCAAAATGTTGTGGGTAGGAGAGCAAAACAATAATATTTGGGTTTTAGAAAGTAAGGCATAAAATAATTTGTTCATTAAATCAAAGGAAGTAAGAAGATCACTTGGGAAAGTTATAATCCAAAAATAGTTAAGTATTTGAGTTTCAGCAGGAGGAATGAAAACAGATTACTTTAAGGAAATATTTCATAATTAGAAATATCCAGGTTTAGATACTGAAAGTGAGGGCCAGAGATAGGAATGGGTTGAAGATGACGCCACAGTCTTCTTTTTTTTTTTTTTTTTTTTTTGAGACGGAGTCTCACTCTGTTGCCCAGGCTGGACTGCAGTGGCACGATCTCAGCTGACGGCAACCTCTGCCTCCCGGGTTCAGGCGATTCCCCCACCTCAGCCTTCAGAGTAGCTGAGATTACAGGCGCGCGCCACCAGGCCCGACTGATTTTTGTATTTTTAGTAGAGACGGGGTTTCACCATCTTGGCTAGGCTGGTCTTGAACTCCTGACCTCAGGTGATCCGCCCGCCTCGGCCTCCCAAAGTGTTAGGATTACAGGCGTGAGCCACCGCACCCGGCCTACAGTACTTCTAACGTAACATCGCAGAAACACTGGAGGAGAGAAGAGAATACACTTCCACTCGGAATTCGCACCCTGGTCGCCTTCATTCGCTGGGTTCACTCGCTGAACTGCCTCGCCCCCGCCCGGGAGGATGACATCTCGGCCTGGGCAGAGACTCGAAAGCCTCCTCCTGCCGCTCGGGATGCTAACAGCAGGGAGAGCTGTGTCTAGTTTTTTTTTTTTTTTTTTTTTTTTTGAGAGGGAATCTCGCTCTGTCCCCCAGGCTGGAGTGCAGCGGCGCGATCTCAGCTCACTGCAACCTCCGCCTCCCAGGTTCAAGCAATTCTCCTGCCTCAACCTCCCGTGTAGCTGGGACTACAGATGCCGGCCACCACGCAAGGCTAATTTTTTTGTATTTTTAGTAGAGACGGGGTTTCACCATATTGGTCAGGCTGGTCTCGAACTCCCGACCTCAGGTGATCCGCCCGCCTCAGCCTCCCAAAGTGCTGGGATTACAGGCGTGAGCCACCGCGCCCGGCTTGTGTCTAGTCTTGCCCGTAGCAGCGTCGCCGACAGCCACGCCGGGTTGTCAGAGCCTCACTAGTTTTTCTCCCGGCCGCCGCTCTTCCCGGATTCAGCCACCTTCCCTCTTCCGGGAACTTGCCCGCGTGTTCCGGCTCCAGGAAGTGCGTCATCAGTCGGCGCCAGCGGCCGCACGCCGCGGAGCAGGGGCTCGGAGGTCCCGGGATTACGGTGCTCGAGCACGCTGGTGGGAAAGGACCCGGGACTTGAACAGTGTTGTGCGGCGCCATGCAGGTCTCCAGCCTCAATGAGGTGAAGATTTACAGCCTCAGCTGCGGCAAGTCCCTTCCTGAGGTGAGTCACTTCCCGGCCCCCTCACTCTCGAGCTCTTGGGGGTCGTCCTCCTCGTGGGGCAGCCGCCCCTCTCCTCGGCCCTAGCCTCTGTTTTAGCTGGACGCTGGTCACCCCCCGACTCGGGGAGGCCCAGAGGCGGCTGACAATTTCCGGGGGAGGTGTCGGCATTGGGAGACAAGGACACTGCCGTCACCGCGCCAGAAACTGGACCAAGGGATAATCAGGGTCAGTGAGCTTTGCTGGAACTTTTGTAAAGTTCTCTGTTCCAGAGAACGCAACCATTTGGGCCTCTTTGGGTGTTCACAGTCCCTGCCGTACATCGAGGAGGAAAACGTGGCAGATTCGTTGACACATCTCTCCCCCATATGGCCATCAGCTGTTTGTGGAGTCCCTATCATTTGCCAGGTCTTAGGGATACAACAGTGAACAAGGGAGATACAGACTTCGCATCTGCAGAATTTATGGTGTAGAGGACAGTATTTTCGAGACTTGTTGAACTTAACCTGATTCCTAGTCTTAAAGTTGGAGAGGGCTTGGACAAGTCGGTAATTCTCTTCCAATCTTCTCGTGTTTAGTAATGCAGCTGAGATTTAATAATGCGTTTAATATGCAGCTGAGATCCAGCAAGGGGAAGGGTGACTTGTCCAGCATGACACACTTAGGCTCTGAAACTTGTCTTTTGTTTCTTATACGTGATGATCCAGCCTCTGTCCAAGCACTACCACTGAGCACTACCTTTTGTGGAAGCTCATTTCCATTTTGAGACTCTGCACTTGTTAGAAAGTGGTTTTCAAATATGTCACCTTATAGCATGCCACTGTTGGCCTGAGTCCTGCCCTTGGAAAACAGAATAAATATAGCTCTCCTTCCATGCGTCTGCTTCTACAAAAATTTGGAGCCAGTGCTTAGGTTTTTCCTTTCTTCCTAAAATTCTGGTTTGAATAATTCCCTGTCTTCCAGTTGTTCTTCACACCCCATGAGCTTTCTCATTTTGTTCATTCATTCTCCACATGTATTGAGAAGTTACTGTGTGCAAGCAACTCTGTTTTAAGTATTGGGATCTATAGTGGACATTTCAGATAAGGTTCCCTGTTGGGGAAAAGGGAAATAAACAAGTGAGCAAATAAGGCAATTTAAGGTAGTCAAAAAGTACTTTTCGTGGTGAATGATTAGAAGAGAGCTGTTTTGGATAAAATATTGAGAGAAAGTGTTTTGGATAAAACCTTCGGGGAAGGCCTCTCTACAAGAGGTGACATATGAGCAGAAACTTGGATGATGAAGAGGAGCCAGT
This sequence comes from Homo sapiens, assembly GCF_000001405.40. Taxonomy (NCBI): domain Eukaryota; kingdom Metazoa; phylum Chordata; class Mammalia; order Primates; family Hominidae; genus Homo; species Homo sapiens. Next base: position 10,688,504 of record NC_000002.12, on the reverse strand, counting down.
CGTGTGAAGATGTGGGGAAGAGTTTTCAGTGCTGAGAACAGAAAGTGCAAAAGCCCCACATGGGAATGCACTGGACATGTAGGAGGACGGAAGAGGCACAGGTGTGATTGCACTATGCTGAGTGAGGGGGCGAGAGCAGGGTGGATGAGGCTGGAGAGGTAGGCCTGGTAGGAAAGGTAGGAAGTTCAAGTTTTATTCTTAGTGCTGCTGGAAGTCACTGTTGTGTGGGCTGCTGTGCGACAAATGTCTAGCTGGGGAGGGTTCAAGTCGGGATGAATTAGGTAGTCCAGGTGAGCGACTTCGGTGGCTTGGGCTTGCCTGGTAACAAAGAAGATGCTAAAACACAGTGAGATTCAGGACATACTTTGTAGATAGGGTAATGGAACTTGCTAATGGATTGGACTGTTGGTAGAGGGAAGTTGAGGTGACAAAAAGGAAGGAATCAGAGAACTCTTCAGTTTTGAGTCTGAACAAGTGGGTGCACGGTGGTGCTGCTAACTGACATGGAGAAGAATCAAGAAGGAACACATTGAAAGGTGGAGAGGAGGAACGTAGTGAGCAAAAAGAATCAAGATTTTTTTTTGAGGTCGCGTGCAATGGCCTGATGTTGGCTCACTGCAACCTCTCGGGTTCAAGCGATTCTCCTGCCTCAGCCTCCCCAGTAGCTGGGACTACAGGCACGTGCCACCACACCAGCTAATTTTTGTATTTTTAGTAGAGACGGAGTTTCACTATGTTGGCCGGTATGGTCTCGATCTGATCTTGTGATCCACCCACCTCGGCCTCCCAAAGTGCTGGGATTACAGGCATGAGCCACTGCACCCGGCCCAAGGTTTTTATTTTCAATAGTGAACATTTGAAGTTCTAATACATACCAAATGGAGATGTTGAGTAGTTAGCAGTTGCATGGATACTAGGATGGAGATTGCAGGTGAATTTACTGTCGTTATTTGGGACTAGGTGAGATCAAATTGTGAGAGAAAGAACAGAGAAGATAACTAGGCTGAGGACCTGAGGCAGTCTTAGCATTTGTCATCCAAGAAGAGGAGGGGAACCCAGCAAAGAAGAAAGAGTAGTGGGCACTGATGGAAGGGGAGACTGGGAAATGTGTAGTTTTGTAGAAGTAAGTGTTTCAAGGAGGAGGTGGTGGTCACCTGTGTCAGCTGCTACTGAGAGCTTCAGTAAGATGAAGGCAGAAAAATGACCATCGACTTTGGCATGATGCAGAGCGCCCTTGACCTTGGCAAGGAGCTCCAGTGGAGTGGTGGGGAGGGTAGCTTGAGCTGAGTGGATTTGGAAACCCCTGCTTGTCCTGTTTAATATTTTCTGGTTATTTCTTTGAGGTGTGGTGCCTAAACTACACGTGGAACCCCAGTTGTTGTCTGATCTGTGCAAATATTGCTTCTCTCCTTCTGGGCTTTACCTTTTTATTAATGTAGAGAAGCCTCTACGTTTACTCCCCTGGTGATCCTAGGCAGTCTCCTGGCTTTAAGCACATCTGCATATCGATAACTATCACATTGATGTTTCTAGCCCTTACCTCTACTCTGAACTGGACTTGTGTATCCAACTGTTTCTTGACATCCCCGCTTGGATGTCTGATAGGCATCTCAAACTTAACTTGTCCAAAGTAGAACACCAGCTTTCCCCCCACATTTCCCCCTCCTGCAACCTAGTGGTCTTCCCTCCCTCAGCCAGTGGCAACTCCATCCCGCAAGCTGTTGATGCCAAAAACACTGGAGGCTTTTTGTTGTTGTTTCTTTGCTCTCATACAATCCACTAGAAAATGCTGTTGCTTCTATCTTCAGTATAGATCCAGAATCCAGTCACCTCCATTACTGTCACTGATTCAAGACACTGTCACCCCTGACTATGCAATTGCAGTTATTGCAGTTGACTTCTAAGCAGTTTCTCAGTTTCCACCCTCTACCCCTTTATTCCACAGTCTGTTATCAGTAAGCTGCCAGGGTGATCCTCTACTCAGAACTGTCCAGTGGCTCCTGCTCTCTTGGGGGTGAAAAGCAGAGTCCTTTGAGTGACTTTTAAGGTCCTACTTGATGTTGTGCCTTCCTGCCCTCCTCTCTGAGCTCAGCGGTCACTGTTCTCCACCTTACACTGGCCTCACAAGTCTCACTGCTCGAGACCAGGCACACTCCTGCCGTAGGACCTTGGCACAGGTCCTGCCTGCCTGCTTTTTTCCCAGATGTTCTCCAGGCTTTGCCTCCTCATGCCTTTCAGGTCGTTGCTCAAGAGGACCTTAACCTTATTCAAAATTATAATTCTCCACCAACACTTCGTCTCCTTTTCTTGCTTTATTTTTTCCATGGCATACATAACCATCTGACATTCTAATTGTTTTACTTCCTTATTTGTTGGTGTTCCCTCACTTGAAAGAAAGCTTCATGAAAGGAGGGGTTTTTAGATTTTTAAATTTTTTTTTTTTTTGAAACAGGTTTACTCTGTTGCCCAGGCTGGAGTGCAGTGGCACAATCATGGCTCACCTCAGCCTTGACTTCTCTGGGCTCAATGATTCTTGCACCTCAGCCTACTGAGTAGCTGGGACTACAGGTGTGTACCAACATGCCCAGCTGCTTTTTTTTTTTTGTAGAGACAGTGATCCCACTTTATTGCCAGGCTGGTCTCGAACTCCTGGGCTCAAGTGATCCCCTTGCCTCAGTGCTGGGATTATAGATATGAACCACTGCACTTGGCCAAGAGGGCTTTTTTTTCCCTCCTGTTTTATTTACTACTGCTATACCTAATTACTGGCATTTAGTAGTACTAAATAAATATTTGTTTAATGTATTGATGAATAAAGTTAATTTTCATTTTCAGCTCCATCACACTTTTGACTTGGGGCTACGATTTTTATTCACACAATTTGACCTACAGTCTCCCATTCTGGAGTTAATCAGCTTTTGTTGTATTTTTAATGCCGTTAAATTTATTTTCGTTAGTTTTCTAGTGGTTAAGCCTGTTTTTTTCTTTTTTTTTGGCGGGGGGGGGGGGGGGGGGGACGGAGTCTCTCTCAGTCACCAGGCCGGAGTGTAGTGGGAAGATCTCAGCTCCCTGCAACCTCCGCCTCCCGGGTTCAAGTGATTCCCCTTCCTCAGCCTCCCGAGTAGCTGGGATTACAGGTGCCCACCACCACACCTAGCTAATTTTTTGTATTTTGGTAGAGACGGGGTTTCACCATGTTGGCCAGGCTGGTCTCAATCGGCCTCCCAAAATGCTGGGATTATAGGCGTGAGCCACCATGCCTGGCCAAGTATCAGCTATTTGGTCAGTTATTTATCTGGTTTTATTCCTTGTAAAAAATATATTTCTATAAGAAACATTCTCCTATAAATGTTTTACTTTTTAAATTCTCACTTAAATAGATTAAATTGTTCCATATATTTAGTTATAACCCATAATATTTGAGGCTTTCTGCTTTCCTTTAGATTGCTTAGATGGGTTAGTTTTTCTCTATGTAAAAGATTGTAGTTCAAAAAATTTCTTATCTGGCCGGGCCTGGTGGCCCATGTCAGTAGACCTAGCATTTTGGAAGGCAAAGGTGAGAGGATTGTTTGAGCCCAGGAGTTTGAGCCTTCGGTGAGCTACAGTCACATCGCATCATTGTACTATAGACTGGGCAAGCATGAGACCCTGTCTCTAAAAAAGTAAAAATAAAAGAAATTATCTAATGTATGTAAGTATACACAAGAAAAAAAATCCAGGAGATATTTAATACGTTACGAGTAGAGTTAGGATTAGAGAATATTTTTTGCTTCCTATGTTATATATTCCTATGAAGTTTGAATTTTTAAATATAAGCATGTATTGATTTTGCAAGCCGAAAAACAATTTAGCTAAATTTGTTTTAAAATAAACTCTCTTCATTTTCTTTAAGTGGCTTTCTGATAGGAAGAAGAGAGCGCTACAGAAGAAAGATGTAGGTGAGTATTGTTTTTTCCCACTTCAGCTGCGTTAGTGATCCATGTTCTAATGCTTTTACTCATTTGCTGTTATATATAAGTGAGGATTTATAAGAATGCGGTAACATGTAGTGGAAAATGAATGCTCTTGTCCCTTTTCTTTTTTTTCCTTTGACATGGGGTCTCACTGTGTTGCCCAGACTGGTCTCTAACTCCTGGGCTTGAGCAGACCTCCCACCTTGGCCTCCCAAAGTTTTGGGATTACAGGCATGAGCCACTGTACGCAGCTCTTCTCCTTTTTTTTTTTTTTTGAGATGGAGTTTCACTCTTATTGCCCAGGCTGGAGTGCAATGGTGTGACCTCGGCTCACTGCAACCTCCACCTCCTGGATTCAAGCAGTTCTCCTGCCTCAGCCTCCTGAGTAGCTGGGATTACAAGCCACCACGCCCGGCTAATTTTTTTTGTATTTTTAGTAGAGATGGGGTTTCTCCATGTTGGTCAGGCTGGTCTCGAACTTGCGACCTCAGGTGATCCACCTGCCTTGGCCTCCCAAAGTGCTGGGATTACAGGTGTGAGCCACCGCGTCCGGCCGCCTTTCTCCTTCTTAAGAAACTTTTTGTTGTGGTTGGTATGTTCCTGGTGGGTATGGGATTTGATTTTACCTTATTAACTAATAAGTTAGCCTGTTACCGTTTCATGGATAACAATAGTAGACGCAAGACTCCTGGGCTAGAAATGCAGATGTTATTACTCACAGCACAGTAGATAGCATGAACATCAGCATATTTGTGCCAGTTCCCCTCTTGGGTCTCCTGGGGACACTTAGCACAGTCCAGGTGGATGCTTGGCACACAGTGGATTTGCGTTGTGGCCGAGCAACACAGCTTGGGAAGTCCACTGCTTTTCTGGCAAGCAGTAAGCAAACCTGTGTTTTGTCCAGAAGGGACAGGTTACCTGTCTATCAAGGTTCTCAGCAGTGTAAACAACCCTGAGAAATGGCTCAGGTAAGAGTGGCTGGGGTCTTGCAATCTCGCCATACCCAGTAAGCATGCAGGTCCAAGGAGGACTGTCTCTCCTAACAGGTCCCTAATTGCTTTGCTCTCTTGTGTATCAAAATCTTATCGTGTAAATTAAATCCATTTATCAGTGTTTGAGATACAGAGACAATGAGCATTTCTTGAAGAAAGGAATTTTACATGTAGGGTTTATGAATCTGAACAGTTAAAGGTGATTGCAGAAGATGTTGGTTCTTTTAAATTTACGGCAGCAAGAAATTGTAAGAAAAATTTCTAACTTAAATAATTTTGGTGCACAAGTTTTCATTATATTTTCTTCATTATAGCTTGTCACATATGAAAGAAAATTTATTTTCCCATATATTTTGTTTAACTTACTCTTTAAAAACCTAAGGTATCAAAGGGGTTTCCTCTTGTCTGCAGATAATTGGTTCCAAAAGAGGTATAAGTCAGCTTCGTAGCAGTTTCTTATATAAACTTAAGAGGTTGGGTCAGGCACAGTGGCTTATGCCTGTAATCCCAGCACTTTGGAAGGCCCAGGCGGGCAGATCATGAGGTCAGGAGTTCAAGACCAGCCTGGCCAACGTAGTGAAACCCCGTCTCTACTAAAAATACAAAAATTAGCCAGGCATGGTGGTGCGTGCCTGTAGCCCCAGCTACTTGGGAAGCTGAGGCAGGAGAATTGCTTGAACCTGGGAGGTGGAGGTTGCTGTGAGCCAGGATTGTGCCACTGCACTCCAGCTTGGACAACAGGTGAGACTTGTCTCAAAAAAAAAGAGTTTGGAGAGTTTGGGGGCTTAAACCTGTTACTTAGGAGAAAAAAAAGTTGGATTTTTGTCTTTGCCATGATTGAGTAGTAATAGTGGTTTAGGGGCCCAGTGCGGTGGCTCACTCCTGCAATCCCAGAAGTTTGGGAGGCTGAAGTGTGAGGATTGCTTGGCCCTAGAAGTTTGAGACCAGCCTGGGCAACGTGGCGAAACCCCATCTCTACAAAAAATACAAAAATACCTGGGTGCAGTGGCATGCGCCTGTAGTCCTAGCTATTTGGGGGGGCTGAGGTGTGAGGATCGCTTCAGCCCGGGAGGTTGAGGCTGCAGTGAGCCATGATTGTGCCACTGCACTCCAGTCTGGGTGACAGAGTGAGACCCTGTCTCAAAAAAAAAAAAAAAAAAGTGGTTTAATGTTTATGCTCTTCCTCCTGTAACACTGGATGTTTGATACACTGTTGTGGAAAATTTTTTTTCAATTAATGATGCTACTTTTTTTATTCTTGAAAAGTAAAAATGAAATACTTAGCTTAGAAAAACAACGTATGAGCTAAGGAAAAAACCTCTGCTGTTTAATGGTTGGGCTGTGCTGGTGACCTTTCCCAAGGCCAGGAAGCATTTGGGATGAATTTCACCTGTTTATAGTTGTGGTGACTGCTTGGTACCCATTTGTCTTCTTATGATAGAGAATAAGCACATGTTAGTTAAACTAGTTGTTTTTTTCTCTCTTTTTAGATGTCCGTAGGAGAATTGAACTTATTCAGGACTTTGAAATGCCTACTGTGTGTACCACTATTAAGGTGTCAAAAGATGGACAGTACATTTTAGCAACTGGTAAGCATCTTTTTGGTTATGATTTTCATGCATTTTGTACCAGGAAATGCTGCGATGGGAAAGGTCTTTTTTTTTTTAACCCTAATATTTTATTATAAAAAATTTCAAACACACAGAAATATTGAAAAAATTGTATAGTAAACACCCATTTAACTACTACCTAAATTCTGCAATAAATAGTTTACTCTGCAGTATTTGATTTATCCCATGCATCTGTCTCTTTGTTCATGTATCAGTCCATCTTGTTTCTTTGATGCATTTCAGTGTAAGTTGAAGATACCAGTATACTTCACCCTGAAACACTTCAGCAAGTATATCATTAGCTGGAGTTCAATATTTATCAGTATTTACTTATAGCCTTTTTCAAGGTAAAAACATTTATATTGGTGAAATGCACAGATCCTAAGTTTACCATTTGGTTAGTTTTGACAAATGCACACGCTTGTGTAACTCAAAGCTCTATCAAGATACAGAACATTTTTTTCCTGCAGAAAATTTCTCCCACCCATGCAGAGACAACCATTGCTGATTTTTTTTCAATATAGACAAGTTTAGCCTGTTTCAGAACTTAATATAAATGTAGTCATACACTGTATATTCTTTCTCTGTGAGACTTATTTCATGTAGGATTTTGTATTTGAGGTTCATACATGTTGTTATATGTGTCAATAGCTTCTTTTTTTTTTTTATTACCAAAAGATATTTCATTCTATGACTAAGCCACAGTTTATTTACCCATTCTCCATGTGATGAACAGCTAGGCTGTTTTCATTCAGGTTTTTGGCTGTTACTAATAAAGCACTATGAACAATCGTATAGAAGTCTGTTTTGTGGGTATAAGCTTTCATGTCTTTGGTGAATACCTAGGAGTGGAATTTTTGAGTCCTAGGTAGGTGTATGTTTAGTGTTCTGGGAAACTTCTAAGTCGTTCCCCAAAGTGATCATATCATTTGCACTCCTACTAACAATGAATGAGAGTTTTAGGAAAGGTCACTTATAACATGATTTTCTGTATAATGTACTAATTTTTAAAAATATCTCTAAGATTTTACATTAACAGTATTTATCGTTATCAAAAAATCATGAAATGTAGAAAACTTTTAGTGTGTTGGAGTGTTGAACAGTATCACCCAACCTTTAGTGGTTGTGATTTTGGCGCGTAAGTCCTGTATATTGTCCAAACATTTTTTGCTGATAACAGTATTCCTTTTCCAACCACTTTCTTTTTGGTAATACCTTTTATACATACACAGGCCAGTCTCTTTTGCTTTGTGTTAATGATTATCTCAGTACTAACTAACACTATCTACATCTCTTAGCCTTCAGTTTTATGTTCAGAAACTGGTAAAAAGAATTGAGGAAATCTAAGATACATGGACACCCTTACTGAAGACTAGAAGAAACTCAAATTTTCTTCATTTTATAGATCCAGAGATATTAAGTGACTTGTCTAGGCTCACAGATCTAGTACTTAAGAAAGCTAGGATATAGATTTGTTAAATGACACTTTCTTTTATGAAATCGTCCTCTATTCCCATGCAAAATTAATGGTTCCTTTTCTCCTTCTCCTCCCTCTCCCTCTCCCTCTTCTCCCTCTCCCTCTTCTCCCTCTCCCTCTTCTCCCTCTCCCTCTTCTCCCTCTCCCTCTTCTCCCTCTTCTCCCTCTTCTCCTTCTTCTCCTTCTTCTCCTTCTTTTTTAAGAGTCTCACTCTGTCACCCAGTCTGGAGTGCAGTGGCATGATTTTGGCTGACTGCAACCTCCGCCTTCCGGGTTCAAGCGATTCTCCTGTGTCAGTCTCCTGAGTAGCTGGGACTACAGGTGCTCGCCACCACACCCGGCTAATGTCTGTATTTTTTTAGTAGAGACAGGGTTTCACCATGTTGGCCAGGCTGGTCTCGAACTCCTTGCCTCAAGTGATCCGCCCAACTCGCCCTTCCAAAGTGCTGGGATTATAGGTGTGAGCCACTGCGCCTGGCCTAATGGCTTTCCTTCTTATTCAGAATGCCTCGGTTTTATTTTATCTTAAAAATATTTAATAAATAATATGTGGGCTGGGCGGGGTGGCTCACACCTGTAGTCCCAGCACTTTGGGAGGCTGAGGCAGTCAGATTGCATGAGGCCAGGAGTTCGAGACCAGCCTGCCCAACATGGTGAAATCCTGTCCCTATAAAAAATAAATTAGCTGGGCATGGTGGCGTGGACCTGTAATTCCAGCTACTTGGAGGCTGAGGCATGAGAATCGCTTGAACCCATGTGGCGGAGGTTGCAGTAAGCCAGGATCGCGCCACTGCGCTCCACCCTGGGCAACAGAGCGAGACTCTGTCTCAAAGAAAGAAAGAAAGAGAGAGAAAGAGAGAGAAAGAGAGGAAGGAGAGAGGAAAGAAAAAGGAAAGAAAGAAAAAGGAAAGAAAGGAAGAAAGAATGTGAAACATGGTAGTGAGACTGAGGAACTGAATTTTTTTATTTTTATTTTTTTTGAGACAGGGTTTCACTCATTGTAACCTTGAACTTATGGGCTCAAGCCATCCTCCTTCCTCAGCTTCCTGAGTGGCTAGAAATATAGGTGCTCGCCACTATGCCTTGCTAATGAAATTTTTTTTTTTTTTTTTTGAGGCAGAGTTTCACTCTTGTTGCCCAGGTTGGAATGCAGTGGTGCCATCTTGGCTTACCGCAACCTCTGCCTCCTGGGTTCAAGTGATTCTCCTGCCACAGCCTCCTGAGTAGCTGGGATTACAGGCATGCACCACCACGCCCGGCTAATTTTGTATTTTTAGTAGAGATGGGGTTTCTTCATGTTGGTCAGGCTGGTCTTGAACTCCCAAACTCAGGTGATCCGCCCACCTCAGCTTCCCAAAGTGCTGGGATTACAGATGTAAGCCACCGCACCCGGCCAAAAAAAATATTTTTTAAATGGAGATGGGGTCTCAGTATTTTGCCCACATTGGTCTCAAACTCCTGGACTCAAGCAGTTGTCCGCCTGTCTCTCAAAGTGCTGGGATTATAAGCATGAGCCACGGCACCCAGCTGGAATCTTAAATTTAATTTGATTTTAATTCATTTTAACTTAGCCTCACATTACTAGTGGCTGCCATATTGGACAGCACAATTGTAGAGTCCAGAGTCCTGGTTTGACTTTCCTAGAGGCCTTTTTCTGGTATTGGTAGGGGAAATGGAGTTGGAATGTCACTTGCTTCTCCATTTAATTTGGTAGAGGTTTTTCTTTCAATCTCGGTATCTATCCCTACTTCTTTCTCAGATTCCCTTTGGTGTTCTAGGCCTTGTGGCTAAAAAGTTGAGTAAGATTGGCCCTGAAGACCTTTCATTCTGGTTGGGGAAATAGATTATCTAAGGGAATGAACTCAGGGGATGTGCAAAGTATTGATTTGTTACGGAAGTGACTGGCCTCTTGATTCCTTTTGGAAGCATTGGGTTTATGATCATGCCAGATTCAAACCTATCCTTAGTGGTTGTGTTAATTTTTTCTGTTACTTGGGGATGAAAGATAAGAAATAGAGGCTCTACTTTTATTAGTGTTTTTTTTTTTTTTTACCACTTTTTTCCCCTAGTGGCCAAAGTAATACTTGTAAGCCTTTCAAAGAACATAGCAATAAAAAACAGCAGGGTACACAGTAGCTCATGCCTATAATCCCTGCACTTTGGGAGGCTGAGGCAGGAGGATTAATTGAGGCCAGGAGTTCAAGACCAGCTTGAGCAACACAGCAAGATCCTGTCCCTACAAAAAATAAAAAAAAAATTAGCTGAAAGTGGTGGTGTGCACCTGTAGTGTCAGCTACTCACGAGGCAGAGGCAGGAGGATTGCCTGAGCCTAGCAGTTTGAGGTTACAGTGAGCTATGATTGCACCACTGTGCTCCAACCTGGGCAACAGCGAGACCCTGTCTCTAAAAAAAATTAAAGCCCCAAAAACAAACGACAGTGGAATAAAGGTCCTGGCTATATTAAAAGTTTTATGTATAGCCTTTCAAATTATGTGTGTGTGTGTGTGTGTGCACATAAAATTATGTGTGTATATATATGTATCTGTCTATATGGATATATATGTACACACACATATATACACACGCATATATATGTGTATACACACACACACACACACACACACACACACACAAATGTATTAAAATTATTGCCATACGACAGTGGGCTCATATTTACTGGTTTTAAACTTCTCTTTTTTAAGCTGGGTGCGGTGGCTCACGCCTGTAATTCCAGCACTTTGGGAGGCTGAGGTGGGTGGATCACTTGAGCCCAGGAGTTTGAGACCAGCCTGGGCAACGTGGTGAAACCCCATCTTTACAAAAAATACAAAAATTACACAGTCGTGATGGCAGGCGCCTCTTGGTCCCCACTACTTGGGAAGCTGAGGTGGGAGGATCACTGGAGCCCAGGGCGGTTGAGGTTGCATTGAGCTGTGATTGCACCTCTGTGCTCCAGCCTGGTTGACAGAGTGAGACCCCATTTCAAAAAAGGAAAAAAAAAAAAAACACCAAAGAAAACCCCACAAAATAACCTTTTTTTTTTCTTTAAACGAAATCTTGGGTTTTGATCTATGCCAGAAAACAAAGGACTACCTCATTCTTTTATTTTTAAGATGTCTTTGTTGGAAATACATAACATAAAATATGAAAGTCTCCGAAATTGCACTTCACGGAGATAGACTATCATTGTGAAGTTAGTTCCTCCAACTTTTGCCTTACAAAGTGCCAAAGTTAGGCCAGGCATGGTGGCTAACTCCTGTAATCCCAGCACTTAGGCAGGCGGAGACAGGCAGATCACCTGAACTCAGGAGTTCAAGACCAGCCTGGCCAACATGGTGAAACCCCATCTCTACTAAAAATACAAAAATTAGCCAGATGTGGCGGCAGGCACCTGTAATCCCAGCTACTTGGGAGGCTGAGGCAGGAGAATCACTTGAATCCAGGCAGCAGAGGTTGCAGTGAGCTGAGATTACTCCTCTGCACTCCAGCCTGGGCGACAGAGCAAGACCCCATTTCAAAGAAAAAAAAAAAAAGAGGCCGGCCTCGATGGCTCATGTCTGTAATCCCAGCACTTTGGGAGGCCAAGGTGGGTGGATCACCTGAGGTCAGGAGTTCGAGACCAGCCTGACCAACATGGTGATACCCCGTCTCTACTAAAAATACAAAAATTAGCTGGGCATCATGGCCTGCACCTGTAATCCCAGCTACTCAGGGGGCTGAGGCAGGAGAATAGCTTGAACCTGGGAGGCGGAGGTTGCAGTGAGCCGAGATCACGCCATTGCACCCCAGTCTAAATGACAGAATGAGACTCTGTCTCAAAAAAAAAAAAAAAAAGACAAAGTGCCAAAGTTACCATTTCATTGTACAAAATTGGGATCGTATTATATGGATCATTCTCCAGCACTCACCTGTGCTCCCCCTGTACTTTTACTTTATAGTACGTTTTGGCAGCTTTCCATGTCAATGGTTACTACTGAGGTCTGCCTCATCCACTTTATGGGCTATGTAATATTCCCTTGTGTGGATTTATTGTCATTTATTCAACTATTTTCCTGTCAGTGGACATTTTATTGCTTTCAGTTGCTGACCATTTATAAATAATGCTGCAGTGAACATTCTTAATATCTTTGGCAGGCTTGTGGATATATTTCTGTGAGTTCAATTTATGTAAGTTGAAATATAGATTGAAAGTATGGAAACATCGTGTGTTTTTAGGGATTGTCCTTCAAAGAAGTTGTATCAATTGTATACTAATCAACAACAGTATAGGGGAATATTTTATACTTTCACCAACACAGATATTAACCGTTTTTTAATCTTTGCCATTCTGGTGGACAAAACTGTTTCATTGTTTGCATGTATTTTGTTAGATTACTTGTAGGTTTCTTAGTTATTTTGTTTGGTTTTCTATGACTTGCTTGTTTAGCTTTTGCTCAGTTTTTCCTTGGGGTGTTTGAGAGGGGCTGCTTTTACATTCCTTTCTTTTGATTTGGTTACAATTAATCCTGCCTGTCTCTGAACAAGAAGTACACTCAATGTATCTGGATGTTTTGACTATGAAAGTATGTCTTTAGGTTTTACATCACATTAATTTTTTGTAGGAACATATAAACCTCGGGTTCGATGTTATGACACCTATCAATTATCCTTGAAGTTTGAAAGGTGTTTAGATTCAGAAGGTGAGTAAAAAGCTAAATTTGAATTCATGAAAATGGCTTTTTATGTTGTCTGCTTTTCTGGTTTTAAAATGAGAATGGTTTGTAATTAGTTTTTTATTGCTGTATAACAAATTACTGTACTACAATCCCGATGGCTTAAAACATCCATTTAGTAGCTCACAGTTGTGTAGATCTTAAGTCTATGCAGGTTCTGTGCTCAGACAGGAGGTCAGGGTGTTGACCAGGTGGAGCTCTGACTTGGAGGTGCTGGGCAAGAATATGCTTCCACGTGTTAGTTTGTAGTTCTTTTAGAATTGACTGGCAGCTTTTCTTGTTTTCAGAGAATGCACCCCCCCCAAACCCCCAAAATAATAAAAAATAAAAAAGAATTTGCTTCCAAATACACTCAGGTTGTTGTCAGAATTCAGTTTGTTGTGGTTATAGGATTGTGGTTCCCATTTCCTTCTGGCTGTCAGCTGGGGGCCACTCTAGGCTTCTAGAGGCTGCATGCATTTCTCATCACACACTCACCTCCACCTTCAAGCCAGCAACAGCTCATCAGATCCTCCCTGTATTTCTTTTCTTTCTTTTATTTATTTATTTATTACTTTTTTAAAGAGATAGGGTCTTGTTGCCCAGGCTGGAGTGCTGTGGCATGATCATAGTTTACTGTAGCCTTGAACTCCTGGGCTCAAGTGATCCTCCTACCTTAGCCTCCCAAGTAGCTAGAACTACAGATGTGAACCACCATGCCCCACTAATTTTATAATTTTTTGTAGAGATGGAGTCTAGCCATGTTGCCCAGGCTGGTCTCAAGCTCCTGGCCTCAGCCGTCCTTTTGCTTTGGTCTCCCACAGTACTGGAATTCCAGGCATGAGCCACTGCACCCAGCCCCTTGTGTTTTGGATCTCTCTGACTTTTTCTTCTGCTGCCAGCCAGAGAAACTCTGCTTTTATTTATTTACTTATTTATTTTTTGGAGACGGAGTCTTGCTCTGTCGCCCAGGCTGAAGTGCAGAGGCACAATCTTGGCTCACTGTAAACTCCACCTCCCAGATTGAAGTGATTCTCCTGCCTCAGCCTCCTAAGTGGCTGGGATTACAGGCGCACTTTACCACACCCAGCTAATTTTGGTATTTTTAGTAGAGATGGGTTTCACCATGTTGGTCAGGCTGGTCTCGAACTCCTGACCTCGTGATCCACCCGCCTCGACCTCCCAAAGTGCTGGGATTACAGGCATGAGCCACTGCGCCCAGCTGAAACTCTGCTTTTAAAGGGCTCATATGATTATAAATCTCCCCTTTGCCATAGAATGTAATGTAATCATGGGAGCAATGTCTTATCAATTCACAGTTTCTACCCACACTCTCAAGGGAAGGGGGTTATACGAGGGTAAAGGTCACTGGGGGTCATTCTTAGAATTTTGAATGGCACTGAAGTCAAGTTAAAATGGGAAAGTTCAAGTGCTTTTATCAGTTGGCCTAGAATTTGGGATTGAGGGGAAAGGAGTTAATGGGATATGTGGTCTGTGGAATTATATGCATAGTCTCCCAACTTGTTTCACCCTTTGTTGTTTTTTTTTTTATTTTTACTTTTTAGAAACAGGATCTTTTTCTGTCACCCAGGCTGGAGTGCAGTGTTATGATCACAGCTCACTGCAGCCTCAACTACCCAGGCTCAAGAGATCCTCCTACCTCCGCCTCCCAAATAGCTGGGATCACAGGCATGCACCACCATGTCTGGCTAATTTTTTTTCTGTTTTTTTTTTTCTTTCCCATAGTGATAGGGTCTTACTATATCTTTGTTTATTGAAAACAATAGAAACTCTGTGTGCCACTAATAATGGCTATTTTTCGCTCTTTTTCTTTATCAGGTAGACTATGAATGGGTAAAAAATGACATCTTTTTTGTTAAGCAACAATTTTTTTGTTCTTTAATGTATATTTGAAAGTCTTTAAAATTATTTTGTTTTCAACATCTCAGAGTGTCAGAATTTAGAAGTCATTATATTTTGTGAATTTGCATTCAGTTCTACAAGAAATCTAGTTGATGTGTATTGAGAAATTATGAGGCTTTTAAGTTTTTGTTGGTGTTTTGGGACAATATACTATGACAATTTTCTTCTTGTTTCACGTAGAGGCAGAAAAAAACTGGTATGTATATAATTTCTGTGTTGAATTAGAATCTTTGCATCAGGTTTGCGTTGTTACTAAGAATATTGTTTGATAATTGTATTTTTCCTATTTCTTGTTTTTCAGTTGTCACCTTTGAAATTTTGTCTGATGACTACTCAAAGGTATGTTTTATAGCATTGGTTTGTACTGACTAGACCCAAGAAATGAGTGAGTGGAATTTATTTTAATGATAAGCAGTTTTATAATATTTTTATTGTTAAACTAAAATGGCTGTGTAGTTCTATTGTTAAACAAAAATGGCTGTGTAGTAAAATGTAACCCATCATTTTTTATTAATATTAATACAGTGATACGGATAGCCTTTGGCCAATCTAATATCAAAGGTAATTTTTCATATCGTATATGAAACCTTATTTGTATTTTTAAGAATTGGCAGCAGTCATCTTTTATATCATCCTGTATTCTAGATTTGTGATTCTGATTATTACGTTTAACCTAGATTTATTTGCCAGGTTGCTTTCATTTTCTTATTTATATGTGAAATGTAAACTAGCAGGGTTGTGTGTTTAATTTTTTTTTAACTTTGCAAATGGTTGTGGTATATTCTGAAACAGTTCAAAATATAGCTAAGTAGATTTATTTCTCTTTTTTGGTGCCATTAGTCCATCTTTCAACTCTTTTTTTTTGGAGACAGGGCCTTGCTCTGTCACCCAGGCCGGAGGGGCAGTGGCGTAATTTCAGCTCATTGCAGCATCAGCCTCCCGAGTTCAAGTGATTCTCCTGCCTCTGCCTCCTGAGTAGCTGGAACTACAGGCATGTGCTTCCACACCTGGCTAATTTTTGTGTTTTTAGTGGAGATATGGTTTTACCAGGTTGGCCAGGCTGGTCTCAAACTCTTGACCTCAAGTGATCCACCTGACTTGGCCTCCCAAAGTGTTGGGATTACAGGCGTGAGCAACTGCCCCCGACCCATCTTTCAACTCTTATAATCACTTTCAACAATTATAAAATTGTCAGTAAACTCTTGAATTTAAAATGAAACATTTTTAGTGATGTCAAATGGCATCTTGAAAGAAAATTGAATTTTCTTAGCTGACATGGCTTTATATTTTCAGTTTTGGAAACTATGGGGTACAGCTTATCCTTTTGTCTATGGTATCATTTATCATACGTTTTGGAACATGTCATTTTAGAATGTATTTTCTCTAAATACTGACAAATTTGCCTTTAAATACCATCTGTTGATGTTTAAGATACCCCTTTAGTACACTAAAGTCAAATGTATACAAGGAGTTTATCATAACTTGTGTGATAATGGTGGGATTATTATTATTTTTTGTTTTTTATTTTTTGAGACAAGAGTTTCACTCTTGTTGCCCAGGCTGGAGTTCAACGGCACAATCTCGGCTCACTGCATCCTCCGGCTCCTGGGTTCAAGCGATTTTCCTGCCTCAGCCTCCTGAGTAGCTGGGATTACAGGCATGCGCCACCATGCCCAGCTAATTTTGTGTTTTTAGTAGAGATGGGGTTTCTCCATGTTGGTCAGGCTGGTCTCAAGCTCCCTACCTCAGGTGACCCACCCGCCTTGTCCTCCCAAAGTGCTGGGATTACAGGTGTGAGCCACCATGCCCGGCCAGGATTATTTAAATGTGTTCCCAAGTGAAAGAGGGAACTGATCATTGAGGGTACCATGAGAGTGCTCTATGTTATGACATGCTGGTGCCATGTAAATGAAGGGCGTTTGTTTCAAGTCTTTAATTAGTATGTAAGGTTTGCAGAAAAGCTATCAGGATACAGGAAGGCATTAAGGAGCCGATGGAGTGTTTTCATTCTTAATCCCAGTGGAGTGTGTGTGCATGGACATGTGTGTTTAGATACAGAAAGTGAGAGAGAGGTAAGGGTTTTCCTTGGTTTGCCAGTTTTTTAGCGATAATGAAGTAAACACCTAACTAGAAACCTAAGCAAACTAATTTTTTTGTTTTATTTTCAGATTGTCTTCTTACATAATGATAGATACATTGAATTTCATTCGCAATCAGGTTTTTACTACAAAACCAGAATACCAAAGTTTGGGAGAGATTTCTCTTACCACTATCCATCCTGTGACTTGTACTTTGTTGGTGCAAGGTATTGGATCCAGTCCCTTTTTCTCCTTTTCACCTCCTAAAACAACCAACTTCTGTTCCTAAATTTCGTGTACATTTTCTCTGTTTAGGTAACTTGCTTTAATAAAAAAGTGATACGTGGCTCTTGTAAAAAAAAAAAAAAAAAGAAAAGAAAACACAGGATAGGCAAAAAATTCTATTTTCTACATATTGGTTTACTTATAAGTACCATATACTGTTTTAACAACTGTTGTTTTGCTTAATACAATATTTTCTAATGTTAAAAATATCTGTGATAGTTATGTGCCTCATTGGGAAATACTGATGGGAAGTGTGTGAGCCTTTTCAGTTTAGCCCGGTTGCCACAATTTATGAGACATAGTATTGTTTTATTTATCTGTTTATCTTCTAGACTTTTGTCTCGACCTTAAGTTTGCTTCATGTCAGTAATCAGTTTCTATCTGATCACTTTGTGATTAATAGGTCATATGTGGTTATGGACTCTAGTTTAAAAAAATTGGGAGAGGGTTTTATTGTTATTATTTTTGGTAATTTGATAGTTTGATTTAATTTGATTTGCATGAAATGACAAAAGCATTTAAAGCATCTTTCATTATGTAGTTGATGTCCTACATTAAACAGTCTACTAAATTCTGAACAAAAGTTTATTAGCAAGTTTTCAAAAATTTAAAAAACAGTTGTTTCAAAACCATTAAGTAGTAAATGTATTTAAGAAACTAATTAGGACAGATGTCATAACTTTAGAACACCACTACCTACCCATGTCTTTTTGTTTTGTTTTTTCTGTTTTTTTTGTTTGTTTGTTTCATTTTCTTTTTTTGAGAGGGAGTCTCACACTGTCACCCAGGCTGCAGTGCAGTGGTACGATCTTGGCTCACTGCAACCTCTGCCTCCCAGGTTCAAGTGATTCTCCAGCCCCAGCCTCCTGAGTAGCTGAGACTATGGGCGCCTGCCACCATGCCCAGCTAATTTTTGTATTTTTAGTAGAGGCGATGTTTCACCTTGTTGGCCAGGCTGGTCTCGAACTCCTGACCTCAGGTGATCCACCCACCTCGGCCTCCCAAAGTGCTGGGAGTACAGACATGAGCCACGGTGCCCGGCCCTGTTTTGTTTTGTTTTTAACAAAGCAATTAGTGTATCTTTTTGGCTATTAGTATTAGCAATTTATTTACAATATTTAACGAGATAAATTGTAGGCAAAAATTCAGTACAATTTCAATAGAAATATCCCTTTTTTTTCCCCTGAAAATACAGCAGTATTTGAAGGACTAATTTCTTTAAAGAAGAATAAGACATGATCTTTGCTTTTAAGTTGCTGAAAGTGAAGGTATAATTCCTACATGTGACTCATTTAGGAGTGATATCTTTGGCTTCTGTTAGTATGGTGCTAAATTTGGAGATAGACATGTATAATCTAGTTGATAAAGTCAGTTTCTTAGCCCTATTGCACAGTATTTCAAAACTTTTTATTCTAAGTACCTTTTTGGTTTTATTATTAGTTTTTTATAAAGATGGGGTCTCACTATGTTTCCCAGGCTGGTCTTGAATTCCTGGGCTCAAAAGATCCTCTTGCTTTGGCCTCACAAAATGTTGGGATTACAGGTGTGAGCTACTGTACCTGGCCTTTATTATTATTATTATCATTATTATTATTATTATTATTTGAGATGGAGTCTCGCTCTGTCGCCAGGCTGGAGTGCAGTGGTGCAATCTCCACTCACTGTAACCTCCACCTCCCAGGTTCAAGCGATTCTCCTGCCCCATCCTCCCGAGTAGCTGGGATTACAGGCATGCGCCGCCACGCCCAGGTAATTTTTGTATTTTTAGTAGAGACAGGGTTTCACCATATTGGCAAGGATGGTCTCGGTCTCTTGACCTCGTGATCCGCCCACCTCAGCCTCCCAAAGTGTTGGGATTACAGGCGTGAGCCACCGCTGCCCAGCCCTGTGTTATTTTTATGGTCATCAAAAAGGTAGCATTTGACCAGGTATTTGACTGGTGGCTATTATGTTTGTGTGTGTGTGTGTGTGTGTGTGTGTGTATATATGTGTGTGTGTATGTGTGTGTGTGTGTATATATATATATATAAAAAATAAAAATATATATATATATACAAATACATACCCATTTTAGAAAATTGGGAAAATATAGAAAAGAAAAAATTCAGGCTGGGCATGGTGGCTCATGCTTGTAATCCAGCACTTTGGGAGGCTGAGGTGGGCAGATCACCTGAGGTCAGGAGTTCAAGACCAGCCTGGCCAACATGGTGAAACCTCGCCTCTACTAAAAATACAAAAAAATAGTTTGAGACCAGCCTGGCCAACATGGTGAAACCCTGTCTCTACTAAAAATACAAAAAATTAGCCGGGTGTAGTGAGTGGCGCCCGTGAGCTGAGATTGCGCTATTGCACTCCAGCCTGGGCAATAAGAGCAAAACCCCATATCAAAAACAAAAAAACAAAAAAAAAGAAAAAATTCAGCCATAATTACACCACCCAGAGAGGATCCTTATTATATTTCCTTCTAGTCCTTTCTTATATACATATGTAGATACATTACATATACTTTTGGATCTTGTATTCTCCATCTTATTTGTAAATAGTATTCTACGTAATGACTTCATATTTCCTTGGCACATGAATGGTTTAAATCACTTTTATACATGAACAAATTCATAAAGTGGATATTTTTCAGATTTAGAATACGTTTTTGTATCAGTGTTACAAAAGGAAGTGGTGGCTTATGAGTAATATATATATTTATAAAATTTATATTTACTTAAAGTTTCATTGTAGTTTAGCAGGTTTTTAACTTTCTTTATTACTTTACAGTTCTGAAGTTTATAGGTTAAACTTAGAACAAGGACGATACCTGAATCCTCTACAAACTGATGCTGCGTGAGTAGTTTTAGTAATTCTGCTATATACATTTTGACCAGGAGGTGGAGCCAGATGCTCAGTTTGTTAACAAGTAACATAAACTATTGCAATTAAGCAAAACTCCCAGCAACTTAGTTAAAAAGTACTGTTGAATTTATTCTCAGACAAAAAATTCACTGAAAGATCTGGTGATTACTTTAAAAATTAAATGAAAGCTTTTTTTCATCTACTCAACTTTAAGTCAGTTAAAAATACTCAGTTTATTATTATTACTTGTAGTGTTCTTTAAATTTACATTCATGGTTTTGTTTTGTGATATTTTCTCCTGTGGAGAACTTTTGAATTAATTTGGAGTGCCATTTTTAAATTTTTATGCTCTGCTAGCGGACATTTAAGGTTTTTAAAGGTTTCCTTTTATCATACATTATAGTCTACACATATGTACTATGCAGCAAAAATTTTTAGGAATGAATCCATCATCATCATCATCACAACAAATAATAGTGATAAACACAGTAGGAAAGCACTTTGTGCCAGGTGTTATTCAGTCATTTTACCTTTATTATCTCATTTTAAACTTAGAACAGATTTTTGTGGTAAGTACCATTTTACAGATAGGGCAGCTGAGGCTCAGAGAGGTAAGTAGTTTGCCCAAGGCCACACAACTAGTCAAGGGTGGAAGCTGGATTACTTCTCATTGTGTATATGAAGAGCTTGCTGAATTTCTCGTATTGCTTTGAGAGGATTTTTAAAGGTTAGGTGAACATGTTGTGATAAGAACCAAATAAACTCTAATTTTTTTTTATTTCACATTGGGTAGAAATGCTTTTATTTTTATTAAAAAAAAAACTTGTAGTAGTAACTTCACAAATGCATTATATTGAGTGTCCTCTGTACCCCAGATACTGCTGAACGCTTTGCAGTCTTTTTCATTTAATCCCCATAACAACCCCCCGAGGTAGGTGAAATATCCATTTTACAGAGAAAGAAAATGAGACTTAGAATGATGTACCCAGGACAAGCCTGTCAAGGCTCAGGATTGTCATGGTGATAGCGTGTGTTCTTTTAAGAATGTTACCTGCCTTGGAAGAAAATACCTTGAAAAATAGAGTGACCCTTTCTTCTCATGGTAGTGGAATAGTATTTCAGAAGGAAGTCCCTCCTTGTTTGTCACCTAGCAGGTAGAGTGTCACCCTGGGGATCAGAAACTCCAGTGACTGAGCCAAGCACTTAACCCTTTCATACCTTGGTGTTTTCCATTTGCAGATTAGTAAGAGAGAATCTGTGTGTCTTCTTTCTACTCAGAATTTGGGTTGACTGTTTATTTATTTAATATTCCTTCCCCACTAAAGTAGGTGCTAACTAATTCATTCTTTCTTACTGCTTTCCTGTGTTAGGGAGAATAATGTTTGTGACATAAATTCAGTGCATGGCTTGTTTGCCACAGGAACCATAGAGGTAAGCATATGTTGACTTTATTTTTTAGAATATTTGTTTTATATTTGATTGGAATTTTTATTTAAAGACTGAGTTGCTTGATTCCTTAGAGCAGGATGATAATGAGGTGATAGCTTGAACATCCTGTAGAGTAACATTCAGTAAATATTGAGATGAATGTACACAACATTTTTCTTTTAAATGATAATATCTTTGAATCAATGTCCTTCACACTTACCAATAGTTTTTTGTAGATTTGCATTTTTCACTTAAAATAATGATAAATACTCATAGTTTTAAAAAATGCAAATATGTCAGAAGCATGTAATTTTAAAAAGTGCCCTTTTATACCTTCCAGTCACCAAATCCTACACCCCAGAGGTAACACTTGAATGGTTTGGAGTAGTATCCTTTCAAATTTTTTTTCCTAAGTGCTATATGCCAATATGCATATGTGTACATACATATTTTTTAAAGTGGTTTACCAAACTGAAATTGTATTCTACTGTAGTTCTCCATTTGCTTTTTTTTTTTTAGACATAACAGTATATAATATACATCTTATTGGTACTTATAATTACTTACGATGCTAAACTAATTTTAAAAAAATTTACAGGCCAGGCGCAGTGGCTCACTAATCCTAGCACTTTGGGAGGCCAAGGCAGGCAGATTACTTGAGATCAGGAGTTTGAGACCAGCCTGGCCAATATGGCGAAACACCGTCTCTACTAAAAATACAAAAATTAGCCGGGTGTGGTGGCACACACCTGTAATCCCAGCTATTTGGGAGGCTGAGGCAGGGGGGCGGAGGTTGCAGTGAATGAAGATTGGGCCACTGCACTCCCGCCTGGGTGACAGAGCGAGACTCCGTCTCAAAAAAAAAAATGATAGTTTACAGATAGCATTCTGTTGTTTGTACTATAATTTATTAAACCAGTTTCATATGGATGGAATTAATGGTTTTTTTTTTACTCAAATTATTTTTATGTTGAGAGATTAATGCAGCCACAAAAAAGAATGAAAGAATGTTCTTTGCAGCAACATGGATGCAGCTGGAGGCTGTTACCCTAAGTGAATTAAGACAGGAACAGAAAACCAAATACTGCGTGTTCTCACTTATGAGTGGGAGCTAACCGTTGGGTACTCATGACCATAAAGATGACAACACTAGACACTGGGGATTACTGGATGGGGAAGGGAGGGAGGGAGGCAAGGGTTGAAAACTAACTGTTGGCTACCATGCTCACTGCCTGGGTGACGGGATCAGTCACACTGCAAACCTCAGCATTATGCAATATACCAGTGTAACAAACCTGCACGTACCCCCAGAGTCTAACAAAGAAGTTGAAGTTGTATTTTAAAAAAAGATTAATATTTGAAATGGGACACTAAGTTTGATCTGACAGATATTATGTAAAACTATGTTGAATGTGTTTGAATACTGTTATGTCTAAATCAAGCTTTCTCTTGGTAGTCAGGTTACTTGAGATTACCAAGGGGAAGTTTTACAAGAGTTTCCCTGAGAAAATAGTTTTTAGGGTCCTTACAGGGCAGTCTAGGCTAGACACCAGGCAATGTGCTAAGAGAAGTTATGTATTAGAACGTGCTGCTCTTCCAGCAGCTGGTTTAAGACCAGCCTAGGACATGTTGAAGGGATAGGAGGTAGGGATGCTCAAAGACTGGGCTTCCGGAAATTCCTTGATTATTAGCAGCTTGCAGTTTCATAAGCATAGTCAGATCAGGCTTAACAAATTCATTTTACATTGATTTTCATATTACATCTCAGATTTTAGTTTCTTCTTTAGTTCTTAGTTATCATAATATTGTCAAACTAAATGTTTGCATTTTGTGCTTTTTGAAGTGCCTAAGAGGGGAGGTTTGGCAATGGAAATATTCAAATTTAGGTAATAGAAAATCAGTGTGCTTAAAAATACATTTTGTATTTACACTGGAAGTTATCTGCATACCCATTTTGTGTTTTTGGAATGCAACTTTTCTTTTTTATGTCCATAAAATTTATTAACTCATTTTGAGAAGACATAGAAGACTAGACCATTTGGAATTACCTGCTGTAGTTTAAAAAGGTTTCCCTTCGATTATTCATCTTTGCAACATACCTACTTGTAATAATATTAAAAGATTAATGAGGTCAGAACCTCCTAAGTATATTGAAGGGTTTGCTTTTAAGGTAGTTAATATATTAAACAATCTTAAAACATCTTTGTTTATGTTTTTGTTTTATCATTACAAAATCAAATGATAGACAAGAACACAAAGTGAAAAGTGTAATTCCCTTCCACCCTGTCCTATTCCTGTTTCCTTAGGTAAATACTGTTAATAATTTGCTGTGTATCCTCTCAGGTTTTTCTGTTTGCACAAGCATTTTTTTAAAAACACAAATGTTGGCTGGGTGTGGTGGCTCACGTCCGTCATCCCAGCTCTTTGGAAGTGCGAGTGGGTGGAACGCTTGAGTCCAGGAGTTCGAGACCAGCCTGGGCAACATGGCGACACCTCTTCTCTACCAAAAATCCAAAAATTAGACAGGCGTGGTGCATACCATAGATGCAGCTACTGGGGAAGCTGAGGTGAGAGGATGGATTGAGCCTACAAGGTGGAGGCTGCAATACGCTGTGATTGTGCCCTGCACTCCAGCTGGGCGACTGAACAAGACCTTGTCTCAAACACACAAACAACGACCCCTCATTTAAAAAAGTAAATTGCTTTTTTGTGGACACAATTCTAGTACATGTATATTCACATCATTCTTTGTAATGGCTAATACTCAGTTTAAATGGACGTACTACAGTTTCTCCATTCTGTTTTTTTTTGAGACAGTCTTGCTTTGTTTCCCAGGCTGGACTCGGCTCACCGCAATGTCTGCCTCCCAGGTTCAAGCGATTCTCTTGCCTCAGGCTCCCGAATAGCTGGGATTACAAGCACCTGCCACCATGCCCAGCTAATTTTGTATTTTTAGTAGAGACGGGGTTTCACCATTGGCCAGGCTGGTCTCGAACTCCTGACCTCAGGTGATCCACCTACCTCGGCCTTCAAAAGTGCTGGGATTACAGGCATAAGCCACCATGCCCGGCCTGTTCTGTTTTTTTGGGTTTTTTTTTTTTTTAGACGGAGTCTCTCTCTGTTGCCTAGGCAGGAGTGCAGTGGCACGCTCAGCTCGCTGTAGCCTCTGCCTCCCGGGTTCAAGCAATTCTCCTGCCTCAGCCTCCTAGTGTGTGGGATTACGGGCATGCGCCACTATGCCTGGCTAATTTTGTATTTTTTTTTTTTTTGGAGACGGAGTCTCGCTCTGTCGCCCAGGCTGGAGTGCAGTGGTGCGATCTCGGCTCACTGCAAGCTCCAGCCTCCCGGGTTCATGCCATTCTCCTGCCTCAGCCTCCCAAGTAGCTGGGACTAAAAGCGCCCGCCACCATGCCCGGCTAATTTTTTGTATTTTTTAGTAGAGACTGGGTTTCACTGTGTTAGCCAGGATGGTCTCGATCTCCTGACCTCGTGATCTCCCCATCTTGGCCTCCCAAAGTGCTGGGATTACAGGCGTGGCCACCGCGCCTGGCCGGGATTCTTCTTTTCATTAAAAAAAATTTTCCCCAGCTTTTTATTTTTAAAAAGTTCACATCTTTGTAAAAGTTTAGTGATATATATATTTTGCATTTTCTTTTCCCATAAAAATGTACATGTATTAAAAATGTTTTTTGAACCTTTTGAAAATAAGTTGCAGGCATTATGATATTTCTTCCCTAAATACTTTAAAATGGATTTCTTAAAAATAAGGACTTTTTCTATGAAATAAACAATGTTAATGTGGTTTATTTTTGTATGTGTTTTAAGGATTTCTTAGCAGCTTTTTTTTTTTTTTTGAGACGAAGTCTTGCTCTGTCGCTCAGACTGGTGTGCAGTGGCATAATCTCGGCTCACTGCAACCTCCACCTCCCGGGTTCAAGCAGTTCTTCTGCCTTAGCCTCCCAAGTAGCTGGGATTACAGGCGTGCACCACATACCCAGCTAATTTTTTGTATTTTTAGTAGAAACAGAGTTTCGCCATGTTAGTCAGACTAGTCTCAAACTCCTGGCTTCAGGTGATCAGCCCGCCTCGGCCTCCCAAAGTGCTGGGATTACAGGCATGAGCCACCATGCCCCGCCTTCTACAGCTTTTATTTAAAATTGTTTTTCATTTGCATAGGGTAGAGTGGAGTGCTGGGACCCAAGAACTCGAAACAGAGTTGGCCTGTTAGACTGCGCCTTAAACAGTGTCACAGCAGATTCAGAGTAAGTAGAAATTAATTTGCAATGTAAATGTTCATCAACTTTTAATTTAAGTAATGTGTCTATATTAAATTCAAATAAATTGCTACAGGATATCTGAAATTGTACTTTCCATGATTGTTTTTCATAAAGATCCTCTCCTGTAAAAGCTCACTAGTGAGTAAGCCAGATAGAATTTCTTTCCAAAATACTATACAGAAGGCCTTATTTCTTTAGTTGCTGTACGATTTTATTAAAACAATTACACTACAGGAATTTGTATTCCAATTTTGTAGAATCTAGTGATAGAACCAGGAGTCCACCACAAAGTCCACAGAGGTGTGCTTTGAATTCTAAGGTGGAAGGAAGCAAGTGTTTTTTTAATATTTTCTTGTTCCTGTTTGCCTAATTTCTACATTTAAACCAATCAGAAGAGTTTTCACTATTATACATCCATTTACAGTTTTATGATTATTTCCTGAGAAATGATACCTAGAACCTGAATTTCTGGATTAAATAGCATACATGTTTTGAAGGTTTTTGGTACATTGCTAAATTGCCCTACAGAAAACATAACCTCAGGTTAAATGTCTCCCTGCATGCCCAGAGCATACATTGCTCACTCTCCTCAGCCTGGGACGTCCATCACAGCACTGCTAATAATAAGTCTTAGAAAGAGCCTGAGGATATTGATTAAATAAAGCTTAGTAGAAATAGTAGCTGACAGATAGTGCTTTCTATTTGCCAGGTACTGGGTCTAAGTTCTTTACATATATTAACTTATTTAATACGACAGCCCTTTGCTGTAGGCACTGTTATTGTATTTATTTTATAGATGAAAAAAATATTCGTCAATGGCATACATGTTACTCAGCCTTTAGGAATTATGTTGCAGAAGCATATTTATTACTAGGGAAAGGTGGTCCAAATGCGCCTGTCAGTGGAAAAGCGAGCCATACTGTTGACTATAGAGTGTTACCACATTGTTATCAGAAAAACAGTGAACACAAGCATAGTCATAGGAAGAAGGCTGGGTGTATTCCAGAATGTAAAAACTAGAGGGTTTTTTTTTTTCCGATTTGCTTTTAGGTAATTTTATTTTTTAATTTTTTTTTAATGCTTAGCTTTTTCGTTTTTGTTTTCCCTACAAACCTTAGAAGCTGTCACTTCTAGGTGGAGCCCATACAATATGAGAAAGCAGTAAGTGTAAGTGTTGGATAGGGGAAGCAGGCTGTCATTATTTGCAGATGATGTAAGTTTCTCTGCCTGAGAAACTCAGGAGAGTAACTGAAAATCTATAAGAACTAATATAGACCAGGCACGGTGGCTCACACCTGTAATCCCAGCACTTTGAAAGGCCGAAGCTGGAGGATCACTTGAGGTTAGGAGTTCAAGACCAGCCTGGCCAACATGGTGAAACCCTGTCTCTACTAAAAATACAAAATTAGCCGGGCATGGTGGTGCATGCCTGTAATCCCAAGTACCCAGGAGGCTGAGGCAGGAGAATCGCCTGAACCCGGGAGGCAGAGGTTGCAGTGAGCCGAGGTCACCCCACTGTACTCCAGCCTGGGTAACAGAGTGAGACTCCATCTCAAACATAAATAAATAGGCTGGGCATGGTGGCTCATGCCTGTAATCCCAGCACTTTGGGAGGCTGAGGCAGGTGGATTACCTGAGGTCGGGAGTTTGAGACCAGCCTGACCAACACAGAGAAACCCTGTCTCTACTAAAAATACAAAATTAGCTGGGCGTGGTGGCGCATGCCTGTAATCCCAAGTACTTGGGAGGCTGAGGCAGGAGAATCACTTGAACCCAGGAGGCGGAGGTTGCAGTGAGCCAAGATCATGCCATTGCACTCCAACCTGGGCAACAAGAGCAAAACTCCATCACAAACAAACAAATAAATAAAGTGTTACCACATCGTTATCAGAAAAGCAGTGAACACAAACATAGTCATAGGAAGAAGACTGGATGTATACCCGAGTGTTAAAACTAGGGTTTTTTTTCTGATTTGGTTTTAGGTAATTTTACTTTTTTTTTTTTTAATGCTTTGCTTTTTTTTTGTTTGTTTTCCCTACAAACCTTATAAGCTGTCACTTCTAGTGGAACCAATACGAGAAGGCAATAAGTGTAAGTGTTGAATAGGGGAAGCAGGCTGTCATTTCCAGATGACATAAGTTTCTGTGCCTGAGAAACTCAGGAGAATAACTGAAAATCTATAAGAACTAATATAACAGTTAAATAAATTGGTTATAAAATGTTCAAAAATCAGTGACCTTGTCAGCACTATCCAGTTAAAAAGGTTATAAATGGAAAAACATTCTAATAACAACAAAAATTGTAAAACTCGATAAGAACATATATGGGCCAGGTGTGGTGGCTCACACCTGTAATCCCAGCACTTTGGGAGGCCAAGGCAGGCAGATCACTTGAGATCAGGAGTTCAATACCAGCCTGGGCAACATGGTGAAAACCCATCTCTACAAAAAAATACAAAAATTAGCTGGGAGTGGTGGCACACATCTGTAGTCCCAGCTACTCGGGAGGCTGAAGCAGGAGAATTGCTTGAACCGGAAGGTGGAGGTTGCAGAGAGCTGAGATCATGCCACTGCACTCCAGCCTGGGCGACGGGAGTGAAACCCTGTCTCCAAAAAAAATATGTGAAGAAAATGACAAAGGAATAAGTAGAGAAGTATATCACTATACTGAAAGAAATGATTAAGTATACTTTGAAGAGTAAGTGACTAAAGTTGCTGTGCATATGAGGCTTCGAGGTTCCCACAGGTGCCCCAGCGCAGTTACAGGCTCAAGCTCTAGGTGGCAGAAGAGACCTGATGATGCCGACAGCCAACAGCCAGGACTCTAGGTCCTGGGCCAAGGGCATGTGGACGATAGGATTGATAGTGATATTGTCCACTTCTGACTCATCGCCTAGCACTCTTTCCACTGGAGATCATTGCTTTTGGTGCTGATTGTCTTGGTTGGTATGTGAGAAGCATATTCTAGAGTCGTGGCCATAGCATTCACTCTGTCTTTGGTACTTTCAGAGGCTCTAGGGTCCCCATTTGAGGATTAGTCTTTTATTTTAGCTGAACTTGGCTAATTTTAAAGTGGAAATGGTGTACCCATGTCCAAACAAAACTATGTCTTCTTAAGTATGAAAGGGGATGTTTCTATAAATACCTTATTCTGGCTTAATTAAAATGGAAGAAAGTAGATTACGTTTTGTATATAAAGTGTAACTTTGATTATGAAAGTTTGAATAAAATTACTATTTACTTACTATTTTTGAGACAGGGTCTTGCTCTGTTGTCCCAGCAGAGCTCCACTGCAGCGCAGTGGAATGATCACAGCTCACTGCAGCCTTGACCTCCCAGGCTCAAGCAGTCTCTTGCCTCAGCCACCCAAGTAGCTGGGACAACAGGTGTGTGCCACCACAACTGGCTATTTTTTTTTTTTTTAATTTTTTGTAGAGATGGTGTCTCACTGTGTTACCCAAGCTGGTCTTGAATTCTTGGCCTCAAGAAATCCTCCCACCTCAGCCTCCCAAAGTGCTGGTATTACAGGTGCGAGTCATCTTACCAGGCTGCAGTTACCTTTTAAACAGAAGCCTAGAAATGTGATTCCTCCCCCCCCCCCCCATTAGATTTGAAGTGAAGACTAATAATGAACTTGTTACTTGGAAGGAGGTTTGGCCGTATATTCATGAAGCATGAATATTTTGCTTTTCAGGATAAACAGTTTACCAACAATCTCTGCTTTGAAATTTAATGGTGCCTTGACCATGGCAGTTGGAACAACCACAGGGCAGGTAAATATGTTTAATTTGGAAACCACATGTAAGTTGGTATTTCAGTGGTGTGTGTATGTGTCATGAGAAATACACTGCAGGAACAGAAAATGAGATCATACTATTTTAGCCAGACCAGAGGGTATTCCAGAATGCTGGATTCTTCCACACCTTGAGAAATCTTGACTCTTGCCTTGGTCAGTCTGCAGTGCTGTGGACTTAGAGCTGCAGTGGGATAGGCCTGCACCACCACACCTGGCTAATTTTTTGACTTTTTGTAGAGACAGGGTCTCACTGTGTTGCCCAAGCTGGTCTTGAACTCCTGGGCTCAGGCGATCCCCCCACCCTTGGCCTCACAAAGTGTGGGGATTACAGGCGTGAGCCACCGGGCTTGGCCATAGGTATTCTCTTGTTAGTGGTTTGGAACAGCATTTTTCAGAGTCTATGCAACAGAATTCTGTGGTCAGACAGTCTTGGGAGTCTGCCAGACTTTTACTCTTGAAGATTGACAGTGGGTTTCAATACTGTTTTAATGAAGGCTCTCAGGAATTCTTGCAGACAAGAAATATGTTTAATAAATATTTCCAAAATTTGTGTGTTCAAGGAACTTTTTTTTTTTTAATATAGCATCATTAACTATAGCACATGCCATGAGTGGTCAGCAGAACATGCATTAGCAGTGCTAGTCTGAGGAGTACTTCTTTCTTTCCTTCAAGGCAGAGCCTGTACACTTGCCTCCTACAAGAGGTCTGAAACCCTGCCTTGGAGGATTTACTTTCTTTGTCATCATGGGCTAGAGGGCATCTGTCACCTGGGACTTAATCCTAGGGGAGCTTTCCCAGGCTTCCTTGCCTCTAGTGACGGGTCCGAAGAGATTCTCCCTTCTCCCAAGAAGTCATAGCCTTGCCACCACCATCTGTCTTGATCTACTAGGACTGTTCCTGATTATGTC
This sequence comes from Homo sapiens, assembly GCF_000001405.40. Taxonomy (NCBI): domain Eukaryota; kingdom Metazoa; phylum Chordata; class Mammalia; order Primates; family Hominidae; genus Homo; species Homo sapiens. The sequence goes on along the minus strand of NC_000002.12, from coordinate 10,658,240 downwards.
TTTCATTTTTGTTTATATCTGTTGCTATGACACTGCCTGGTACATAGGCCCTCAGTATATATTTGTTGAACAAATTAAATTCTTATGGGCTTTCATTTTTTGTTCTTTCTTAGTATGTTCAGTAGCTCTTACAAATTAATCTTGGGGTTGAATTCATAAAATGTATACTCTAAGGATTATTTAAGAGATCTTTCTGGAAAGAATCTCAAATCTCAGCACCTTGAGTAAGGGTGTTCATTGTGTTCATAACAAAGCGATGAAGCAAATGGCTGCCATTATTCTCACTTAGAAATATTTCCTTTGAAGATAAAATGTCTAGTTTGTTTAAACAGAAATAATTTTTTTTCAGGTTTTATTATATGACCTTCGATCTGATAAGCCATTGCTAGTTAAAGATCACCAGTATGGGCTGCCCATTAAGTCCGTTCATTTCCAGGATTCATTAGATCTGATTTTGTCTGCTGACTCTCGAATTGTCAAGATGTGGAATAAGAACTCCGTATGTATTTTTGGTTGAAATTACTTGCTTCTTTATTTGCAGGTGTTCCGAATGATCCTTTCCTCTCCCTTTCCTTTTTTATGTGGGTTATTGGGAAAGAGATACTGAATATACATTTGGGAACTTAGCGGGAGGTCAGTTACTTTTGGATAGATAATATCCATATTTAGATAAGATACTCATGATTGCTTTCCTTCTGTTAAGTTTTCCCAATTATCTAGAATTGGCATGCATTTTAGATGTTAAGTTAGGTAGAGAGAAAATAGTGGTTTACAAAAGTTGATCTATGACCCGAGAAACCCCCTAGATATTGAGATTCCCTCACAGGTGTAGGAAAAGTCTTCAGAGCTACTAATTATCCTTCCATGCATGTTGGTATTATTACATATCTCAAATTCATACTTTTCCTATTTGATTTTTTTTTTTTGAGAGAGTTTGCTCTGTCGCCCAGGCTGGAGTGCAGTGCCATGATCTCAGCTCACTGTAACCTCCGCCTCCCAGTTTCAAGCAATTCTCGTGCCTTAGCCTCAGAGTAGCTGTGATTACAGGTGCATGTCACCATGCCCAGCTAATTTTTGTATTTTTAGTAGCGATGGGGTTTCATCATGTTGGCCAGTCTGGTCTTGAACTCCTGGCCTCAAATGATCCGCCTGCCTCGACCTCCTGAAGTGCTGGGATTACAGGCGTGAGCCACCTCACCTGGCCTTAAAAGCTATATTTCTTAAGAATATTTTGATGGTCCTTCTCCTCAGCTCTAAATGTCATTTGAAATGTAACAAAATCCTATATTGCTGGTTTTAATCTGTCTTCTGCTTTTCATTTTTCATTTTAAAACCTAAGTATTTTGAGAGAATAGTAAAGAGTTGATCAAATAAATGGGAAAAATGCATTCAGTATAGCTATGTTTTTAAGAGTTCTTTGCATTTAATTCATTAGAAACTTAGCATTTTTAGTTTAAAAACAGATCACTTTTAAAAAATTCCCATTTGTGATGAAGTCGGGTGGACGGCCCACCAGCCTGAGCAGTTCGTGCCTAAGCGCAAGTGCCCGTCTATTCCGTGGGGGCTGCCTGTGCCCAGGCACACACGCTGCAGACAGCCCCTCACAGTTCAGCTGCCTGTTGAGTCTCTGGCTTTCTGGGCTGTTACTTTGGTTTTTTAAATTTCATTTTGTTAATTCCTGAAGTATGGGTCTTACTTGGCTTCTTTTCCTTTTTTCTCTGGATCTGTCCTGGAGACCAGAGCTGTGTTCTACATCCCTGAGGCCCTCACCTAATTCATAGGTTCTGGTGACTTTGTTTATGTTACAGAGAAGAACATAAAGAAAAGACAGGCTTTCAGTCTTTCTAAATTCTTGGAAGAATTGCCCTGATGATTGCCCAGGAAGTGTCTATGCTGTCTGCTTTGTTGGCTTTGAGTTTGAAGGATTTTGAGGGCTTTTTTAAGGAAGATTCATGATCTTAGACCAGAACTTTCTCTGCTCTTTTTCTGGCAATTCAAACTAATTGATGTTAAAACAATATTTATTTTTAATACTACAAATGCATATGTTTTTATTCTTAAAAATTCATAAAACACTGGTAAAGTAGAAGTTATTTATCCTTGACCTGGCTTTCATCCAACCAAAGGGAAAGACTGTTAGCAATCTGGATGTATCTTTCCAGACCCTTTAACTTCTGCATAGTTTCCATCATGTGGATTATTATCACCTTTGACACCTTTTTGTCATTGTTGTTCCGTGCCATTATAATTCCTTTCCCTTTGCTTCCTGGTTTCCCCTCTTTTCCTTCCTCTTTCAGTGGGAACTTGAGAAGAACAGCAGGTAGCTGTGTGAATTTCACTGTTAGTCTTGGGTTAGGACTTGGCCGTGTTCTTCATCGGACACAAACCATCTTGTCTGTGCTCTAACACTGCTCTTTTTCGCCGTGGGCACTTAGTCCATCCTAGTGTCAGACTTTGCATAATGAGTTACAAATGCAAGAGCTGGCAGAAATTTTCAACATCACTTCTTGAAATCATCACACTGTAATTGCTACAGTAAATTTTATTTTGGCATTTTTTTTGTTTCTTATGACTAAAGACTTCCTCTTGACTAACACCCACGTTACTTGGTTTTGCCTGACTTGCTTACCTTGTTTATCTTTCTCATCACCTTTTTCCACACCCACCTTCTTAGCATCTTTTTCTTTTACTTTCCTTCTCTTAATTTTTAAAAGATAAAACACTTTTCCCCAACAGTTAAAATAGAAATGGTTTAGCCCTAACTACATAGTAACTAACACTTAAGTATTTGTAGGATTTCATTTTGTATTTCATATCCATTGTCTCACTTGATCCTCCTCGAAACCTTGCGGTGCAGGCATGGCAGTGTTGTCCTCATTTTCCATGCTGGCCATCTCTCTCCTCTGATTGGTTTGTTTTCTTTTCTTTTTTCCTTTCCTTTCCTTTCCTTTTTCTTTTCTTCCCTTCTTTCCCTTCTTTTCTTTCCTTTCTTCCTTCCTTCCTTTCTTTTCTTCCTTTCTTTCTTTTTTTTTTTGGGCAGAATCTCACTCTGTCGCCCCAGGCTGGAGTGCAGTGGTGCTATCTTGGCTGACTATAACCTCCGCCTCCTGGGTTCAAGCAGTTTTGCCTCAGCCTCCCTAGTAGCTGGGATTACAGTTGCAGGCCACGATGCCCGGCTAATTTTTGTGTTTTTAGTAGAGTCGGAGTTTCACCATGTTGGTCAGGCTGGTCTTAAACTCCTGACCTCAAGTCATCTCCACGCCTCAGCCTCCCAAAGTGCTGGTATTACAGGTGTGAGCCACTGCTCCCAGCTGTCTTCCGATTTCTTTCAATACAAGTTAAGCTGGGTACACTTCACAGATTATGAGAGATTTTTTTTTAAAGTTGATGCATAATTCAAACTTCATCTTTTCTTGCCATGTTGACATTATCTTTAAAATGTTGTAATTTTTCTTTTTTTTGGACAGGTCACTTCTTCTCCTTAGGCCTGTTTCTTCATCTATAAAATGGGATTTTTTGATAAATTGATAAGATAAATTCTCTAAGATTTTTAAGAATTTAAATTTTGTATTTGAAGTAGGCTATTTTATTTCTTTACATAGGAGTAGATGGTTGAGTTACAGCTTCAGTTTGACATTGCCAAAGTTGTTGTTCTTTAACTTTTAATACTTCGTTTTTGCTTGCTATTTTTAGGGAAAAATATTTACTTCCTTGGAGCCAGAGCATGACCTTAATGATGTTTGTCTCTACCCCAACTCAGGTATGCATTCTGTAGTGAACGTTCAGTGAGACAAATAAAAAGATGCATTCTGTAGTGAACGTTCAGTGAGACAAATAAAAAGGCTATACTTTTTTAGGTTTTAAACCCATTTTATTTCTTAAGATAGAATTTGGCTTTGTCAGCACAATTCTTGGATATTTAACTTACTTAGAAGAATTAAGAGCAGGAAGTGGTGTGGATGATTCAGAAAATGGCACTCTTAATGACTCAGTGCTCAGCCCGCCCAGCTATTAGTGGAACGTGGTAACAGCATACAGGTAGGAGGCAGGTGAAGTGCTATTTTAGTGTGCTCTTTAGCTCTTTTATGTGATTAGTAATAGTGTGTGGAAATTGAGGGTAGAGATTTGGAGAAAGCTAGATTGCCTGATAATACACAGATGGCTCATGAAGCCATAGGTTTTGTAAATTCTAAGTTGTATGCTATTCAGCAATTTACATGTTAGGTTTCAAAATTTAACAGTGCATTCAAGGCAAATCTGTGAAGAATTTCAGAGTATGGGAGAAAAATGAGAATAGTTTCTACTCTGAGGGCAGAGGTACCCAGATCATCTTGATAGAGAGAAGTAAGGCAGAGCGTGAGAACTCCTATCACATTTGTGCAAAGAGTACTTTGACAGCTTGCTGGAGAGAGAGAGCTTTTACCCTGTGACCACCGAGAGCGGAGCAGTGAGAAGATTTTGCTTTGCGTTGAGCTGGAGTGCCGAGTGAGATTTGGTTAGGTGGAGTTGGGGGGCTGAGGTGATTCTCATGGGAGAGCAGTCCAAGATGACCAAAAAGGATGGGCACAGAGGGCTCGGTTGGGGTGGGGAGGAGTGTCCTGTGCCTGAGCTGTGGTGGCTCTGGGAAGGCTGAAGTGGGAGGCAGAGAGTGGTGGGTGGTAGAGGGTTGGGCATGATGTGCTAAATGTCTTGGGCTCCGTGTGCTGTCAGAGAGGACTTGTTCCGACTGTGCTTTCAGAGGCAGGTCTACCCACTGTGCAAAGGGTAGATTGGTTTTGGACAAAAGTGCCTTGGAAGTAACTGATATTCTGAGCTGAGATGGGGAGCACAGGTGAGAGAGCAAGTTTGGAAAGATTATGGCTTCTTTTTCTAACGTGTGAGGATTAGGAGGTGACAGGACAGTGGCAGTATCTGGCACTATCTGGCTTCCCATCAAAATCATCTGCACAGCTTTAAAGGTACAGCTCCCTTGACCTTATACTAGGTGTACTCACTCATAGTGTCTATGGAAAGGGCTTAGAAATGTGTGGTTTTTTTTTTTTTTTTGAGTTGGAGTCTCGCTCTGTCACCCAGGCTGGAGCGCAGTGGCACAATCTCTGCTCATTGCAACCTCTTCTCCTGGGTTCAAGCGATTCTCATGCCTCAGCCTCCTGAGTAGATGGGACTACAGGCACGCACCACCACGCCTGGCTGATTTTTGTATTTTTAGTAGAAACGGGGTTCCGCCATGTTGGCCAGGCTGGTCTTAAACTCCTGACCTCAAGTGATCCGCCTGCCTCCACTTCCCAAAATGCTGAGATTACAGATGTGAGCCGCCGCGCCTGGCCAGAAACGTGTGTTTTTAACACACTTCCCGGTGGATTCTTAGGCGGCAAGCCCTGAACCGATCCGCAGACTTGTGCTTGGGGGGCGTGTCTGGCGTCCAGTAGAAAATGTGGTCTTGGGGTAAGCAGGTCTGTAGATAGAAAGTTTTGCGATTATCCCAGAAGTGGTGGGAATGAATGAGATTACTGATAGGGAAAGCTGGGAGTGAGATAAGAAGTGAGCAGGAGCTGGTTCATTTGGGAGAATGAGGGGGAGGAGCCAGCTGAGAAACCGGATGGGAATGGACAGAACGACAGTGCCAGGCCCCACGGTTTTTGAAGTATGGAAGAGATTCAGTGGGCACTGCTTAGCAACTACTAAGGATTACAGAAGTTGGGGCAGGAAGGAAAGAACTAAGATTGATTGCATGCTGCTGTTATCAATCTGGATGATGGATGCTGTAATACAAACTTATTTAATATTTTATAACTGTGTAGTCAGTGGTCCATGGCTTTTTTTTTTCTTTTTTCTTTCTTTCTGTTTTTTTCTTACCTCTTAAGGGGTCAGAAAAATTGGGTAATTCATTCAGGGTTGGTCACCCAGCTGGTGTGTGGCAGAGCCTCATTTAGAACCCAGCCTTCCTGTTTCTGGTGCCCATGCTGTTTTTTCTTTTTTCTTTTTTTTCTTTTTTTTTTTTGAGACAGAGTCTCCCTCTGTCCCCCAGGCTGGAGTGCAGTGGCGCAATCTCAGCTCACTTCAACCTCCCCCTCCCGGATTCAAGCGATTCTCCTGCCTCAGCCTCCTGAGTAGCTGGGATTACAGGTGCCCGCCACCACGCCCGGCTAATATTTGTATTTTTAGTAGAGACAGGGTTTCACCATGTTGGTCAGGCTGGTCTCGAACTCCTGACCTCGTGATCTGCCCGCCTCAGCCTCCCTAAGTGCTGGGATTACAGGCGTGAGCCACTGCGCCCAGCTGCCCATGCTGTTTCTAATTGCACACTGCTCTCCCAAGAAAGATGAGAAACCCTGGACTTTATAATTTGCATTTCATCTGTAATAGTTGAGAGAATTTTATTATAATCATGGGAGTAAAGTGAAATTCTGGTGAGTTCAGGAATAGATTGCAGCTGAGGATGCTGGGTCCTAGTTAGGGTATTGAAATGACCTACACCAGGGTCTCGGTTAAGTAGGTAAGTGAGTAAATCAGGTGGAGCTGAGGTTGGGGCAAGGGTGACGAGCAGGGATAGTGCGACTGGGGGAGTGACAGTTTGAAGGGCACAGAGAGTTGGGAGAGAAAGAGTCTTACCTTGGGCTGTACAGTTTGGTAGCCACTAGCCACTCGTGGGCATTGACATGTACTGTGAGTATAAAATATACATTGGATTTAAAAGACATTCTACGAAAAAAGGATGTAAAATAGATCATTAATAATTTTCTATTAATTACATGTTGAAATGAAAATATTTTAGACCTGTTGGATTAGTAAAATATATTAAAATTAATTTTACCATTTTTAAAAATGTGGCTACTAAAAATTTTAAAATCACATATGTGGTTCACATGCTCTTTCCATTGGACAGTGCTGGTCTAAACTGGGAGAGCTTCAACCCTTGAGGATGCTGGTAAGGTTTAGTAGTGCTTGTGCCTGGCCCAGTGTAGCGGGGATTGTTGAGCCTGGTAGGCTGCCTCAGTTTTTCCATTGTAACCAAGGATATAGAAGCCCAAAGAGACACCTGCTGAAATGAGTGCCAATCTGTTGGCCCCCGCAGGCTGTGTGCCTAAACAGCTTCTCCAGGAGGCAGGGCTGGAGGGTGGACTCTTGTGGGCAACTTGATTTCTCAGGTCAGTTTTTGTGCATCTCTTCCCCCACCTTTAATGGCTGTAAAGATCTCTTAACCCACAAAGGGTGTGACTACTTGGCAAAGAAGCCTCTTTCTGAGAAATACTCAGGCTCAGACTGTTGAGGAACCCATTCTTGAAATGCCACCACTGACGACAGTGGTTGGAATCACAAGGACAAGGAGAGGAGGGAGGCTGATGTTAGCAGTGCATGTTGTTACCCAGGTGACTGCTGAGGAAGAGACTTAAAATGGATTGAGAGGGTGCTGATAATTCAACTACGCATCTCTGGAATGCTGATTTTATTTTTTCGCCTGGTCTGTATTTATTTATTTTTTCAGAGACAGGGTTTCACATTGTCACCTAAGCTAGAGTGTAGTGGCACAATTATAGCTCACTGCAGCCTTGAACCCCTGGGCTCGAGCGATCCTGCCTAGGCCTCCTGAGTAGCTGAGGCTACAGATACGCACCATCACGCCGGCTCTCCCCTGGCCTCACGATAAAAATTTAAATGATTTGTCATTTAAAATGGCATAAAAATTGTAAAAATAAGCATGCTTTTAAATGAAATTTAAAAGTGTTTCTCTCTGGGAAAAACGCCCAAAACACTTATTTAATGAAGATTGTTGTGGCCTAGTGCAGTGGCTCACGCCTGTAATCCCATCATGCCTATAATCCTGAGGCAGGAGGATCACTTGAGGCCAGGAGTTCAAGACCAGCCTTGTCAACACAGCAAGACTCTGTCTCTACTAAAAATAAAAAAAATTAGCAGGAAGCAGTGGCACTGTGCGCCTGTAGTCCCAGATACTCTAAGGGCTGAAGCAGGAGGATCGCTTGAGCCCAGGAGTTTGAGTTTATAGTGAGCTGTGATCTTGAAACTAACTGTACTCTTGCCTGGGTGACAAAGCAAGACCTAAAAAAAAAAATTATCTTGCTAACATTTTAATTGTAGAAGCATTTATAGCACAGTGATTTTAATAGTTACTTATTAAAGTAATATTTATGAAGAAATGTTTGACAATTTGGTCAGAAAACATTCTTAATGAGTAGCATTTTAAAAAGTCTATTTGGCAAACTGACCTATAGGCCAAATCCAGTCCACCACTTGGTAATTTGCAGCCTTTGAGTTAAGAATGGGTTTTACATTTTTAAATGGTTGGAAAAAAAAATCTAAGAAGAGTAATATTTTATGACATGGAAATTCAAATTTTTGTGACTGAAATTCAGATTTCAGTGTCTTTCAGCATAAAGTTTTATGTGAACACAGCCACCCTTGTTCGTTTATACATTGTCCATGTGGCTTTTGCAGCACTGTGGCAGAGGTGAGTAGTTTTAACAGTGACCAGGGGGGCTGCAGAGCCTGAAGTGTGTACTGCCTGGCCCTTTACAGAGACAGTTTGCTGACCCCTGGTCCATATTACTAATATAAACAAAAATGGTCACTTTATCCACAGTATTTAATTATGAAGAATTTCAGGCCAGGCGCAGTGTCTCATGCCTGTAGTCCTAGTACTTTGGGAGGCCGAGGCATGCAGATCACTTGAGGTCAGGAGTTCGAGACTAGCCTGGCCAACATGGTGAAACCCTGTCTCTACCAAAAATACAAACTTAGCTGAGCGTGGTGGCAGGTGCCTGTAATCCCAGCTACTCAGGAGGCTGAGGCGGGAGAATTGCTTGAAACCAGGAGGCGGAGGTTGCAGTGAGCCGAGATCATGCCACTGCTCTCCAGCCTGGGCGACAGAGCAAGACTCTGTCTCAAAAAAAAAAAAAAAAAAAAAAAAAAATTCAAACATACAGAAAAGTTGAAAAACTGGTAGAATGAACATCTTTATATTCTCTCCTCAATGTTTGTTATTGTTGTCTTCACCATAATTGATTTATTTATCTCTGTGCTTCTGTGGTTGTTGTGGTTTCTTTGTGGAATCACTCGAAAGCCAGCTGCAGACATGGTGGCACTCACCTGCACCCAGGGTGGCATTGATCTCCTGAAAATCATTGAAATTATTAGGTCCCTTATTGTGCCTAATAAAAATGGCAGCCCTTTTCTAATATTATCTTACATCCAGTCCATTTTCAGGTTTTCCTAATTGTTCCCCATATGCCCTTTTTTAGTTAGGTGTGGTTTTTTTGTTTGTTTTTTGTGTTTTTTTGAACCAGGATATAACTGAGGTTGTGTGTTACATTTCGCTGTTGTGTATCTTTAGTTTCTTTCAATCCAGTATAGTCCCCCACATCTTTTTCTTTTCTTCTCCATGACGTTGACTTTTCAAAGATCAGGCCAGTGGTCTCAGAATATCCTTCATCCTCGATTTATGTGATTTTTTTTTCTCGTGATGTTGTTTAACTTGATCCTCTACCGTGTATTTTTTCTAAAATAGAAGTTAAGTCTAAAGACTTAATTAAGTTTAGATTAAATTTGGGGCAAGAGTAATGTGCAGGCTGCTGAGGTCTCCAGGTCGTTGCAGTATTGGAGAGGGGTAAGGTTGATCCCATTGTTAAGTGATGTCGTCATTACAAAGTACAGTTTCTTGCAAACCAGCAACTTTAAGCATGATGTTTTGGACAAAGGAATGACTGTTACTATCTAATAACTCGTAAGAGGTTAATCAAGAGTAGAAAAGCTAGCCAAATAATTTATTTCATAAGAGAGCAGGCAGAACAAGACCCGTAGGCGCCCCTTCTTTGTGGCTTGGATCTGAGTGTGGCGGATGATTGCACTCCGCTTTTCCTTGCTTTCCCACACCTTTTCCTCCCGTTCAACTCTTTGTGTCTGGTGCTTAATCATTGTGGGCTTAATCATAGTTTAGAAAAGCTGAAACTGTCTTTCTTTTTTCTTTTCACTTACTCATTTTGGAGTAATTGAAGCATAATCATGATTATGGTTTTGTAATATTTTTCTTATACCAAGGCTGCTCAGTATATTGGGAAATGGTTCTGCCTTCCTGCCTTGTTCAGGGCCCTGCTCCTATGGCTCATCAGCCACCTGTACAGTGAGCAGCTGCTCCATGCCGGTCAGGGCACTTGAAGAGACAGCACGGCTCTATGACTTGGGTGTGCATCAGATTCATGACACGGGGAGCTTGTAAAGCTTACGTGTGTCTTGAGTCCCACTCCAGACCTGTGGAATCAGCATCGGTGGTTTCAGAACCATGGTAGAGAGAAAAGAACAGGGGCACTGGGCTCAAGAAAGATCCAATTCAGGCTTAATAGTGGTAGAAATTACCCAACCTCGGAATTCTCACCTGCCTTACAGGGCTGTTGAAGACTACCTGTACTGATAAGTGTGAAATAGCCTTTTATTCCGTCAGTGCCTTCTAAATACATGGAAAACTGTTAGAGCCATCTATAAATATCTTTGGTGCCTTGTATAGTAAACTCAAATGCCCCATACTTTCATCTGAGGTTCTAAATAGGGCAGGAGCGCCCCTGCCAGTCCCCTTTGGCACAGTTCTGCGTGCACAGCCTGTCTCCTCTGAGCTGTTCAAGGTGGTGACTGATGCCATATGTTTTTGCGCAGCACTTCCCAACACGTGTGGTGAAGGACCAGGATTTTGGTTTTTTGTTTTGTTTCGAATTTTCTAATCCACTGCACGTTGATACGTCTGTAAAAGACAATACAAATGAATTACTAGGAAAATGATCACACATTTGGTTGTCACTGCAGTGTTGAATTGCAGGTTTCTAAATGCTTCTTTTCAATTTCTGCACTTATTTCCTGGCCTGGTAACAGTTTGCAGTCTGTCACTGGGGACACACTTTGAGCAGCTGTAGAGCACTGTGTTTGTGTTGTGAACTTCAGTGAGTCCTTTAGTCCCCAGAGCACATGCAGATGAGTACTGATTTGTGCATGTTTCTGGGGAGGGCACTATTTTGTCAAATTCTCTTTTATTGTATTATTACAGCGTACTATACACTATAGTGTACTGGGTCATATTGGAAATGTGTTCTTTTGACTCCAGGTGCTGATATCTTTTCCTTCCTTTAAAAATGTATAGTTTTATTGTGGATAAACTACATTAAAATAAATTTAAAGGAAAAAAGTCCTCAATGCCATAATCTCTTTACACGTACTGTCACGTACTATTACTGTCTTCATGGGTGAAACCATATTAATTCTGTGTTCATATGTTTTAAGTTGTCCTCACACTGTACTTACGGTTATCTTTTGCTTTTCAGTTTGATGTTATATTAAACACATCTTTCACGTTGCCATGTGGTATTCATACTGACTTTTTTAAAATGGTTTCTTACTTGATCATGCAGGAGGTCTTTTAATTTTACCTTAGTTGATGAAGTGTCAGAGTCCCATGTTATGAGCCTTGGAATTGGTAGACTGTCAGTGGCTCTACTTACTAGCTATGTGGTGGCCCTGAGCAAGGGAGGTAACTTGCTGAGAATGTGACTTGCCTGGCGCGATGCTCATGCTCTTCTCTTCTCCTGCCTTGATCATCTTAATTTCTGCTGAACTAAGGCTTTCTTTCACAGGTTTATTTTTCTGTTTCTGCCTGTTAGAAGCTGCTCATACTCTTTGGGCTCTATGATGTTCTTTTTCTCATTCATAATTGCTTTCAGCCCTGACCCTCCTCACTTGAGTTTGGTAGTAGACCTGCTTGTATCATTAGCCGTATGTGGTTGTGTGAGATCCTCCTCCATTTTTAGAAAACAGTCTAGCTGTGTCCAGTCTGAATTTTTTTGTGTAATTACATTAGAGCCCTTTCCGTGGTTTGTTTGGTAGGTGGTGTTGTATTTCATTGTGGAATGTTCATTGTTGAGTGTTCAGGGTTGAGCCAGTGGAGAAGGCTTAGGAGAGGTCTTTATTAGGAACCTTCCTTTTGGTTGTGAAGATGTGGCTTCTGTCTCCAGAACTGCTTTAATTATGTCCAAAGGCTCCTGGAGATCTTTCAGCAGTGTTGTTAGTGGAGACCTAGGAAGCACAATCAGCAGAGGCAGTTTCTGTCCATCATGACCTCGGTGAACGTTGTTTGGAAGGCCAGAAAAAGTGCTAAGATGAAAGATTCTACAAGAGTTACAAGCTATGAAAAACAGCTCTGACTTTGTTTTGGTTTAATTTAGACATTATTCTTGCTTTTTTAGACTTCATTAGGTGCTTTTAGATGTTTTTACGGGGTGTGTGTGTGTGTGTGTGTGTGTATGTGTGTGTGTGTGTTTTGTGTGCATATATTTTTGGTGACCTGTTGGTCCCAGTTCAGGGCTAGCTCACACTTCTGAGTTATTGGCAAGACGTGGTTTTGGTAAGATAGTATCGAGGCCAGATGCGGTGGCTCATGCCTGTAATCCCAGCATGTTGGGAGGCCGAGGCGGGCGGATCATGAGGTCAGGAGATTGAGACTGTCCTGGCTAACATGGTGAAACCCCCCTCCACTAAAAATACAAAAAATTAGCCAGGCGTGGTGGGCGCCTGTAGTCCCAGCTACTCGGGAGGCTGAGGCAGGAGAATGACGTGAACCCAGGAGGTGGAGCTTGCAGTGAGCCGAGACCACGCCACTGCACTCCAGCCTGGGCAACAGAGCAAGACTCTTGTCTCAAAAAAAAAAAAAAAAAAGATAGTATTGAGTTCCTGCTTGAGTGGTAATTGACTCTATTCACTCAGCATCTCATTTCTGTAATAGAGTCAAATATCATCACTTTTACAAACTTTTGTGTTAATAAAAGGAAAGGCAGCAAAAAATATTTTTAAAAACAGAATCTAATCATTGCCCTTAACATTTGGTATATTCATTTATCATTATGTGATCTGATAATCTAAATGTCTTCTCTCTGTGGATTCCTCTTGTATCTTACAAATAGATTTTTAAAATGAATTCTTATTTAGCTGATCTGTAGAAGTCTTTATTTAAAAGCAGGCGCTCTTGAGTTTGACTTTAGCTTTAACATTCTCTCACGACTGGGGCATCAGTCCCTCTGAGCTTTATTTTCTGATCAGTAAAATAGGGCTGATGATACATCTTCTTTGAGAGGGTTGTTGTATGTTCACTAAGATAGTATATGTGAAAGTGCCTAGATGATTATGAAGGACTGGTCAAAGGCTTGCTGGTTTCAGTTTTATTTAAAGTGCAGTGGTCCAGAGCAGGGGATCTGAGGAGTTTTGATGTTTGCATATTGCCATGTTGGAGCTGCTTCAGAACACTTGTGGGGAAGGAGTATGTTGCAAAAATGGCAGAGAAAAGGGAACAAAACCGAGATATTTGAATACTTTGATACTAAGTAGTTTAGTACCAAATAATAATGTACTTATAGGTTGCTCCTGGGGTTATAGAGAATCCTTTATTGAATGCCGGAAAGTTATCTCTTTCTTCAGTTTTGCTTTCTTATATGCTGATCCCAAGGAGACTCAATTATTAACCACCCTGTTGGTTCAGTCTGTTATAATTCCCTGTGAGGGAGTGACTGTGCTGTAGTCAGGGCTGTTAGAGTCCCTCTAGGACTTTCTGGTGTAGATGATAACAAAATGTAGACATTTTGTTTTGCAGTCAGTTTTGTAAAAGTTAGGAATTTGCTTTGCAAAAGCAAAGCAAATTTGTTCTGGAAAATTCGAATTTGTTTTGTAAAAGTTAGGAATTTGCTGTGACATTTTGTGGGAAATACTATACTTTGGTTCACTGACTAACAGAAGTTCCTCAGGCATTTCAGAATGGAAAGCAAATAGAAAAGGGTACTTTCTTTTTCCTATGCATTGACCTTTTTCATTGTATTTATTTTTAGGCATGCTTCTGACGGCCAATGAAACCCCCAAGATGGGCATCTATTACATTCCAGTAAGTAATACAAAGAGGAGTTTCAGTAAAAATAGGACAAGCAAAGATACTTTTTATTATTTATTTAATTTTTTGAGACGGAGTCTGGCGATCACCGATGCTGGGGTGCAGTGGTGCAGCCTCAGCCCACTGCAACCTCTGCCTCCTGGGTTCAAGTGATTCTCCTACCTCAACCTCCTGTAGCTGGGATTACAGGTGTACGCTACCACACCTGGCTAATTTTTGTATTTTTGGTAGAGACGGGGTTTTGCCATGTTGGCTGGGGTGGTCTTGAACTCATGACCTCAAGTGATCCTCCTGCCTGGGCCTCCCAAAGTGCTGGGATTACAGGTGTGAGCCACCACTCCCGGCCAAAGATACTTTTTAAATTGGATGTATTGAGGAACCTGGGTCTACATGTGGCTGTGTACATTAGACACAGTGGACTCACTTTTGGGTTGAATTTGCTTTCTGGAGCCAGTCAATTCATGCTCAAACATTCTTTTATGGGAACTGTTTAATATCATGTTAAAACAGACATTATAAATTAGTATTTATTCTTCTGATTTACATTTATTTTTTGTTTCCAAGTATTTCAGAATCTTAAACTTTCAGCTGTTAGTGATCCGGAGGTCTAATTCTGAAAAGTCTATTACTCTTCAAGTCATCTCACTATAGTTTGTTTCTTTTAAAAATAAGTTACATATATAAATTATCATAGATCATCCTGATCAGGGATGACATGTAGTTTGCCAAAAAAACCTTTTTTTCCCTCCTTAAATAATTCTTCTCTTAAATAGCCAGAAGCTCCCACCCTTCCCTTTAAGTTTATAGTAAAAAATGAAGCAAGGAAATACGATTTCATAAGCAGAAAAACACATAGTATAAAGTTGGCATTAGATTACTTTATACTCAGCAGACATCTCCCTTACCTGAGATTTGAGAAGAGAGTAGAGTGAGGGGTACTGAAGATCAGAATCTGAGGGAGGTGAACTCTCTGTAACCACTATCATCTTGCAGGTATGAAAATTATTCCTGTCTATGATAGTCCTTTTAAAATTGCTCAGTTATGTATTTTCACACATAAAAAAAGCATGCTGCTTGCTGTTGACTCTGTGGTTTCGGGATACTGACGTGTTGTTGAAAGCACTTAGAGATATTTCGTTTGGTTGGTAGTGAAATGAAGGCCGTTCAAACAGGAAGCATTTTGGTTTTCCTAAGTTACCATTTGTTCCTTTTCCCCTGGACTCTTGCAGATACTGCATTCATATTCCTGTCAACTTATCCATCTTTCCTTGTATTCACTTGTTAATAAATATTATGGACTACATCAACTGTGTGTTGGGAACGATGCTGTATGCTGGCAGTATTACAGCATCCAGGGTGCTGCCCTTCTCTTTGAGGAGTTACTGTTGGGAATCCAACAAGAAAGTAGGCAGTTGCCATTCAGTGTGAGGAGTGCTACCAGGGTACTGTGGTGGGAGCACGTAGGAGAGACCCTGTACCCACTGAGGGCCCAGGAGCTGATGAGAAGTGTGGTTGGCACTCAGGGAATACTTCCCAGAGGGAGAGACTTTGAAGGAGGGACCGAAGGATAGCTGCGTCGACTGGGTGAAGGGGTGGGGTGGAGTGAGGTGCCCAGTGGGAGAAGGGTTTTTTTTTCCTTTTCAGTCGACTTTCCCAGGTTGGACAGTAGATCGGATCTTGACAGTAGAGTGGGTGCAGAGCTGCGGGAGCAAGTACCTCCCATGGCTGAGCATTCGAGCCTGTGGGGGCAGGTAGAAAGCCAGGTTAGGAGGGGTCTTGTGAGCCGGCTGTGGGGATGTAGGGCAGGGAGTCCTGACAAGAGTTGTAAGCGGGGGGATAGGATCAGACCTGTGTTCTGAAAAGATTACTTTTGCTGCCGCAGGGGAATGCATTAAACAGGCTCTAATCTGGACGCAACAAGCACAGGCTGTGGCAGCCCACAGGAGAGATGATGGCACCTGCATTACCTGTGCCAGGCTCCCTTTCTAGTAGTTGTGGCTCTTTGGGGTTCTGGGATAATGTGAGAGAAGTCTAATCTGGTAGGCAGTACTTGCAGACGATTCATCCTTGAATTGCCTGGTGGCATGTCTCAGAGGTGTTCATTGATAGAGAGCTGTATAGATCACAAGAATGCTGCCCTCAGACCAGCGTTACGTAGTTTTCTCCCAGTTTGTGCCCCTTTGGGGAACATTGTCAGGAGAGGCAGAATAAATCAGCTTGCCCCTAACCTTTTCATCATGAGAAAGGTCTCTTTCATCTTCCTCTTAGAAGTGCTTATTGTATTTTGATCACTACAGCAACATGGACAGCAAGTGCCTGTCCATGCCTTGGATCTTAGATCCCTTCTGCATGTCAAAAGTAGATAGAATCAACTAGTGGGCAGGTGAAAAGCACTCTCAGTGTGGAGTGCTGCTTCGGGAGGTCTGCCTAGTAGAGGAGGAGATGTGGGCTGGAGAGCCGCGTTATGGAGAGGTGGGGAGGGGCAGTCCTGAAGATGGTTGCAGTGAGGCCACCTTACAAGCCTGTGTGAGGATGGTGGCCATGGGCATAGAATTGAAAGGGTTGTTATGGTTGTAAGAGACTTGAAATTGATGAGTGTGGGAAGTAAGGAATAGGAAAGGACCAAGGATGACACCCCGGTTTTTGCTTGGGCAAATGTGCAGATAACTATGTCATTCTGAGTCCAGGAAGAGGCAGGAGAATATTAAACATTATTTTCCCTTTGGTATTTTCTGCATTTTATAAAATGATCTTTTAAAGAAAGCAAAACAGCTTTTTTGTTCATGCAAACAATGTATGCGTATTCCTATTTATTCTAAGTGGGTTACAAAGTACATGAAAATAAAAACCAGCTATTCCCTCTTGATAATACTATAACTACCATTAATATTTGGATGTATTGTTTTTTAGTTATATTTGTGATGTTATGTGTGGGAAGTTGTATTTTTTTTTTTTAAGCTTTAATGTTTTTTTTTGAGACGGAGTTTTTGTTGCCCAGGCTGGAGTGCAGTGGCACAATCTCGGCTCACTGCAGCCTCCACCTCCCAGATTCAAGCAATTCTTCTGCCTCAGCCTCCTGAGGAGCTGGGATTACAGGCATGTGCCACCACACCCAGCTAATTTTTTTTTTTTTTTTTTTGTATTTTTGTATTTTTAGTAGAGATGGGGTTTCACCATGTTGGTCAGGCTGATCTCAAACTCCTGACCTCATGTGATCCACCTGCCTCGGCCTCCTGAAGTGCTGGGATTACAGGCATGAGCCACCGCACCTGGCCCTAATTTTTGTGTTTTTAGTAGAGATGGGGTTTCACCATATTGGCCAGACTGGTCTTGAACTCCTAGCCTCAAGTGATCCACCGCCTCAGCCTCCCAAAGTGCTGGGATTACAGGCATGAGCCCCAAAGTTGTATTTTATATACAAATTGGTTCCTGGTTTCTTCAGTTAACCTTGGAAATATTAATTCTAAGGTACTGCAATTACCTAAAACATTTTTAGTTGCCTCTATTATATGTCATTGGCTGGTTTATGACATGTCTATTATCTTAGAACTGTAAGAGACCCATTGTTTACTTCTGATTCTCTGGATCAGTTTCTTAGGGTGGGCGTTTTTGTTCCAAGTAATGGTGACTTTAATTAGCATGAGTATGAGGGGCTGGTGATGAGAAGAAGTATGAAGTATGAAGTGTGAGGGGCTGGATGATAGCCAGGTGATGAGAAATTGCCTTCTTGACAAATGTTAGCTTATCTTATAAGACCTTTTTAGTTTCAACTTTCTACCTGAGATTTAACAGAAAGCTGTGAAAAAAACATCCAGAGAGCCCTCTCCTAGGTGAGCTGCATATGGGGACAGTGTGAGCAGAAGTTGCTTTTGCTAAGCGAAGCATTATGCTGAAACTTGGACTTCAGTGTTCCTTTCTGACCTACCTTTCTGCCCTGCTCCCTCCCACAGTACTGAGTGATATTTTATAGCACCACTTGTCTTTACTTGGAAACTGCTCTTTGTAAACTCCTTCAAAGCAAAGGGAGAGCCCAGGGGTCTGAAAGCCTGCCATTTTTCATAAGATTTTATCAAACGTACCAAGTTGACGTTTGGCAGGAAGGTTCATTTGAGGCCTATAGAACCAAAGAAATGTGTGTTTAATGTATGATCCATGCCAAGTTTAGGAAGCCTGGACTGTGATTTGTATTAACATCTTATAAATCAGGTTTGAAAACTTTTTCCCTCCCTCTTTGGGGCATACTGAAGATGAAGGCAACTTAGTGTTCTTTTAGCTTGTTAATTTTTGCCTATCTGATATCATCTTTCTTGAGTAATTGAAATCTTTATAAACTAATGCAGTTCCTGATACACCACCTTCTGGCACTTAGATATCTCTGTAGCCAGCTTGTCCTTTGAGACCAAATGGGTTGTCTGCAGCCCCTGTCCCATTTTCTCAGTTCTTTCCTTATTTTTTATTTTTATTTTTATTTTTTTAATTCTCTCAGAGACCAGGTTCTATTGTTTTGTTTGTTTGTTTTCTCCAGGGTCTAATTCGTCTGCAGCTTCAGAGACTAATGCCAAGAATAATTTTTCAAGCTTGCTTTTTCCTCTGAAACATAATTTAATCTTAGGTTAGTTCTTTATAATTAACATCCTTGGCAACTATGTAGACTTCAGAGGGAATCCAAGTCCCCTATGGCACCCAACCCAAAACCTTTCTGCTTAATGGTGTTTCTGTTGGAAATGCTCCTGAATTCCGAGCCCCTAGCATATCAGGGCACTCCTGCAGCCACTCATTGCTTGGTGGTGGTGGTTGGGGTGTGAGTGATTGCTTGCTGCTTGGTAATGTGGATGTGTAAACTTGAGGAAAAATGTAGGAGGAAAACTATTTGTTTGGGAAGCTGTTTGATTTAGATGGAGTCTCGCTCTGTCGCCCAGGCTGGAGTGCAATGGCAGGATCTCGGCTCACTGCAAGCTCTGCCTCCCGGCTTCACGCCATTCTCCTGTCTCAGCCTCCCCAGCAGCTGGGACTATAGGCGCACGCTGCCACGCCCAGCTAATTTTTTGTATTTTTAGTAGAGACGGGATTTCACTGTGTTAGCCAGGATAGTCTTGATCTCCTGACCTTGTGATCCGCCTGCCTCGGCCTCCCAAAGTGCTGGGATTACAGGTGTGAGCCACCGCGCCTGGCCCAAGCTGTTTGATTTAGAAGAATAAAAGTAATTCAGTTGGCCAGGCATGGTGGCTCACGCCTGTAATCCTAGCACTTTGGGAGGCTGAGATGGGCAGATCACTTAAGGGCAGGAGTTTGAGACCAGCCTAGCAAACATAGTGAAACCCCATCTCTACTGAAAGTACAAAAATTAACCAGGCGTGGTGGTGTGTGCCTGTAGTCCCAACTACTCAGGAGGCTGAGGCAGGAGAATCGCTTGAACCTGGAAGGCAGAGGGTGCAGTGAGCCGAGACCACACCAGTGCACTCCAGCCTGGGCAACGGAGCAAGAATCTGTCTCAAAAAAAAAAAAAAAAAAAAAAAAAAAAGGCCAGGCACGGTGGCTCAAACGCCTGTAATCCCAGCACTTTGGGAGGCCAAGGCGGGCGGATCACGAGTTCAGGAGTTCAAGACCAACCTGGCCAACATGGTGAAATCCCGTCTCTACTAAAGAGACAAAAAATCAGCCGGGGGTCATTGTGGGCACCTGTAATCCCAGCTACTTGGGAGGCTGAGGCAGGAGAATTGCTTGAACCTGGGAAGCGGAGGTTGCAGTGAGCTGAAATCATGCCATTGCACTCCAGCCTGGGTGACAGGGTGAGACTCTATCTCAAAAAAAAAAAAAAAAAAAAAAAAAAGGGAATTCAGCTATAAGGGTATGTGCTTTGTTTTTGTTTTTTTCTTTTTTTAATGTCACTATTTAAGATGTTATAAAGAATAAATACTGCACCCAGCTTTCAAGAATGGCAGTTAGGTACTGTTACGTTACGTTACGTTACGTTACGTTACGTCACGTCACGTCACGTCACGTCACGTCACGTTACGTTATTTTTGAATGAGACAGGGTCTTGCTCTGTCACCCTGTCTGGAGTGCAGTGACGTGATCATAACTCACTGCAGCTTCATCCTTTGGGGCTCTAGCATCCTCCCGCCTCAGCTTTGTGAGTAGGTAGGACTACAGGCATGTGCCACCAAGCCCAGCTAATTTTTATGCTGTTTTTTTGTAGAGAGAGGATCTCACTGTGTTGCCAAGGCTGGTCTCAAACTCCTGGCCTCAAGCGATCCTCCCACGTTGGCCTCCCAAAGTGTTGGGATTACAGGTGTAAGTCACTGCACCTGGCCAGTTATTTTATTTTCAAACATTTTCTTAAGAAACTCCTATATTATTTCTATTAAAATATTTTGACTGTTTAAAATAAAACACTGATTAAATATTTTAACATTTACCATTTAATTTAAAATTTGGAAAGTACTCTTGGAGCCTGCAAATGAGGCGGTTAAAAACATGAAGAACCCTTCTAACTTGCACTAGTGCTTCTGCGTCTGTTCAGAATCGCACTGGAGCTTATCCAGCAGTTCATAAACCCACAAAACTCTGTCTTCGCAAATAGAGGACACTATGTGTTAAGAAGCATAAGGCCTCAAAAATACATACCACACAGCTTCACAGAGGCACGCAAACCAAAGGAAATGCACAATTGGAAGCCACATTTTTTGGAATGTAATAAAAGGTTGTTTAGTGAATGTTTCTAAGCCTCTCAGCTGAGTAGGTAGCACACTCCCCGCAGAGGTGAGGCCTTCTGACGCCATCACAGGGTTCAACGCTGGTATCTCCTCAGGGCTTCAGTCACTGGGCTAGGGCAGACATCTGTGCTCCTGCACCTGTAAAGATGGCAAGGCAGTAGGTGCTGCAGAATTTTAGGGGTTGTCAGGGAGATGCTTTTGAAATCATTATAGCTTTGGGAAGTCAGTTTTAGGGAAATGGCATGGACATTTTTCTAGTAAATGTATGAATATTTGCAGTCTGGCAGATTTTTTTCTTGCTCAATGAAGAAATACAAATAGATATTATAGTCTTTTTCTCAGGTTTTTTTCTGTAAGGGTTTTTGGTTTTAGTGTGTGTGTGTGTTTTTTTTTTTTTTTTTTTTTTTTTGAGACAGTGTCTTGCTCCGTGGCCCAGATTAGAGTGCAGTAGCACAATCAACCTCCATCTCCTGGGTCAAGCGATTCTCTTACCTCAGCCTCTCAAGTAGCTGGGATTGCAGGTACGCACCACCACACCTGACTAATTTTTGTATTTTTAGTAGACATGGGGTTTTGCTGTGTTGGCCAGGCTGGTCTTGAATTCCTGGCCTCAAGTGATCCACCCATCTGGGCCTCCCAAGGTGCTAGGATTACAGGCGTGAGCTACCACACCCAGCCTCTAAGGGTTTTGTGACAAAAACAAATTTAGGTGCAAACAATTTTAACTTCTGTCTGTGGTGAATTGAATTTGTTAGTCTAGTTCTAAACTCCATGACTATGTCAATGACTGTTGTCTGTTAGAGAGGTACTTATGGATACTTTTTAATCATCGCTATGTGATCTTCTTCCTATATAGATGGTATCTTTTTTCAAGTTCAGTATTTGAAACATTACTGTTCTGGTGTGTTTTGGCATAATTTTCCAAAGTCTTAAGAACACAGCCTTACTCCTCAGCTTCATTAAGAAGATACTTTTTTTTTTTTTCTTTGATTGAAGGTCGCACTCTGTCTCCCAGGGTGGAGTGCATTGGTGTGATCATGGCTCACTGCAGCGTCACAACTTTCTGGGCTCAGGTGATTTTCCTACCTCAGCCTCTCGAGTATCTGGGACTACAGGTATATGCCGCCACACCCAGCTAATTTTGTTTGGTGTTTTTTTTTTTTTTTTTTTTTTTTTTGGTTTTTTGTAGAGACAGGGTTTCACTATGTTGCCCAGGCTGGTCGCCAACTCCTGGGCTCAAGCAGTCTTCCTGTCTCGGCCTCTTAGAGTGTTGGGATTGGGATTACAGGTGTAAGCCACTGTGCCCGGCCAAAGATGCCATATTTTATCAGCTATCCAGAGTATATGTTGTTTTAGTTTAACGGTAGATTTGACAGTATCTTGAAAATAAGTGTCAAAAATTCCTGGATGGGCCAGGCATGGTGGCTCATGCCTGTAATCCCAGCACTTTGGGAGGCCGAGGCGGGTAGATCACTTGAGGCCAAGAGCTTGAGACTAGCCTGGCCAACAAGGCGAAACCCTGTCTCTACTAAAATACAAAAAAATAGCTGAGCATGCTTTGGCACGTGCCTGTAATCCCAGCTACTTGGGAGGCTGAGGCATGAGAATAACTTGAGTCTGGCAGACAGAGGTTACGGTGAGCCGAGGTCGTGCTACCGCACTCCAGCCTGGGTGACACAGACTCTCTTAAAAAAAATAAGAAATACATGAAATTCCTAGATGGACGAGTGTTTTGCTATTTTGTCTCTTAATATTTTTATTTTGTCTTCCTATATTATAAAAGTAAATGTAGGAGACCAACAAGTGCTTGTATTTGTTCAGTAAGGATATATTGAGTACGGTACTAGGCTGCAGGAATATGTTGGTGAAGAAAACCAACATGTTCTCTATTGTACACTCACCGCCCTTGTGAGCTTACAATCTAGGTGAGGGGTGGTGATAAACAGATCTGTGACTAAGCGCTGTGAAGGAAGGCAGCAGGGTTCAGTGGCTTCCTACGCATTTTCCCTAAGTCAAGGGTCAGGCACTTTGTATCAGTCTCTTTTTTATGTAGATATTTTATCAGCCCCCTTCTTCTGTGTAGATATTATATATAGATTTGTAAAAATCTCCCCCACCTTCATCTTAAATTTGAATTTCAGGGTTGGAGACTTGGTGTTTTCTTTGCCTTATGATCATAGCACATATCTGGGGCAAAATAGTGAATGACCATATTTGTCCCACAATCTCTGGAAACAAAAGAGAACAGTAGAGAGAATGTTGGCCGATAGAGAACGTAGAGGTTGAGCCTCTATAATCCAAAAATCTGAAATGCAGACGCTCCAAAATTTAAAACTCTTTTGAGTGCCAACATGACTCCACAAGTGGAAAATCCAAACATGAGACTTAACCTAAAGTCTGTTTCCTGCCAAAAATTATTAAAAATATAAAATGTTTAAAGGTATAAAATTACCTTCAGTCTGTGTGTATAAAGTGTATATGAAGCATGAATGAATTTCATGTTTAGACTTGGGTCTCATCCCAAGATATCTCATTATTTTTATACAAATGTTCCAAAAGCCAAAAAAAAAATCAAAAATTTAAAATCCTTCTGATCTCAAGCATTTTAGAAACAGGCTACTCAGCCTGTATTGCTTTTCCTGGACAGACGTGTACAGTCATCCTCCCTTTCTCCTTGAACATACATCTCATATGCACATCATTTTACTTTATCTCCAAGTGGTATTTAGAAACACAGTTGACCAGGCCTCCTTAAAACTCTGTGCCCAGCTTCTAGAAGGCCACATTCTCCTGGGATTCCTTCTTTCATCTAGTTATCTCTTTTCAGTCTTCACTGGCTCCTCCTCCTGCTGATAACGTCCTAGACTTCGGATCTTGCCTCTCTCCCCTGACCTCTGAATGTTAGTGAGCGCTAGGACTTAGTCCTTGTCTCTTCTTTATTTATATTCTCTCCCAGGGAGCTTGTTTATGCCTAGGCTTTATATAACTAGGCTTTATATAACAGCTGTGTGTTAATGACGTCCAATTTTCCCTCTCCAGCCTTCCCTCTGAGCTACAGAGGTACATATCCACCAGTCTACTCGGCTTCTCCACTTGGATGTCTAATAGCACATCCTGTTTAATGTGTCTACATCAGAACTTCTGATCCAGCTCCCCACCTGCACCCCACCTGCCAGGGTCTCCATTTCAGCTGAAGCCTTGTTGTTGCTCACTCGGCTGTCTAGGCTTAGAGCGCAGGAGCCATCCTTGTTTCCTCTCCTCTCCACTTCATGCCTCGTCATCCAGTCCATCAGCTGTTTGCAGATTTTGTTCCACATCCAGCCATTTCTCAGTGCTTCCCTTCCATCAGGCCTCTGGATTACTGTAATACTGGATAACTGATCTTTCTGCTTCTGCTTTTGTCTCTCTTGTAACCTATTTTCCATGTAACAGCCAGACTGATGTAAAATATTAAAAATATAAACAAAACAGGCCCAGTGCGGTTGGTCACACCTGTAATACCAGTGCTTTGGGTGGCTGAGGCAAGAGGATTGCTTGAGCCTAGGAGTTTGAAACCAGCCTGGGCAACATAGTGAGACCCCATTTCCACAAAAAGTTTTAAAAATTAACCAGGTGTGGTGACATGTGTCTGTAGTTCCAGCTACTTGGGATGCTGAGGCAGGAGGATCCCTTGAGCCCAGGAGTTTGAGGCTACAGTAAGCTATGACCATGCTACTGCACTCCAGCCTGGGTGACAGAGCAAGACCCTGTTGCTTAAAATAATAATAATAAATATATATATATACACACACACACACACACACATACATATAAACAAAACAAATATAAATCAGATTGTGTTACTCTTCTGCTTAAAACCTTCCAGTGGCTCATTATTTTGCTTACAACTTGAAAAGTCTTACATAATAGAAAAGCAGAAAGAGACTAAAGAATCAGATTCTGTTTTCTTCTCACTCAACAGAGAATAGATCTCTATTAAGCATTAATCTATTTACAAAGATCACCAAATAGTCAGACTGTTAAACCAAATCCTCAGCCACTGCCACCATAAATGGGGAATAACTTATGGGCTGTTAAACCAAATCCCCAGCCACTGTTACCATAAGTGGGGAATAACTTATGGGCTGTATATTAATAATATATCAATATATAATTAATACCAATGTTATGATACATTAATATATAATTAATATATCAATTATATATTACATAAGCTTTATTAGATAAGAAATTTAAAATTAGAGCCTTTTGCGGTGGTACCCACCTGTAATCCCAACTACTCAGGAGTGGAGAATCACTTGAGCCCAGTTCAAATCCAGCTTGGGCAACATGGTGAGAACTTGTCTCAAAAAAATAACGGAATAACTAAGTAAAATAAAAAAGAAAGACAGACACAGCCAAGTTCTGCTGTTCATTTGGATTCACCCCGCGAGCCAAGGACAACTGTGCTTGGATTTCAGGAGCCCAAGTATGTTACACTCTGATGAGGAAGTTTTCCTGGTTCTGTCAGGTGAGTGCATCAGGTATCTTAGTGAGACCTCCAAAACTGCTAAAAGATAACTTCCCCAAAACATGAAATCATGATTCTCATATAGAGATGAAATAAATACATCTTAAAATTTTAATTTAGGCCTAGTGCGGTGGCTCACACCTGTAATCCCAGCACTTTAGGAGGCTAAGGCCGAAGGATCACTTGAGCCCAGGAGTTTCAGACTAGCCTGGGCAACATAACCAAGACACTGTTGCTATTATTTTTTTAAATAATATTTTAAAATTTAAAAATTTCACATTTTAATTTAACCTGTAAATTAAATGAGGGAACCAGGCCCATGGTTAAATCAAAAGGTAAAATTTTAATTTAACTTTTAAAAGGAAAAGTGTAAAAAAGGACAAATTTACATGGAATAAAGTTATATTGAATTGGGAATGTGCAAGTAGACACAAAATGGTCTATTTTGGACTATTTGGGGCCTTTTCCAAAGGTATAAACTGTCCACCAGACATAATTCATTTGCATGTCTATAGACAATTATTTTGCATTGCTTCCAGTTACTTACAATTTGCAAAGTTGTAAAATAGGTCCTGTAGAATGAGAATCAGATGATCTTGCAGGGTGTACTCTAGACTGGGGTTTGGGAAACTACACACCAGCTGTCTGTTTTTGTAAATAAAGTTTTATTGAAACACAGTGAGCCCATTCATTTATGTATTATCTATGCAACTTTCTGACTATAATGGCAAAGTTGAGTAGCTGTGACAGAGACCATATGGCTCGTGAGCCCTAAAATATTTTCTCTTCGTTTATTTACTTCTTTACGTCTATATTTCCCCATTGTAATGTAAGACATGAATGCAGGGGCGTCATTTTGTCTTTTTCCCTGTTATATCCTCAGCACCTAAAGCAGTGCCTGTCATACTGTAGGCCCTCACTTAATGGGTGTGGAAAAATTAATGAGCACACAAGTGAGAGTGACCTGATTACTGCAATTTGGAGCGTCTTTGATAATGGTTGTGTACTTTGACCATGGCTGGTTTGCAGTGCTTCTTGACCGTACTTAATGCCAGATTGAAATTTTGCATTTGCCCTTTTCTGCTACTACTATTAAAATATAGAAAGGCACTCTGGGAGGCCGAGGCGGGCAAATCACCTGAGGTCGGGAGTTTGAGACCAGCCTGACCAACATGGAGAAACCCCGTCTCTACTAAAAATACAAAATTAGCTGGATGTGGTGGCACATGCCTGTAATCCCAGCTACTAGGGAGGCTGAGGCAAGAGAATCGCTTGAACCTGGGAGGCAGAGGTTGCAGTGAGCTGAGGTCGTGCCATTGCACTCCAGCCTGGGCAAACGAGCGAAACTCCATCTAAAAAAAAAAAAAAAACAGGGAGAACATGGTTCATGTGTGCCAGAGTATAATTTTCATACAGTAGGATTAGCATCAGTTCTTTGGCTCTGACAGTGCCTTCTTGTCAGCCACATCTGAGAATGGTGGTATGATGCAATCGTTGTGTTTGGGAGTGCCAACAAATTTTTAAAAGTAATACCTTGTCCAAAAGATTTAATAGTGATTCTGTTAAGAAGATAGGTTAATTAAACTTTTTTTTCCTATAAAAATCCAAAAGGAGAATATGAAAGCAAGGGCATTTAGCTTTTGTCTTAATTTTTTTGGAATTTGTGCAGAAGTTGGCTTTGCATCTAGAGTATGACAGCCTTATTGTATGTTTTAAAGATTGAAAAGAATGCCTTTTGTTTTTCTCTCCATGCTTTTAACTGGAGTTGCTGGGAGTGCTGTACACGTCATTCCCTAAGATTTGGGTTTGAATCAGGACCACGATTGGTCCAGCTGATGTATTTCAGTTCAAAGCCAACAATGTAGGATCATTTATGTTTACTAAATTGATATTCTGGAGAAGTCCCCAGTAAGAGATCTCTTTGCCCCATTAGTATATGTTGAAATGGCCCTGAATCTGTTAGTGTCCGTGTAGAATCCTAAAAATGATAGATCACACTTTCATCTAAAGTGCACATTTAAGCAGAGCCCTATTAGACATACTGACAGATGTAATTTTGCCAGAAATTGCTCTTTTATAGTACCAGTAGCAACATATTCTCTTTGTTTGGGAAGGTAGTGTCAGATGAAAAGAAAACTCTTCCCTAGGGAATTTATCAGCATACAAACGATGTTCCAGACAGAATGTAAACGGGAAAGTCGTTGCTCAAATCTTGTCCACACTAAAGGATTCATCAGTGTGCTTTAAAGGAAAGGGGAAGCTTTGGAGCATAGACCATCAGAGCTAGAAGGGATCTCCAAGGTCATCTAGTCCAGCCCTTAATTTGTAGCTGAGGAAGCAAGTTTTTGGGTTTTTTTTTGTTTTGTTTTTCCTGAGACAGTGTCTTGCTCTTTCGCCCAGGCTGGAGGGCAGTGGCACGATCTCAGCTCACTGCAAGCTTCACCTCCCAGGTTCACACCATTCTCCTGCCTCAGCCTCCCAAGTAGCTGGGACTACAGGCACCTGCCACCACCATGCCCGACTAATTTTTTGTATTTTTGGTAGAGACGGGGTTTCACTGTGTTAGCCAAGATAGTCTCAATCTCCTGACCTCATGATCCGCCCGCCTCAGCCTCCCAAAGTGCTGGGATTATAGGTGTGAGCCATCGCGCCCAGCTGCAAGTTATTGTTTAAGGTCAAATGGCAAGTTGGTGACAGCTGGATCTAAAAAGCATTTCTTCCTTCCACATTGCATAGTAGAAATAACTTAGACTTTGGAATTGGTTGGACCCGAGTTTGAATACCAGCATTGCCATTTATAAATGTGACCTTGAATGAGTTACTTATTCTCTCCGAACACTAGTTTCTTGAGCAACAAAAGAGGAATGATATTGTAAGGCATTTATGTAGAATGGATATACTCATTCAGTCATTTCTCATGTTCAGCTGATTTCTTGTAATGAACAGAATTCACGGGGTCCGTGGGTGGCAAAGAGTATTTGGATAAAATTAAGTCATTAAGCTGGGTGTGGTGGTTCATGTCTGTAATCCCAGTACTTTGGGAGGATGAGGTGGGAGGATCACTTGAGGCCAGGATTTCTAGGCAGCCTGGGCAACATAGTGAGACCCTCTTTCTGCAAAATGTTTTAAAAAATTAGCTGGGCATGGTGGTATGCATTTGTAGTTTTAGCTACTCAGGGGACTGAGGGGAAAAAGAATAATAATTATGGCATTGTGTGAGCATGGACTTTTATTTAGCTTTTAGAAGGGAATATCATGTTGAGCAAAATAAAGCTATACACGGAAAAGATTGTGACAAACTTGTGAATGTGAGCAAGGAAAATGAGTTAAGACATGATTTGGGATTGTTTAGTCTGATAATCACTTAAGATATAGATTGAGAGAGGTCTGTTGTGCCATTAGTTTTGCCATTGACTATTGAAACAGAAAGCAGTGATAACATCTGGTTGTTTAAATAAGAAGTCTGATTTTTTAAAGTGAAGTTCATTTTCCCCAATTATATCATCAAGGCGCACTCTTTGTACAAAATATGGCAAATACAGATGAGTAGAAGAAAACTCAAATACCCTTCCACTGCCTAAAGACAAACATTAACATTTTGCTGTATTTTTTCAATATTTAATCTGAAACTTTGTTAATATGGTTTCTTATCTTGTTTTTTTTCCCACTAAACATTTCTTTATTATTATAAACTCTTGGAAATTATTAAAAAATATATTTTCTGTATGAATATAAAGTAATAGTTATTTTTGAAAATACATAAATATCAGAAAAAGATGAAAAATTTATAAATCTCACTAGTCAGAGACATTCTTGCCAACATTTCTGTTACATTTTCTTTGCATTTGGGATATTTTAGTGGCTACTGATTGGATTTAAAGTGAAATCCTGTCAGAAGTTCATTTAGCTTACATCAGTTTCAATAAAAGCCCTTCAAGATGTTGGAGGCTGGAGGTGGAGGGGTGGTGGGGGGAGGGAGGGAGGTGTATGTAGGGGAGAGGTGGAGGGAGCAAGCGAGCATGTTTGCACTCTTAGGCAGTTTCACTTACGTGGCTGTCCATTCGCTCTGGGGGGCATATGTCCTGGACTAAACTTGAGATGAGAGGGCCTTTCTCAACCGAGAAAACGTGTTCCTAATTCCCTAAGGCATCCAGTTTATGTGATCAATTACCTTCTCCCCCATGCATTTAGGATGGCTCCAGTGATGGATCGTTGTTGGGAGAATTGAGAAAAGAGTTACTCGGTTATTTTTGTGTTCTTAGTTGAGATGAGGAAGACTGTTTGAAAAAGTTTGCTTAAATGTGTTGTTTCCTAATACTGCGCATGACAGCATCACACTGAGTGTGATTCTGGTCATTTAAGACATGGGATTTTTTGGTATGACGTAGTCACCAGGTGCAAGTCTCCTGCTGTATCTGGTCCTATTCTAACACCAGATGGAAATTCTGACGGGCCTTTCAAGTTTAGGTTTGCTTATATTCCATTTAGTCTTATCTGCTTGACTTTAGAACCTGATCTTTATATAAGAGATTAAACCAATGAAATTAAACTTCAGAAATATTTAATGCAATGGATAGAGTAGGAGAAGGGGAACAATTTTAAAAATACAGTTAGCGGAATGGGTGAGATGGTGCCTAGCAGCAGCAGCATCTATAACAAAAAGAGCTCTGTTGGTTTCAGTCAACTGTAAATCAAAGGAATAAAGGTTAAGTAGAATGTTGGCAGTGACTCCACTTGTGAATGGGGGTCGAGAATGTCAGGATAGCACAGTGAAGGGGCTGTCTTGGGGCTCTTCATGTGCAGAGTGTACCTGTGTGTGTTATTTCTGCTAGTGGTGGTAAGTTGGAGAAAGCTCAGAAAAGAATTCAAGAATTGTGTTTCCAGGCATCATCTAGATAGAGAAGGCATGATTTTAGGATCTAGGAAAAGAGTAAGATCATGCAAGAAAGCTACCTTGTATGAGGTACAGAAAATGATAGGACATTGGCCTGAAGACGAAAGTTTTCATTGTTTGAGGGTGTGGGAAGAGCTGTCAGACAATGGGAGGCAGTGAAGCACTCGCCTTTCACAGCTTCTAAAAGGAGGAAAAAGACAAATTTGAATGAAAAATATGATTTACTTTAAATTGAGTTCAAATTTGAATTCAGATGTATATTTTTAATTTTTTATTATTTTTATTTTTTAAAATTTTAACTTTTTTTAGATTCAGGGGGTACATGTATAGGTTTGTTACATGGGTATTTTGTGTGATGTTGAGGTTTAGGATGCGATTCAACCAGTCACCCTGGAAGTGAGCATAGTATCCAAAGTTGTCCCTCCCTCCCTCTCTCCCTCCCTCCCTCTCTCTCCAAAAGATGTGTTTTTTGTTGTTGTTGTTTGTTTTTTTTTGTTTGTTTGTTTGTTTGTTTTTTTTGAGACGGAGTCTTACGCTGTCACCCAGGCTAGAGTGCAGTGGCGCAGTCTCAGCTCACTGCAACCTCCGCCTCCCGGGTTCACGCCATTCTCCTGCCTCAGCCTCCCGAGTAGCTGGGACTACAGGCACCCGCCACCACGCCCGACTAATTTTTTGTATTTTTGGTAGAGACGGGGTTTCACTGTGTTAGCCAAGATAGTCTCGATCTCCTGACCTCGTGATCTGCTCGCCTCAGCCTCCCAAAGTGCTGGGATTACAGGTGTGAGAAGATGTGTATTTTTAAGATGTCTTGATTCATAATAGGATAAAAGAAACAAATGCCTAATTTTATTCTCCAAGAAAGGTATTACAATGATAAAGCCAAGCCTATAAGAAAGATCCGGAAAGATAAGACATCTTATGGAAGGTAAAAGACCTAATTTTATGGGGAAAAAGTGTGGAGTTCTGTTTTGTGATTTTTCAGTTATATATTCATAACTATGAACTGGGAAGCAAGGCACAAATGTCAGGTGGTTAATACAGATTCTTTTGTAAGACAAACAAGTTGTTTGTGACTTTACAAAGGGGAAATGTGGACTTCCTATTTTAATCTAAACACTTTCAGGTAGTAACAGTATCTGTGGCCTTTTTCTCAACAAAGGATATCCTCCCCGTTTCCCATCACAATTTATTGGATCACAAGAATAGCGGACATACAGAAGCATTAATGTGTGACAATCAGGAAGTAATTTTCTGAGCATCCTGTCGCATTTTCAAAGTTAATTTCAGTTCTGATTGGGTAAAAATGTATGTAATTTTCATGGAGATATTTGATACACATATGACATATATTGTGTTAGTGTATCAGATGATGTTTGTTTTTGCTTAAATAGTCTTACATCTGGCATGTCCATTTTCTTGAAAATAAATGACAACTTCCTATTCAGATGCTAGTTTGACTTCAATGTTGACCAAAGGCCTTGTCTCCTGGTTCCGGCATTTCCTCCATCTTGGTGCTTACCAAGTCGATCTCGTTGCCATTCTTATTTTGGATGAGATATAGTCGGACTTAAACCTAGTATTTCAGTGTCCTGGTTGTGTAGTCACTTAGGTGGCGATGTCTTTAGTTAACATGGCCATTATCTCTTCTTTTTTTTTGGTTTTGTTTTGTTTTTTCCTTAAAAAAGAAGGTAGCTTATACAAGTAAGCCAGAAATTTAGACTACATTCTTTTAAAAGGCCCACCTTATACAGAAAATAATAAGAAAGTTCTAGGACTTACACCATCTCTACTTTGATTCAGTGTTCTCAAATCCCAACGTAAGTTTCTCTTCTGATGCCCACTTAGGATGTAAGCTCCACAAGGCGGGAACTTTGTATGTTGTGCTTTTTGCTGTGTCCTTGGTTCTTAGAACAGTGTCTTATACTTCATAGGCTTTCATTGACTCCATGCATGCTGGTTTAAAGTAATGAATATTGACCCTTTTAAAATTTGTTTTATTTATTATTATTTTTTGAGACAGGGTCTCACTCTGTCTCCCAGGCTGGAGTGCAGTGGTGTGATCATGGCTCACTGCAGCCTCCAAACTCCTGGGCTCAAGTAATCCTCCTACCTCAGCCCCATGCAGCTGGGACTACAGGCACATACCACCATGCCTGGCTAATTAAAAAAAAATTTTTTTTTTCATAGAGACAGGGTTTCACTCTGTTGCCCAGGCTGATCTTGAACTCCTGAGCTAAAGGGATCCTCCCATCTTGGCCTCCCAGAGTACTGTGATCATAGGCATGAGCCACCACACCTGACCTGACACATTTTTTTAATGTATTATGAAAAAAATGTATTTTGTCTCTCATTGGTTAGAGGAGAAAAAATTTCAAATAGACATAAAAGTAGAGAGAAATGTAACAAACCCGTCTTCTACCCATCCTTTTGCTCCCATGTCATCAGCTTTTCCCCCAGGCTTTTTTTTTGTGGGGGTGGGGTGGAGGTAAAGTTGGCTTATACTGTATTACTAGCACCGTAAATTGCTCTAGAAAGTAGTTATTACAGATTGTTAAATGGGAACGAATATTAGATCTTGACATGGGCACAAATCCTCATTTGGATTATATGTTTACCTTCTTGAGGAACAGAACATTATTCTTGGTTGGAAAACAAGTAATATGTAAATGATAGTAGTGGGACATTGAAAGAAAGGTTAGATCTGCCTGTCCATGTTTCTTGCATGTCTGTACATGGTTATGTCATTCACTCATTCAGTGGTCTTTATTTTTTAGAGCAGTTTTTGGCTCACGGCAAAATTGAGTGGAAAGTACAGAGTTCTTATGTCCCTCCCCCACACGCTCCCTCACCATCAGCACTTTACAACAGAGTGGTCCATTTGCTGCAGCCAGTGAACAGACATTGACACATCACCACCTGAAGTTCATAGTTTACATTAGAGTCCACTCTTGGTGGTGTACATTCTGTGGGTTTTGACAAATGTATAATGACATGTATACACGGTCATAATATCACATAGAATAGTCTCCCTACCCTAAAAGTCCTCTGTTCCACCTGTTCATCCCTTCCTCCACCCCACAAACCCCGAGCAATCACTGGTATTTTTACTGTCTCTAGTTTTGCTTTTTTCCAAAATGTCATATAGCTGAAATCATACAGTATGTAGGCTTTTCAGATTGGCTTCTTTCACTTAATCCTATGCTTTTGAGATTCCTCCATGTCTGTTTGTGGCATGATAGCTCATTTTCCTTTATCGCTGAATAACATTCTCTTGTCTGGATGTACTGCAGCTTGTCTGTCCATTCACCTATTGAAAGGCCTCTTGGTTGTTTCCAGTTTTGGCAGTTAGGAATAAAGCCGCTCTAAACATTCTCGTGTAGGTTCTTATGTGCACATAAGTTTTCACCTTGTTTGTATAAATGTCAAGGAACCCAATTGCTATGTCATATGGTCACAATACGTTTAGTTTTGAGAAATTGCCAGATGGTCCTCCATAGTGCCCATACCTTTTTGTATTTCTTTTTTTTTTTAAATTCATAATCAGTGTTTTTATTATTTTCGATGATGGCTCATTTCTAAGTTAAGTGATGTATACTGTCTACATTTCCCATCTATAAGCTTTTGTTTTTCCTGGACTTTTGTTACCTAATTTTGATTTGCTTAGGTTATTATTTTTTTTAATCTATGGCATGTCTTCCTATCGCTGTGTACAATGGCTTTCAGTAGAACTTTTTACATCTTCAAACTCATCAGATAACTGTGTTTTAATATCTTTTTCTGAGGACATTCCTCCCAAATCCCTCTGTTCTGCTCCACTTGGGGCTGATAGGTCCTTTTCTGTTTTGAGACAGGGTCTCACTCTGTTGCCCAGGCTTCAGTGTAGTGGCACGACGAAAACCAGAGACCTTTGTTCACTTGTTTATCTGCTGACCTTCCCTCCACTATTGTCCTGTGACCCTGCCAAATCCCCTTCTGCAAGAAACACCCAAGAATGATCAATTAAAAAAAAAAAAAAGAAAAGAAAAATCTACTTCTGGAGAAAGAAATTACCTTCCCATCTCTTTTGTCAGGAAACTCTTGGATGATATACTGACCAAAACAGGGAATAACCTAACAGAGAGGAAGACAGGGATTTTAGGAAACCAGAGATCACACAGGAAGGAGGTAAAGGGAAATCCCAGGATGATGGCAAAGGGAAGTCCCCAAACAACAGCTGTGCAACAAGAATAAAGACCTTTTTGTATTTCTGACATCAGTGAATGAGAGTTCCTGTTGCTCCACATGCTCGTCAGCATTTGGTGTTGTCAATGTTTTTGCGTTTTAGCCATTCTAATCGATTTATAGCGTATAGTATCTTATTGTTGTTTTAATTTGCAAATATCATTTATTTATGTTGGTCAGTCATGAAAATGACACACCATGATTTTTGTCTTTTTGGGCTTAACTAGATAGTTGTGTTAATTAGTTGTTAGTTTTGAGTATTTGGGGGGCTGGGTCATTTATTATACAAACATTTGTTACACAAACACTTAGTGAGCATCTTTCCTGTGCCAGGACCAAGGGTGGGATATCAAAAACTGCACTAGGATATCAAAGGTGTTTGAAGAGATGGGCCTTGCTGCCTAGGAGCTGATAGTCTAGTAAAGGAACAGATAGTACAGGTGATAAGGAACTTTGGTATA